>NC_000021.9:12283222-12599515 GCF_000001405.40 Homo sapiens | reverse complement strand
GCTTTTATTGGAAGACGTTTCCTTTTCACCAAAGGCATCAAAGCGCTCCAAATGTCCACTTCCAGATTCTTCCAAAAGAGTGTTTCAAACGTGCTCAAAGTAAGGGAATGTTCAACTCTGTGACTTGAATGCAGATATCACCAAGTAGTTTCTAATAGTGCTTCTGTGTATACTTTAGATGAAGATATTCCCGTTTCCAACGATATCGTTAGACCTATCCAAATATCCACTTACAGTTTCTACAAAAAGAGTGTTTCCAAACTGCTGCATCAAAAGAAAGGTTCAACTCTGTTAGTTGAGGACACACATCACAAAGAAGTTTCTGAGAAAGCTTCTGTCCAGATTTTGTATGACGATATTCCCTTTTCCAACGATATCATTAAAGCAATCTAAATATCCATTTGCAGAATCCACAAAAATAGAGTTTCAAAGCTGCTCTGTAAAAAGAAAGGTTCCACTCTGTTAGCTGAGTACACACATCACAAACTTGTCTCTCAGAATCCTTCTGTCTCGTTTTTATGGGAAGATATTTTACTTTTTCACCGTAGGAATCAAAGCGCTCCAAATGTCCACATCCAGATACTCCAGAAAGAGTGTTTCAAACCTGCTCTATGAAAGGGAATCTTCAACTCTATGAGTTGAATGCAGACATCAGAAAGAAATTTCTGAGAATGCTTGCTGTCTACCTTTTATTTGAACTCCCGCTTCCAACGAAATCCTCCAAGCTATCCAAATATCCACTTGCATTTTCCACAAAAAGAGTGCTTCAAAACTGCTCTATCAATAAATGTTCAACTCCTTTAGCTGGGTGCACACATCACAAACAAGTTTCTGAGAATGCTTCTGTCTAGTTTTTATGGGAAGACATTCCCTTTTTCACCAAAGGCATCAAAGCGCTCCAAATGTCCACTTCCAGACACTACAAAAAGAGTGTTTCAAACGTGCTCTAAGAAAGCGAATGTTCAACTCTGTGACTTGAATGCAGATATCACAAAGTAGTTTCTGAGAGGGCTTCTGTCTAGATTTTAGATGATGATATTCTCGTTTCCAACGAAATCATTAGAGCTATCCAAATATCCACTTACAGTTTCTACAAAAAGAGTGTTTCCAAACTGCTGCATCAAAGGAGAGGTTCCAATCTGTTAGCTGAGTACACACATCACAAACTTGTTTCTCAGAATCCTTCTGTCTCGTTTTTATGGGAAGATATTTACTTTTGCACCGTAGGCATCAAAGCGCTCCAAATGTCCACATCCAGATACTCCAGAAAGAGTGTTTCAAACCTGCTCTATGAAAGGGAATCTTCAACTCTATGAGTTGAATGCAGACATCAGAAAGAAATTTCTGAGAATGCTGCTGTCTACCTTTTATTTGAATTCCCGCTTCCAACGAAATCCTCCAAGCTATCCAAATATCCACTTGCAGATTCCACAAAAAGAGTGTTTCAAAACTGCTCTCTATCAATGGCAAAGTTCAACTCTGTTAGTTGAGGACACATATCACCAACAAGTTTCTGAGAATGCTTCTGTCTATTTTTTATGGGAAGATATTTCCTTTTTCACTGTAGGCATCAAGGCGATCGAAATGTCCACTTCCACAAACTACAAAAAGAGTGTTTCAAACCTGCTCTATGAAAGGCCATGTTCATCTCTATGAGTTGAATGGAAATATCCGAAAGAAATTTCTGGGAATGCTGCTGTCTAGTTTTTATACGAATTCCCGCTTCCAACGAAATCCTCAAAGCAATCCAAATATCCACTTGCAGAATCCACAAAAAGAGTGTTTCAAAACTGCTCTATCAATAGAAAGGTTCAACTCTTTTAGTTGAGTACACACATCACAAACAAGTTTCTGAGAATGCTTCTGTCTGGCTTTTATTGGAAGATGTTTCCTTTTCACCAAAGGCATCAAAGCGCTCCAAATGTCCACTTCCAGATTCTTCCAAAAGAGTGTTTGAAACGTGCTCAAAGTAAGGGAATGTTCAACTCTGTGACTTGAATGCAGATATCACCAAGTAGTTTCTAATAGTGCTTATGTCTAGATTTTAGATGATGATATTCCCGTTTCCAACGAAATCGCTAGAGCTATCCAAATATCCAGTTACAGTTTCTACCAAAAGGGTGTTTCCAAATTGCTGCATCAAAAGAAAGGTTCAACTCTGTTAGTTGAGGACACACATCACAAAGAAGTTTGTGAGAATGCTTCTGTCTAGATTTTGTATGACCATATTCCCTTTTCCAGCGATATCATTAAAGCAATCTAAATATCCATTTGCAGAATCCACAAAAATAGAGTTTCAAAGCTGCTCTGTAAAAAGAAAGGTTCCACTCTGTTAGCTGAGTACACACATCACAAACTTGTCTCTCAGAATCCTGCTGTCTACCTTTTATTTGAATTCCCACTTCCAACGAAATCCTCCAAGCTATCCAAATATCCACCTGCATTTTCCACAACAAGAGTGTTTCAAAACTGCTCTATCAATAGAAATGTTCAACTCCTTTGGCTGGGTACACACATCACAAACAAGTTTCTGAGAATGCTTCTGTCTAGTTTTTATGGGAAGACATTGCCTTTTTCACCAAAGGCATCAAAGCGCTCCAAATGTCCACTTCCAGACACTACAAAAAGAGTGTTTCAAACGTGCTCTAAGAAAGCGAATGTTCAACTCTGTGACTTGAATGCAGATATCACAAAGTAGTTTCTGAGAGGGCTTCTGTCTAGATTTTAGATGATGATATTCCCGTTTCCAACGAAATCATTAGAGCTATCCAAATATCCACTTACAGTTTCTACAAAAAGAGTGTTTCCAAACTGCTGCATCAGAAGAGAGGTTCCACTCTGTTAGCTGAGTACACACATCACAAACTTGTTTCCGAGAATCCTTCTGTCTAGCTTTTATGGGAAGATATTTACTTTTTCACCGTAGGCATCAAAGCTTTCCAAATGTCCACATCCAGATAGTACAGAAAGAGTGTTTCAAACCTGCTATATGAAAGGGAATGTTCAACTCTATGAGTTGAATGCAAACATCACAAAGAAATTTCTGAGAATGCTGCTGTCTACCTTTTATTTGAATTCCCGCTTCCAACGAAATCCTCCAGGCTATCCAAATATCCACTTGCAGATTCCACAAAAAGAGTGTTTCAAAACTGATCTATCAATGGCAAGGTTCAACTCTGTCAGTTGAGGATACACATCACAAACAAGTTTCTGAGAATTCTTCTGTCTATTTTTTATGGGAAGATACTTCCTTTTTCACCGTAGGCGTCAAGGCGATCGAAATGTCCACTTCCACAAACTACAAAAAGAGTGTTTCAAACCTGCTCTATGAAAGGCCATGTTCATCTCTATGAGTTGAATGGAAATATCCGAAAGAAATTTCTGGGAATGCTGCTGTCTAGTTGTTATATGAATTCCCGCTTCCAACGAAATCCTCAAAGCAATCCAAATATCCACTTGCAGAATCCACAAAAAGAGTGTTTCAAAACTGCTCTATCAATAGAAAGGTTCAACTCTTTTAGTTGAGTACACACATCACAAACAAGTTTCTGAGAATGCTTCTGTCTGGCTTTTGTTGGGAGACGTTTCCTTTTCACCAAAGGCATCAAAGCGCTCCAAATGTCCACTTCCAGATTCTTCCAAAAGAGTGTTTCAAACGTGCTCAAAGTAAGGGAATGTTCAACTCTGTGACTTGAATGCAGATATCACCAAGTAGTTTCTAATAGTGCTTCTGTCTAGATTTTAGATGATGATATTCCCGTTTCCAACGAAATCGTTAGAGCTATCCAAATATCCACTTACAGTTGCTACAAAAAGAGTGTTTCCAAACTGCTGCATCAAAAGAAAGGTTCAACTCTGTTAGTTGAGGACACACATCACAAAGAAGTTTGTGAGAATGCTTCTGTCTAGATTTTGTATGACGATATTCCCTTTTCCAACGATATCATTAAAGCAATCTAAATATCCATTTGCAGAATCCACAAAAATAGAGTTTCAAAGCTGCTCTGTAAAAAGAAAGGTTCCACTCTGTTAGCTGAGTACACACATCACAAACTTGTTTCTCAGAATCCTTCTGTCTCGTTTTTATGGGAAGATATTTACTTTTTCACCGTAGGCATCAAAGCGCTCCAAATGTCCACATCCAGATACTCCAGAAAGAGTGTTTCAAACCTGCTCTATGAAAGGGAATCTTCAACTCTATGAGTTGAATGCAGACATCAGAAAGAAATTTCTGAGAATGCTGCTGTCTACCTTTTATTTGAACTCCCGCTTCCAACGAAATCCTCCAAGCTATCCAAATATCCACTTGCATTTTCCACAAAAAAAGTGCTTCAAAACTGCTCTATCAATAAATGTTCAACTCCTTTAGCTGGGTGCACACATCACAAACAAGTTTCTGAGAATGCTTCTGTCTAGTTTTTATGGGAAGACGTTCCCTTTTTCACCAAAGGCATCAAAGCGCTCCAAATGTCCACTTCCAGACACTACAAAAACAGTGTTTCAAACGTGCTCTAAGAAAGCGAATGTTCAACTCTGTGACTTGAATGCAGATATCACAAAGTAGTTTCTGAGAGTGCTTCTGTCTAGATTTTAGATGATGATATTCCCGTTTCCAACGAAATCATTAGAGCTATCCAAATATCCACTTACAGTTTCTACAAAAAGAGTGTTTCCAAACTGCTGCATCAAAACAGAGGTTCCACTCTGTTAGCTGAGTACACACATCACAAACTTGTTTCTCAGAATCCTTCTGTCTCGTTTTTATGGGAAGATATTTACTTTTTCACCGTAGGCATCAAAGCGCTCCAAATGTCCACATCCAGATACTCCAGAAAGTGTGTTTCAAACCTGCTCTATGAAAGGGAATCTTCAACTCTATGAGTTGAATGCAGACATCAGAAAGAAATTTCTGAGAATGCTGCTGTCTACCTTTAATTTGAATTCCCGCTTCCAACGAAATCCTCCAAGCTATCCAAATATCCACCTGCATTTTCCACAACAAGAGTGTTTCAAAACTGCTCTATCAATAGAAATGTTCAACTCCTTTGGCTGGGTACACACATCACAAACAAGTTTCTGAGAATGCTTCTGTCTAGTTTTTATGGGAAGACATTCCCTTTTTCACCAAAGGCATCAAAGCGCTCCAAATGTCCACTTCCAGACACTACAAAAAGAGTGTTTCAAACGTGCTCTAAGAAACCGAATGTTCAACTCTGTGAGTTGAATGCAGATATCACAAAGTAGTTTCTGAGAGGGCTTCTGTCTAGATTTTAGATGATGATATTCCCGTTTCCAACGAAATCATTAGAGCTATCCAAATATCCACTTACAGTTTCTACAAAAAGAGTGTTTCCAAACTGCTGCATCAAAAGAGAGGTTCCACTCTGTTAGCTGAGTACACACATCACAAACTTGTTTCTCAGAATCCTTCTGTCTCGTTTTTATGGGAAGATTATACTTTTTCACCGTAGGCATCAAAGCGCTCCAAATGTCCACATCCAGATACTCCAGAAAGAGTGTTTCAAACCTGCTCTATGAAAGGGAATGTTCAACTCTATGAGTTGAATGCAGACATCAGAAAGAAATTTCTGAGAATGCTGCTGTCTACCTTTTATTTGAATTCCCGCTTCCAACGAAATCCTCCAAGCTATCCAAATATCCACTTGCAGATTCCACAAAAAGAGTGTTTCAAAACTGCTCTCTATCAATGGCAAAGTTCAACTCTGTTAGTTGAGGACACCTATCACCAACAAGTTTCTGAGAATGCTTCTGTCTATTTTTTATGGGAAGATATTTCCTTTTTCACCGTAGGCGTCAAGGCGATCGAAATGTCCACTTCCACAAACTACAAAAAGAGTGTTTCAAACCTGCTCTATGAAAGGCCATGTTCATCTCTATGAGTCGAATGGAAATATCCGAAAGAAATTTCTGGGAATGCTGCTGTCTAGTTTTTATACGAATTCCCGCTTCCAACGAAATCCTCAAAGCAATCCAAATATCCACTTGCAGAATCCACAAAAAGAGTGTTTCAAAACTGCTCTATCAATAGAAAGGTTCAACTCTTTTAGTTGAGTACACACATCACAAACAAGTTTCTGAGAATGCTTCTGTCTGGCTTTTATTGGAAGACGTTTCCTTTTCACCAAAGGCATCAAAGCGCTCCAAATGTCCACTTTCAGATTCTTCCAAAAGAGTGTTTCAAACGTGCTCGAAGTAAGGGAATGTTCTACTCTGTGATTTGAATGCAGATATCACCAAGTAGTTTCTAATAGTGCTTCTGTCTAGATTTTAGATGATGATATTCCCGTTTCCAACGAAATCGTTAGAGCTATCCAAATATCCAGTTACAGTTTCTACCAAAAGGGTGTTTCCAAATTGCTGCATCAAAAGAAAGGTTCAACTCTGTTAGTTGAGGACACACATCACAAAGAAGTTTGTGAGAATGCTTCTGTCTAGATTTTGTATGAGGATATTCCCTTTTCCAACGATATCGTTAAAGCAATCTAAATATCAATTTGCAGAATCCACAAAACTAGAGTTTCAAAGCTGCTCTGTAAAAAGAAAGGTTCCACTCTGTTAGCTGAGTACACACATCACAAACTTGTTTCTGAGAATCCTTCTGTCTCGTTTTTATGGGAAGATATTTACTTTTCCACTGTAGGCATCAAAGCGCTCCAAATGTCCACATCCAGATACTCCAGAACGAGTGTTTCAAACCTGCTCTATGAAAGGGAATCTTCAACTCTATGAGTTGAATGCAGAATCAGAAAGAAATTTCTGAGAATGCTGCTGTCTACCTTTTATTTGAATTCCCGCTTCCAACGAAATCCTCCAAGCTATCCAAATATCCACCTGCATTTTCCACAAAAAGAGAGTTTCAAAACTGCTCTATCAATAGAAATGTTCATCTCCTTTGGCTGGGTACACACATCACAAACAAGTTTCTGAGAATGCTTCTGTCTAGTTTTTATGGGAAGACATTCCCTTTTTCACCAAAGGCATCAAAGCGCTCCAAATGTCCACTTCCAGACACTACAAAAAGAGTGTTTCCAACGTGCTCTAAGAAAGCGAATGTTCAACTCTGTGACTTGAATTCAGATATCACAAAGTAGTTTCTGAGAGGGCTTCTGTCTAGATTTTAGATGATGATATTCCCGTTTCCAACGAAATCATTAGAGCTATCCAAATATCCACTTACAGTTTCTACAAAAAGAGTGTTTCCAAACTGCTGCATCAAAAGAGAGGTTCCACTCTGTTAGCTGAGTACACACATCACAAACTTGTTTCTCAGAATCCTTCTGTCTCGTTTTTCTGGGAAGATATTTACTTTTTCACCGTAGGCATCAAAGCGCTCCAAATGTCCACATCCAGATACTCCAGAAAGAGTGTTTCAAACCTGCTCTATGAAAGGGAATCTTCAACTCTATGAGTTGAATGCAGACATCAGAAAGAAATTTACTGAGAATGCTGCTGTCTACCTTTTATTTGAATTCCCGCTTCCAACGAAATCCTTCAAGCTATCCAAATATCCACTTGCAGATTCCACAAAAAGAGTGTTTCAAAACTGCTCTCTATCAATGGCAAAGTTCAACTCTGTTAGTTGAGGACACATATCACCAACAAGTTTTTGAGAATGCTTCTGTCTATTTTTTATGGGAAGATATTTCCTTTTTCACCGTAGGCGTCAAGGCGATCGAAATGTCCACTTCCACAAACTACAAAAAGAGTGTTGCAAACCTGCTCTATGAAAGGCCATGTTCATCTCTATGAGTTGAATGGATATATCCGAAAGAAATTTCTGGGAATGCTGCTGTCTAGTGTTTATACGAATTCCCGCTTCCAACGAAATCCTCAAAGCAATCCAAATATCCACTTGCAGAATCCACAAAAAGAGTGTTTCAAAACTGCTCTATCAATAGAAAGGTTCAACTCTTTTAGTTGAGTACACACATCACAAACAAGTTTCTGAGAATGCTTCTGTCTGGCTTTTATTGGAAGACGTTTCCTTTTCACCAAAGGCATCAAAGCGCTCCAAATGTCCACTTCCAGATTCTTCCAAAAGAGTGTTTCAAAAGTGCTCGAAGTAAGGGAATGTTCTACTCTGTGACTTGAATGCAGATATCACCAAGTAGTTTCTAATAGTGCTTCTGTCTACATTTTAGATGATGATATTCCCGTTTCCAACGAAATCGTTAGAGCTATCCAAATATCCAGTTACAGTTTCTACCAAAAGGGTGTTTCCAAATTGCTGCATCAAAAGAAAGGTTCAACTCTGTTAGTTGAGGACACACATCACAAAGAAGTTTGTGAGAATGCTTATCTGTCTATATTTTGTATGACCATATTCCCTTTTCCAGCGATATCATTAAAGCAATCTAAATATCCATTTGCAGAATCCACAAAAATAGAGTTTCAAAGCTGCTCTGTAAAAAGAAAGGTTCCACTCTGTTAGCTGAGTACACACATCACAAACTTGTTTCTGAGAATCCTTCTGTCTCGTTTTTATGGGAAGATATTTACTTTTTCACCGTAGGCATCAAAGCGCTCCAAATGTCCACATCCAGATACTGCAGAAAGAGTGTTTCAAACCTGCTCTATGAAAGGGAATCTTCAACTCTATGAGTTGAATGCAGACATCAGAAAGAAATTTCTGAGAATGCTGCTGTCTACCTTTTATTTGAACTCCCACTTCCAACGAAATCCTCCAAGCTATCCAAATATCCACTTGCATTTTCCACAAAAAGAGTGCTTCAAAACTGCTCTATCAATAAATGTTCAACTCCTTTAGCTGGGTGCACACATCACAAACAAGTTTCTGAGAATGCTTCTGTCTAGTTTTTATGGGAAGACGTTCCCTTTTTCACCAAAGGCATCAAAGCGCTCCAAATGTCCACTTCCAGACACTACAAAAAGAGTGTTTCAAACGTGCTCTAAGAAAGCGAATGTTCAACTCCTGTGACTTGAATGCAGATATCACAAAGTAGTTTCTGAGAGGGCTTCTGTCTAGATTTTAGATGATGATATTCCCGTTTCCAACGAAATCATTAGAGCTATCCAAATATCCACTTACAGTTTCTACAAAAAGAGTGTTTCCAAACTGCTGCATCAGAAGAGAGGTTCCACTCTGTTAGCTGAGTACGCACATCACAAACTTGTTTCTGAGAATCCTTCTTCAATTTTTTATGGGAAGACATTTCCTTTTTCACCGTAGGCATCAAAGCGCTCCAAATGTCCACATCCAGATAGTACAGAAAGAGTGTTTCAAACCTGCTCTATTAAAGGGAATGTTCAACTCTATGAGTTGAATGCAAACATCAGAAAGGAATTTCTGAGAATGCTGCTGTCTACCTTTTATTTGAATTCCCGCTTCCAACGAAATCCTCCAAGCTATCCAAATATCCACTTGCAGATTCCACAAAAAGAGTGTTTCAAAACTGCTCTCTATCAATGGCAAAGTTCAACTCTGTTAGTTGAGGACACATATCACCAACAAGTTTCTGAGAATGCTTCTGTCTATTTTTTATGGGAAGATATTTCCTTTTTCACCGTAGGCGTCAAGGCGATCGAAATGTCCACTTCCAGAAACTACAAAATGAGTGTTTCAAACCTGCTCTATGAAAGGCCATGTTCATCTCTATGAGTTGAATGGAAATATCCGAAAGAAATTTCTGGGAATGCTGCTGTCTAGTGTTTATACGAATTCCCGCTTCCAACGAAATCCTCAAAGCAATCCAAATATCCACTTGCAGAATCCACAAAAAGAGTGTTTCAAAACTGCTCTATCAATAGAAAGGTTCAACTCTTTTAGTTGAGTACACACATCACGAACAAGTTTCTGAGAATGCTTTTGTCTGGCTTTTATTGGAAGACGTTTCCTTTTCACCAAAGGCATCAAAGCGCTCCAAATGTCCACTTCCAGATTTTTCCAAAAGAGTGTTTCAAACGTGCTCAAAGTAAGGGAATGTTCAACTCTGTGACTTGAATGCAGATATCACCAAGTAGTTTCTAATAGTGCTTCTGTCTAGATTTTAGATGATGATATTCCCGTTTCCAACGAAATCATTAGAGCTATCCAAATATCCACTTACAGTTTCTACAAAAAGAGTGTTTCCAAACTGCTGCATCAAAAGAAAGTTTCAACTCTGTTAGTTGAGGACACACATCACAAAGAAGTTTGTGAGAATGCTTCTGTCCAGATTTTGTATGACGATATTCCCTTTTCCAACGATATCGTTAAAGCAATCTAAATATCAATTTGCAGAATCCACAAAAATAGAGTTTCAAAGCTGCTCTGTAAAAAGAAAGGTTCCACTCTGTTAGCTGAGTACACACATCAGAAACTTGTTTCTGAGAATCCTTCTGTCTCGTTTTTATGGGAAGATATTTACTTTTCCAACGTAGGCATCAAAGCGCTCCAAATGTCCACATCCAGATACTCCAGAAAGAGTGTTTCAAACCTGCTCTATGAAAGGGAATCTTCAACTCTATGAGTTGAATGCAGACATCAGAAAGAAATTTCTGAGAATGCTGCTGTCTACCTTTTATTTGAATTCCCGCTTCCAACGAAATCCTCCAAGCTATCCAAATATCCACCTGCATTTTCCACAACAAGAGTGTTTCAAAACTGCTCTATCAATAGAAATGTTCAACTCCTTTGGCTGGGTACACACATCACAAACAAGTCTCTGAGAATGTTTCTGTCTAGTTTTTATGGGAAGACATTCCCTTTTTCACCAAAGGAATCAAAGCGCTCCAAATGTCCACTTCCAGACACTACAAAAAGAGTGTTTCAAACGTGCTCTAAGAAAGCGAATGTTCAACTCTGTGACTTGAATGCAGATATCACAAAGTAGTTTCTGAGAGGGCTTCTGTCTAGATTTTAGATGATGATATTCCCGTTTCCAACGAAATCATTAGAGCTATCCAAATATCCACTTACAGTTTCTACAAAAAGAGTGTTTCCAAACTGCTGGATCAAAAGAGAGGTTCCACTCTGTTAGCTGAGTACACACATCACAAACTTGTTTCTGAGAATCCTGCTGTCTACCTTTTATTTGAATTTCCGCTTCCAACGAACTCCTCCAAGCTATCCAAATATCCACTTGCAGATTCCACAAAAAGAGTGTTTCAAAACTGCTCTCTATCAATGGCAAAGTTCAACTCTGTTAGTTGAGGACACATATCACCAACAAGTTTCTGAGAATGCTTCTGTCTATTTTTTATGGGAAGATATTTCCTTTTTCACCGTAGGCGTCAAGGCGATCGAAATGTCCACTTCCACAAACTACAAAAAGAGTGTTTCAAACCTGCTCTATGAAAGGCCATGTTCATCTCTATGAGTTGAATGGAAATATCCGAAAGAAATTTCTGGGAATGCTGCTGTCTAGTGTTTATACGAATTCCCGCTTCCAACGAAATCCTCAAAGCAATCCAAATATCCACTTGCAGAATCCACAAAAAGAGGGTTTCAAAACTGCTCTATCAATAGAAAGGTTCAACTCTTTTAGTTGAGTACACACAACACGAACAAGTTTCTGAGAATGCTTCTGTCTGGCTTTTATTGGAAGACGTTTCCTTTTCACCAAAGGCATCAAAGCGCTCCAAATGTCCACTTCCAGATTCTTCCAAAAGAGTGTTTCAAACGTGGTCGAAGTAAGGGAATGTTCAACTCTGTGACTTGAATGCAGATATCACCAAGTAGTTTCTAATAGTGCTTCTGTCTACATTTTAGATGATGATATTCCCGTTTCCAACGAAATCGTTAGAGCTATCCAAATATCCAGTTACAGTTTCTACCAAAAGGGTGTTTCCAAATTGCTGCATCAAAAGAAAGGTTCAACTCTGTTAGTTGAGGACACACATCACAAAGAAGTTTGTGAGAATGCTTCTGTCCAGATTTTGTATGACAATATTCCCTTTTCCAACGATATCGTTAAAGCAATCTAAATATCAATTTGCAGAATCCACAAAAATAGAGTTTCAAAGCTGCTCTGTAAAAAGAAAGGTTCCACTCTGTTAGCTGAGTACACACATCACAAACTTGTTTCTGAGAATCCTTCTGTCTCGTTTTTATGGGAAGATATTTACTTTTCCACCGTAGGCATCAAAGCGCTCCAAATGTCCACATCCGGATACTCGAGAACGAGTGTTTCAAACCTGCTCTATGAAAGGGAATCTTCAACTCTATGAGTTGAATGCAGACATCAGAAAGAAATTTCTGAGAATGCTGCTGTCTACCTTTTATTTGAATTCCCGCTTCCAACGAAATCCTCCAAGCTATCCAAATATCCACTTGCATTTTCCACAAAAAGAGTGTTTCAAAACTGCTCTATCAATAGAAATGTTCAACTCCTTTGGCTGGGTACACACATCACAAACAAGTTTCTGAGAATGCTTCTGTCTAGTTTTTATGGGAAGACGTTCCCTTTTTCACCAAAGGCATCAAAGCGCTCCAAATGTCCACTTCCAGACACTACAAAAAGAGTGTTTCCAACGTGCTCTAAGAAAGCGAATGTTCAACTCTGTGACTTGAATGCAGATATCACAAAGTAGTTTCTGAGAGTGCTTCTGTCTAGATTTTAGATGATGATATTCCCGTTTCCAACGAAATCATTAGAGCTATCCAAATATCCACTTACAGTTTCTACAAAAAGAATGTTTCCAAACTGCTGCATCAAAAGAGAGGTTCCACTCTGTTAGCTGAGTACACACATCACAAACTTGTTTCTCAGAATCCTTCTGTCTCGTTTTTATGGGAAGATATTTACTTTTCCACCGTAGGCATCAAAGCGCTCCAAATGTCCACATCCAGATACTCCAGAAAGAGTGTTTCAAACCTGCTCTATGAAAGGGAATCTTCAACTCTATGAGTTGAATGCAGACATCAGAAAGAAATTTCTGAGAATGCTGCTGTCTACCTTTTATTTGAATTCCCGCTTCCAACGAAATCCTCCAAGCTATCCAAATATCCACTTGCAGATTCCACAAAAAGAGTGTTTGAAAACTGCTCTCTATCAATGGCAAAGTTCAACTCTGTTAGTTGAGGACACATATCACCAACAAGTTTCTGAGAATGCTTCTGTCTATTTTTTATGGGAAGATATTTCCTTTTTCAGCGTAGGTGTCAAGGCGATCGAAATGTCCACTTCCACAAACTACAAAAAGAGTGTTTCAAACCTGCTCTATGAAAGGCCATGTTCATCTCTATGAGTTGAATGGAAATATCCGAAAGAAATTTCTGGGAATTCTGCTGTCTAGTGTTTATACGAATTCCCGCTTCCAACGAAATCCTCAAAGCAATCCAAATATCCACTTGCAGAATCCACAAAAAGAGTGTTTCAAAACTGCTCTATCAATAGAAAGGTTCAACTCTTTTAGTTGAGTACACACATCACAAACAAGTTTCTGAGAATGCTTCTGTCTGGTTTTTATTAGAAGACGTTTCCTTTTTCACCAAAGGCATCAAAGCGCTCCAAATGTCCACTTCCAGATTCTTCCAAAAGAGTGTTTCAAACGTGCTCGAAGTAAGGGAATGTTCTACTCTGTGACTTGAATGCAGATATCACCAGGTAGTTTCTAATAGTGCTTCTGTCTAGATTTTAGATGATGATATTCCCGTTTCCAACGAAATCGTTAGAGCTATCCAAATATCCAGTTACAGTTTCTACCAAAAGGGTGTTTCCAAATTGCTGCATCAAAAGAAAGGTTCAACTCTGTTAGTTGAGGACACACATCACAAAGAAGTTTGTGAGAATGCTTCTGTCTAGATTTTGTATGACGATATTCCCTTTTCCAACGATATCGTTAAAGCAATCTAAATATCAATTTGCAGAATCCACAAAAATAGAGTTTCAAAGCTGCTCTGTAAAAAGAAAGGTTCCACTCTGTTAGCTGAGTACACACATCACAAACTTGATTCTGAGAATCCTTCTGTCTCGTTTTTATGGGAAGATATTTACTTTTCCACTGTAGGCATCAAAGCGCTCCAAATGTCCACATCCAGATACTCCAGAACGAGTGTTTCAAACCTGCTCTATGAAAGGGAATCTTCAACTCTATGAGTTGAATGCAGACATCAGAAAGAAATTTCTGAGAATGCTGCTGTCTACCTTTTATTTGAATTCCCGCTTCCAACGAAAACCTCCAAGCTATCCAAATATCCACTTGCAGATTCCACAAAAAGAGTGTTTCAAAACTTCTCTATCAATAGAAATGTTCAACTCCTTTCGCTGGGTACACACATCACAAACAAGTTTCTGAGAAAGCTTCTGTCTAGTTTTTATGGGAAGACATTTCCTTTTTCACCAAAGGCATCAAAGAGCTCCAAATGTCCACTTCCAGATACTACAAAAAGAGTGTTTCAAAAGTGCTCTAAGAAAGCGAATGTTCAACTCTGTGACTTGAATGCAGATATCAAAAAGTAGTTTCTGAGAGTGCTTCTGTCTAGATTTTAGATGATGATATTCCCGTTTCCAACGAAATCATTAGAGCTATCCAAATATCCACTTACAGTTTCTACAAAAAGAGTGTTTCCAAACTGCTGCATCAAAAGAGAGGTTCCACTCTGTTAGCTGAGTACACACATCACAAACTTGTTTCTCAGAATCCTTCTGTCTCGTTTTTATGGGAAGATATTTACTTTTTCCACCGTAGGCATCAAAGCGCTCCAAATGTCCACATCCAGATACTCCAGAAAGAGTGTTTCAAACCTGCTCTATGAAAGGGAATCTTCAACTCTATGAGTTGAATGCAGACATCAGAAAGAAATTTCTGAGAATGCTGCTGTCTACCTTTTATTTGAATTCCCGCTTCCAACGAAATCCTCCAAGCTATCCAAATATCCACTTGCATTTTCCACAAAAAGAGTGTTTCAAAACTGCTCTATCAATGGAAATGTTCAACTCCTTTAGCTGGGTACACACATCACAAACAAGTTTCTGAGAATGCTTCTGTCTAGTTTTTATGGGAAGACATTCCCTTTTTCACCAAAGGCATCAAAGCGCTCCAAATGTCCACTTCCAGACACTACAAAAAGAGTGTTTCCAACGTGCCCTAAGAAAGCGAATGTTCAACTCTGTGACTTGAATGCAGATATCACAAAGTAGTTTCTGAGAGGGCTTCTGTCTAGATTTTAGATGATGATATTCCCGTTTCCAACGAAATCATTAGAGCTATCCAAATATCCACTTACAGTTTCTACAAAAAGAGTGTTTCCAAACTGCTGCATCAAAAGAGAGGTTCCACTCTGTTAGCTGAGTACACACATCACAAACTTGTTTCTCAGAATCCTTCTGTCTCTTTTTTATGGGAAGATATTTACTTTTTCACCGTAGGCATCAAAGCGCTCCAAATGTCCACATCCAGATACTCCAGAAAGAGTGTTTCAAACCTGCTCTATGAAAGGGAATCTTCAACTCTATGAGTTAAATTCAGACATCAGAAAGAAATTTCTGAGAATGCTGCTGTCTACCTTTTATTTGAATTCCCGCTTCCAACGAAATCCTCCAAGCTATCCAAATATCCACTTGCAGATTCCACAAAAAGAGTGTTTCAAAACTGCTCTCTATCAATGGCAAAGTTCAACTCTGTTAGTTGAGGACACATATCACCAACAAGTTTTCTGAGAATGCTTTCTGTCTATTTTTTATGGGAAGATATTTCCGTTTTCACCGTAGGCGTCAAGGCGATCGAAATGTCCACTTCCACAAACTACAAAAAGAGTGTTTCAAACCTGCTCTATGAAAGGCCATGTTCATCTCTATGAGTTGAATGGAAATATCCGAAAGAAATTTCTGGGAATGCTGCTGTCTAGTTTTTATACGAATTCCCGCTTCCAACGAAATCCTCAAAGCAATCCAAATATCCACTTGCAGAATCCACAAAAAGAGTGTTTCAAAACTGCTCTATCAATAGAAAGGTTCAACTCTTTTAGTTGAGTACACACATCACAAACAAGTTTCTGAGAATGCTTCTGTCTGGCTTTTATTGGAAGACGTTTCCTTTTCACCAAAGGCATCAAAGCGCTCCAAATGTCCACTTCCAGATTCTTCCAAAAGAGTGTTTGAAACGTGCTCAAAGTAAGGGAATGTTCAACTCTGTGACTTGAATGCAGATATCACCAAGTAGTTTCTAATAGTGCTTCTGTCTACATTTTAGATGATGATATTCCCGTTTCCAACGAAATCGTTAGAGCTATCCAAATATCCAGTTACAGTTTCTACCAAAAGGGTGTTTCCAAATTGCTGCATCAAAAGAAAGGTTCAACTCTGTTAGTTGAGGACACACATCACAAAGAAGTTTGTGAGAATGCTTCTGTCTAGATTTTGTATGACGATATTCCCTTTTCCAACGATATCGTTAAAGCAATCTAAATATCAATTTGCAGAATCCACAAAAATAGAGTTTCAAAGCTGCTCTGTAAAAATAAAGGTTCCACTCTGTTAGCTGAGTACACACATCACAAACTTGTTTCTGAGAATCCTTCTGTCTCGTTTTTATGGGAAGATATTTACTTTTTCACCGTAGGCATCAAAGCGCTCCAAATGTCCACATCCAGATACTCCAGAAAGAGTGTTTCAAACCTGCTCTATGAAAGGGAATCTTCAACTCTATGAGTTGAATGCAGACATCAGAAAGAAATTTCTGAGAATGCTGCTGTCTACCTTTTATTTGAATTCCCTCTTCCAACGAAATCCTCCAAGCTATCCAAATATCCACTTGCATTTTCCACAAAAAGAGTGTTTCAAAACTGCTCTATCAATAGAAATGTTCAACTCCTTTAGCTGGGTAGACACATCACAAACAAGTTTCTGAGAATGCTTCTGTCTAGTTTTTATGGGTAGACATTCCCTTTTTCACCAAAGGCATCAAAGCGCTCCAAATGTCCACTTCCAGACACTACAAAAAGAGTGTTTCCAACGTGCTCTAAGAAAGCGAATGTTCAACTCTGTGACTTGAATGCAGATATCACAAAGTAGTTTCTGAGAGGGCTTCTGTCTAGATTTTAGATGATGATATTCCCGTTTCCAACGAAATCATTAGCAGCTATCCAAATATCCACTTACAGTTTCTACAAAAAGAGTGTTTCCAAACTGCTGCATCAAAACAGAGGTTCCACTCTGTTAGCTGAGTACACACATCACAAACTTGTTTCTCAGAATCCTTCTGTCTAGCTTTTATGGGAAGATATTTACTTTTTCACCGTAGGCATCAAAGCTTTCCAAATGTCCACTTCCAGATAATACAGAAAGAGTGTCTCAAACCTGCTCTATGAAAGGGAATGTTCAACTCTATGAGTTGAATGCAAACATCAGAAGGAAATTTCTGAGAATGCTGCTGTCTACCTTTTATTTGAATTCCCGCTTCCAACGAAATCCTCCAAGCTATCCAAATATCCACTTGCAGATTCCACAAAAAGAGTGTTTCAAAACTGCTCTCTATCAATGGCAAAGTTCAAGTCTGTTAGTTGAGGACACATATCACCAACAAGTTTCTGAGAATGCTTCTGTCTATTTTTTATGGGAAGATATTTCCTTTTTCACCGTAGGCGTCAAGGCGATCGAAATGTCCACTTCCACAAACTACAAAAAGAGTGTTTCAAACCTGCTCTATGAAAGGCCATGTTCATCTCTATGAGTTGAATGGAAATATCCGAAAGAAATTTCTGGGAATGCTGCTGTCTAGTGTTTATACGAATTCCCGCTTCCAACGAAATCCTCAAAGCAATCCAAATATCCACTTGCAGAATCCACAAAAAGAGTGTTTCAAAACTGCTCTATCAATAGAAAGGTTCAACTCTTTTAGTTGAGTACACACATCACCAACAAGTTTCTGAGAATGCTTCTGTCTGGCTTTTATTGGAAGACGTTTCCTTTTCACCAAAGGCATCAAAGCGCTCCAAATGTCCACTTCCAGATTCTTCCAAAAGAGTGTTTCAAACGTGCTCGAAGTAAGGGAATGTTCTACTCTGTGACTTGAATGCAGATATCACCAGGTAGTTTCTAATAGTGCTTCTGTCTAGATTTTAGATGATGATATTCCCGTTTCCAACGAAATCGTTATAGCTATCCAAATATCCACTTACAGTTTCTACAAAAAGAGTGTTTCCAAACTGCTGCATCAAAAGAAAGGTTCAACTCTGTTAGTTGAGGACACACATCACAAAGAAGTTTGTGAGAAAGCTTCTGTCTAGATTTTGTATGACCATATTCCCTTTTCCAGCGATATCATTAAAGCAATCTAAATATGCATTTGCAGAATCCACAAAAATAGAGTTTCAAAGCTGCTCTGTAAAAAGAAAGGTTCCACTCTGTTAGCTGAGTACACACATCACAAACTTGTCTCTCAGAATCCTTCTGTCTCGTTTTTATGGGAAGATATTTACTTTTTCACCGTAGGCATCAAAGCGCTCCAAATGTCCACATCCAGATACTCCAGAAACAGTGTTTCAAACCTGCTCTATGAAAGGGAATGTTCAACTCTATGAGTTGAATGCAGACATCAGAAAGAAATTTCTGAGAATGCTGCTGTCTACCTTTTATTGAATTCCCGCTTCCAACGATATCCTCCAAGCTATCCAAATATCCACTTGCATTTTCCACAAAAAGAGTGTTTCAAAACTGCTCTATCAATAGAAATGTTCAACTCCTTTAGCTGGGTACACACATCACAAACAAGTTTCTGAGAATGCTTCTGTCTAGTTTTTATGGGAAGACATTCCCTTTTTCACCAAAGGCATCAAAGCGCTCCAAATGTCCACTTCCAGACACTACAAAAGGAGTGTTTCCAACGTGCTCTAAGAAACCGAATGTTCAACTCTGTGACTTGAATGCAGATATCACAAAGTAGTTTCTGAGAGGGCTTCTGTCTAGATTTTAGATGATGATATTCCCGTTTCCAACGAAATCATTAGATCTATCCAAATATCCACTTACAGTTTCTACAAAAAGAGTGTTTCCAAACTGCTGCATCAAAAGAGAGGTTCCACTCTGTTAGCTGAGTACACACATCACAAACTTGTTTCTCAGAATCCTTCTGTCTCGTTTTTCTGGGAAGATATTTACTTTTTCACCGTAGGCATCAAAGCGCTCCAAATGTCCACATCCAGATACTCCAGAAGGAGTGTTTCAAACCTGCTCTATGAAAGGGAATCTTCAACTCTATGAGTTGAATGCAGACATCAGAAAGAAATTTCTGAGAATGCTGCTGTCTACCTTTTATTTGAATTCCCGCTTCCAACGAAATCCTCCAAGCTATCCAAATATCCACTTGCAGATTCCACAAAAAGAGTGTTTCAAAAACTGCTCTCTATCAATGGCAAAGTTCAACTCTGTTAGTTGAGGACACATATCACCAACAAGTTTCTGAGAATGCTTCTGTCTATTTTTTATGGGAAGATATTTCCTTTTTCACCGTAGGCGTCAAGGCGATCGAAATGTCCACTTCCACAAACTACAAAAAGAGTGTTTCAAACCTGCTCTATGAAAGGCCATGTTCATCTCTATGAGTTGAATGGAAATATCCGAAAGAAATTTCTGGGAATGCTGCTGTCTAGTGTTTATACGAATTCCCGCTTCCAACGAAATCCTCAAAGCAATCCAAATATCCACTTGCAGAATCCACAAAAAGAGTGTTTCAAAACTGCCCTATCAATAGAAAGGTTCAACTCTTTTAGTTGAGTACACACATCACGAACAAGTTTCTCAGAATGCTTCTGTCTGGCTTTTATTGTAAGACGTTTCCTTTTCACCAAAGGCATCAAAGCGCTCCAAATGTCCACTTCCAGATTCTTCCAAAAGAGTGTTTGAAACGTGCTCAAAGTAAGGGAATGTTCAACTCTGTGACTTGAATGCAGATATCACCAAGTAGTTTCTAATAGTGCTTCTGTCTAGATTTTAGATGATGATATTCCCGTTTCCAACGAAATCGTTAGAGCTATCCAAATATCCACTTACAGTTTCTACAAAAAGAGTGTTTCCAAACTGCTGCATCAAAAGAAAGGTTCAACTCTGTTAGTTGAGGACACACGTCACAAAGAAGTTTGTGAGAATGCTTCTGTCTAGATTTTGTATGAAGATATTCCCTTTTCCAACGATGTCGTTAAATCAACCCAAATATCAATTTGCAGAATCCACAGAAATAGAGTTTCAAAGCTGCTCTGTAAAAAGGAAGGATCCACTCTGTTAGCTGAGTACACACATCACAAACTTGTTTCTGAGAATCCTTCTGTCTCGTTTTTATGGGAAGATATTTTCTTTTCCACCGTAGGCATCAAAGCGCTCCAAATGTCCACATCCAGATACTCCAGAACGAGTGTTTCAAACCTGCTCTATGAAAGGGAATCTTCAACTCTATGAGTTGAATGCAGACATCAGAAAGAAATTTCTGAGAATGCTCCTGTCTACCTTTTATTTGAATTCCCGCTTCCAATGAAATCCTCCAAGCTATCCAAATATCCACTTGCATTTTCCACAAAAAGAGTGTTTCAAAACTGCTCTATCAATGGAAATGTTCAACTCCTTTAGCTGGGTACACACATCACAAACAAGTTTCTGAGAATGCTTCTGTCTAGTTTTTATGGGAAGACATTCCCTGTTTCACCAAAGGCATCAAAGCGCTCCAAATGTCCACTTCCTGACACTACAAAAAGAGTGTTTCAAACGTGCTCTAAGAAAGCGAATGTTCAACTCTCTGACTTGAATGCAGATATCACAAAGTAGTTTCTGAGAGGGCTTCTGTCTAGATTTTAGATGATGATATTCCCGTTTCCAACGAAATCATTAGAGCTATCCAAATATCCACTTACGGTTTCTACAAAAAGAGTGTTTCCAAACTGCTGCATCAAAAGAGAGGTTCCACTCTGTTAGCTGAGTACACACATCACAAACTTGTTTCTCAGAATCCTTCTGTCTCGTTTTTATGGGAAGATTATACTTTTTCACCGTAGGCATCAAAGCGCTCCAAATGTCCACATCCAGATACTCCAGAAAGAGTGTTTCAAACCTGCTCTATGAAAGGGAATCTTCAACTCTATGAGTTGAATGCAGACATCAGAAAGAAATTTCTGAGAATGCTGCTGTCTACCTTTAATTTGAATTCCCGCTTCCAACGAAATCCTCCAAGCTATCCAAATATCCACTTGCAGATTCCACAAAAAGAGTGTTTCAAAACTGCTCTCTATCAATGGCAAAGTTCAACTCTGTTAGTTGAGGACACATATCACCAACAATTTTCTGAGAATGCTTCTGTCAATTTTTTATGGGAAGATATTTCCTTTTTCACCGTAGGCATCAAGGCGATCGAAATGTCCACTTACACAAACTACAAAAAGAGTGTTTCAATATGAAAGGCCATGTTCATCTCTATGAGTTGAATGGAAATATCCGAAAGAAATTTCTGGGAATGTTGCTGTCTAGTGTTTATACGAATTCCCGCTTCCAACGAAATCCTCAAAGCAATCCAAATATCCACTTGCAGAATCCACAAAAAGAGTGTTTCAAAACTGCTCTATCAATAGAAAGGTTCAACTCTTTTAGTTGAGTACACACATCACGAACAAGTTTCTGAGAATGCTTCTGTGTGGCTTTTATTGGAAGACGTTTCCTTTTCACCAAAGGCATCAAAGCGCTCCAAATGTCCACTTCCAGATTCTTCCAAAAGAGTGTTTCAAACGTGCTCAAAGTAAGGGAATGTTCAACTCTGTGACTTGAATGCAGATATCACCAAGTAGTTTCTAATAGTGCTTCTGTCTACATTTTAGATGATGATATTCCCGTTTCCAACGAAATCGTTAGAGCTATCCAAATATCCAGTTACAGTTTCTACCAAAAGGGTGCTTCCAAATTGCTGCATCAAAAGAAAGGTTCAACTCTGTTAGTTGAGGACACACATCACAAAGAAGTTTGTGAGAATGCTTCTGTCTAGATTTTGTATGACGGTATTCCCTTTTCCAACGATATCGTTAAAGCAATCTAAATATCAATTTGCAGAATCCACAACAATAGAGTTTCAAAGCTGCTCTGTAAAAAGAAAGGTTCCACTCTGTTAGCTGAGTACACACATCACAAACTTGTTTCTGAGAATCCTTTCTGTCTCGTTTTTCTGGGAAGATATTTACTTTTTCACCGTAGGCATCAAAGCGCTCCAAATGTCCACATCCAGATACTCCAGAAAGAGTGTTTCAAACCTGCTCTATGAAAGGGAATCTTCAACTCTATGAGTTGAATGCAGACATCAGAAAGAAATTTCTGAGAATGCTGGCTGTCTACCTTTTATTTGAATTCCCGCTTCCAACGAAATCCTTCAAGCTATCCAAATATCCACCTGCATTTTCCACAAAAAGAGTGTTTCAAAACTGCTCTATCAATAGAAATGTTCAACTCCTTTGGCTGGGTACACACATCACAAACAAGTTTCTGAGAATGCTTCTGTCTAGTTTTTATGGGAAGACGTTCCCTTTTTCACCAAAGGCATCAAAGTGCTCCAAATGTCCACTTCCAGACACTACAAAAAGAGTGTTTCAAACGTGCTCTAAGAAAGCGAATGTTCAACTCTGTGACTTGAATGCAGATATCACAAAGTAGTTTCTGAGAGTGCTTGTGTCTAGATTTTGTATGACGATATTCCCTTTTCCAACGATATCGTTAAAGCAATCTAAATATCAATTTGCAGAATCCACAAAAATAGAGTTTCAAAGCTGCTCTGTAAAAAGAAAGGTTCCACTCTGTTAGCTGAGTACACACATCACAAACTTGTTTCTCAGAATCCTTCTGTCTCGTTTTTATGGGAAGATATTTACTTTTTCACCGTAGGCATCAAAGCGCTCCAAATGTCCACGTCCAGATACTCCAGAAAGAGTGTTTCAAACCTGCTCTATGAAAGGGAATCTTCAACTCTATGAGTTGAATGCAGACATCAGAAAGAAATTTCTGAGAATGCTGCTGTCTACCTTTTATTTGAATTCCCGCTTCCAACGAAATCCTCCAAGCTATCCAAATATCCACTTGCAGATTCCACAAAAAGAGTGTTTCAAAACTGCTCTCTATCAATGGCAAAGTTCAACTCTGTTAGTTGAGGACACATATCACCAACAAGTTTCTGAGAATGCTTCTGTCTATTTTTTATGGGAAGATATTTCCTTTTTCACCGTAGGCGTCAAGGCGATCGAAATGTCCACTTCCACAAACTACAAAAAGAGTGTTTCAAACCTGCTCTATGAAAGGCCATGTTCATCTCTATGAGTCGAATGGAAATATCCGAAAGAAATTTCTGGGAATGCTGCTGTCTAGTTTTTATACGAATTCCCGCTTCCAACGAAATCCTCAAAGCAATCCTAATATCCACTTGCAGAATCCACAAAAAGAGTGTTTCAAAACTGCTCTATCAATAGAAAGGTTCAACTCTTTTAGTTGAGTACACACATCACAAACAAGTTTCTGAGAATGCTTCTGTCTGGCTTTTATTGGAAGACGTTTCCTTTTCACCAAAGGCATCAAAGCGCTCCAAATGTCCACTTCCAGATTCTTCCAAAAGAGTGTTTGAAACGTGCTCAAAGTAAGGGAATGTTCAACTCTGTGACTTGAATGCAGATATCACCAAGTAGTTTCTAATAGTGCTTCTGTCTAGATTTTAGATGATGATATTCCCGTTTCCAACGAAATCGTTAGAGCTATCCAAATATCCACTTACAGTTTCTACAAAAACAGTGTTTCCAAACTGCTGCATCAAAAGAAAGGTTCAACTCTGTTAGTTGAGGACACACGTCACAAAGAAGTTTGTGAGAATGCTTCTGTCTAGATTTTGTATGAAGATATTCCCTTTTCCAATGATATCTTTAAATCAACACAAATATCAATTTGCAGGATCCACAAAAACAGTTTCAAAGCTGCTCTGTAAAAAGAAAGGTTCCACTCTGTTAGCTGAGTACACACATCACAAACTTGCTTCTGAGAATCCTTCTGTCTCGTTTTTATGGGAAGATATTTACTTTTTCACCGTAGGCATCAAAGCGCTCCAAATGTCCACATCCAGATACTCCAGAAAGAGTGTTTCAAACCTGCTCTATGAAAGGGAATCTTCAACTCTATGAGTTGAATGCAGACATCAGAAAGAAATTTCTGAGAATGCTTGCTGTCTACCTTTTATTTGAACTCCCGCTTCCAACGAAATCCTCCAAGCTATCCAAATATCCACTTGCATTTTCCACAAAAAGAGTGCTTCAAAACTGCTCTATCAATAGAAATGTTCAACTCCTTTAGCTGGGTGCACACATCACAAACAAGTTTCTGAGAATGCTTCTGTCTAGTTTTTATGGGAAGACATTCCCTTTTTCACCAAAGGCATCAAAGCGCTCCAAATGTCCACTTCCAGACACTACAAAAAGTGTGTTTCAAACGTGCTCTAAGAAACCGAATGTTCAACTCTGTGACTTGAATGCAGATATCACAAAGTAGTTTCTGAGAGGGCTTCTGTCTAGATTTTAGATGATGATATTCCCGTTTCCAACGAAATCATTAGAGCTATCCAAATATCCACTTACAGTTTCTACAAAAAGAGTGTTTCCAAACTGCTGCATCAAAAGAGAGGTTCCACTCTGTTAGCTGAGTACACACATCACAAACTTGTTTCTCAGAATCCTGCTGTCTACCTTTTATTTGAATTCCCGCTTCCAACGAAATCCTCCAAGCTATCCAAATATCCACTTGCAGATTCCACAAAAAGAGTGTTTCAAAACTGCTCTCTATCAATGGCAAAGTTCAACTGTGTTAGTTGAGGACACATATCACCAACAAGTTTCTGAGAATGCTTCTGTCTATTTTTTATGGGAAGATATTTCCTTTTTCACCGTAGGCGGTCAAGGCGATCGAAATGTCCACTTCCACAAACTACAAAAAGAGTGTTTCAAACCTGCTCTATGAAAGGCCATGTTCATCTCTATGAGTTGAATGGAAATATCCGAAAGAAATTTCTGGGAATGCTGCTGTCTAGTGTTTATACGAATTCCCGCTTCCAACGAAATCCTCAAAGCAATCCAAATATCCACTTGCAGAATCCACAAAAAGAGTGTTTCAAAACTGCTCTATCAATAGAAAGGTTCAACTCTTTTAGTTGAGTACACACACCACGAACATGTTTCTGAGAATGCTTCTGTCTGGCTTTTATTGGAAGACGTTTCCTTTTCACCAAAGGCATCAAAGCGCTCCAAATGTCCACTTCCAGATTCTTCCAAAAGAGTGTTTCAAACGTGCTCAAAGTAAGGGAATGTTCAACTCTTTGACTTGAATGCAGATATCACCAAGTAGTTTCTAATAGTGCTTTCTGCCTACATTTTAGATGATGATATTCCCTTTTCCAACGAAATCGTTAGCAGCTATCCAAATATCCAGTTACAGTTTCTACCAAAAGGGTGTTTCCAAATTGCTGCATCAAAAGAAAGGTTCAACTCTGTTAGTTGAGGACACACATCACAAAGAAGTTTGTGAGAATGCTTCTGTCTATATTTTGTATGAGGATATTCCCTTTTCCAACGATATCGTTAAAGCAATCTAAATATCAATTTGCAGAATCCACAAAAATAGAGTTTCAAAGCTGCTCTGTAAAAAGAAAGGTTCCACTCTGTTAGCTGAGTACACACATCACAAACTTGTTTCTCAGAATCCTTCTGTCTCGTTTTTATGGGAAGATATTTACTTTTTCACCGTAGGCATCCAAGCGCTCCAAATGTCCACATCCAGATACTCCAGAAAGAGTGTTTCAAACCTGCTTTATGAAAGGGAGTCTTCAACTCTATGAGTTGAATGCAGACATCAGAAGGAAATTTCTGAGAATGCTGCTGCTGTCTACCTTTTATTTGAATTCCCGCTTCCAACGAAATCCTCCAAGCTATCCAAATATCCACCTGCATTTTCCACAAAAAGAGTGTTTCAAAACTGCTCTATCAATAGAAATGTTCAACTCCTTTGGCTGGGTACACACATCACAAACAAGTTTCTGAAAATGCTTCTGTCTACTTTTTAAGGGAAGACATTTCCTTTTTCACCAAAGGCATCAAAGCGCTCCAAATGTCCACTTCCAGATTCTACAAAAAGAGTGTTTCAAACCTGCTCTAAGTAAGGGAGTTTTCAACCCTGTGACTGGAATGCAGATATCACAAAGTAGTTTCTGAGACTGCTTCTGTGTATACTTTAGATGAAGATATTCCCGTTTCCAACGATATCGTTAGACCTACCCAAATATCCACTTACAGTTTCTACAGAAAGTGTGTTTCCAAACTGCTGCATCAAAAGAAAGGTTCAACTCTGTTAGTTGAGGACACACATCACAAAGAAGTTTCTGAGAAAGCTTCTGTCTCGTTTTTATGGGAAGATATTTACTTTTTCACCATAGGCATCAAAGCGCTCCAAATGTCCACGTCCAGATACTCCAGAAAGAGTGTTTCAAACCTCCTCTATGAAAGGGAATCTTCAACTCTATGAGTTGAATGCAGACATCAGAAAGAAATTTCTGAGAATGCTGCTGTCTACCTTTTATTTGAATTCCCGCTTCCAACGAAATCCTCCAAGCTATCCAAATATCCACTTGCATTTTCCACAAAAAGAGTGTTTCAAAACTGCTCTATCAATAGAAATGTTCAACTCCTTTAGCTGGGTACACACATCACAAACAAGTTTCTGAGAATGCTTCTGTCTAGTTTTTATGGGAAGACATTCCCTTTTTCACCAAAGGCATCAAAGCGCTCCAAATGTCCACTTCCAGACACTACAAAAAGAGTGTTTCCAACGTGCTCTAAGAAAGCGAATGTTCAACTCTGTGACTTGAATGCAGATATCACAAAGTAGTTTCTGAGACGGCTTCTGTCTAGATTTTAGATGATGATATTCCCGTTTCCAACGAAATCATTAGAGCTATCCAAATATCCACTTACAGTTTCTACAAAAAGAGTGTTTCCAAACTGCTGCATCAAAAGAGAGGTTCCACTCTGTTAGCCGAGTACACACATCACAAACTTGTTTCTCAGAATCCTTCTGTCTCGTTTTTATGGGAAGATATTTACTTTTTCACCGTAGGCATCAAAGCGCTCCAAATGTCTACATCCAGATAGTACAGAAAGAGTTTTTCAAACCTGCTCTATGAAAGGGAATCTTCAACTCTATGAGTTGAATGCAGACATCAGAAAGAAATTTCTGAGAATGCTGCTGTCTACCTTTTATTTGAATTCCCGCTTCCAACGAAATCCTCCAAGCTATCCAAATATCCACTTGCAGATTCAGGCAAAAGAGTGTTTCAAAACTGCTCTCTATCAATGGCAAAGTTCAACTCTGTTAGTTGAGGACACATATCACCAACAAGTTTCTGAGAATGCTTCTGTCTATTTTTTATGGGAAGATATTTCCTTTTTCACCGTAGGCGTCAAGGCGATCGAAATGTCCACTTCCACAAACTACAAAAAGAGTGTTTCAAACCTGCTCTATGAAAGGCCATGTTCATCTCTATGAGTTGAATGGAAATATCCGAAAGAAATTTCTGGGAATGCTGCTGTCTAGTTTTTATATGAATTCCCGCTTCCAACGAAATCCTCAAAGCAATCCAAATATCCACTTGCAGAATCCACAAAAAGAGTGTTTCAAAACTGCTCTATCAATAGAAAGGTTCAACTCCTTTAGTTGAGTACACACATCACAAACAAGTTTCTGAGAATGCTTCTGTCTGGCTTTTATTGGAAGACGTTTCCTTTTCACCAAAGGCATCAAAGCGCTCCAAATGTCCACTTCCAGATTCTTCCCAAAGAGTGTTTCAAACGTGCTCAAAGTAAGGGAATGTTCAACTCTGTGACTTGAATGCAGATATCACCAAGTAGTTTCTAATAGTGCTTCTGTCTAGATTTTAGATGATGATATTCCCGTTTCCAACGAAATCGTTAGAGCTATCCAAATATCCACTTACAGTTTCTACCAAAAGGGTGTTTCCAAACTGCTGCATCAAAAGAAAGGTTCAAGTCTGTTAGTTGAGGACACACATCACAAAGAAGTTTGTGAGAATGCTTCTGTCTAGATTTTGTATGACGATATTCCCTTTTCCAACGATATCGTTAAAGCAATCTAAATATCAATTTGCAGAATCCACAAAAATAGAGTTTCAAAGCTGCTCTGTAAAAAGAAAGGTTCCACTCTGTTAGCTGAGTACACACATCACAAACTTGTTTCTCAGAATCCTTCTGTCTCGTTTTTATGGGAAGATATTTACTTTTTCACCGTAGGCATCAAAGCGCTCCAAATGTCCACATCCAGATATTCCAGAAAGACTGTTTCAAACCTGCTCTATGAAAGGGAATCTTCAACTCTATGAGTTGAATGCAGACATCAGAAAGAAATTTCTGAGAATGCTGCTGTCTACTTTTTATTTGAATTCCCGCTTCCCACGAAATCCTCCAAGCTATCCAAATATCCACCTGCATTTTCCACAAAAAGAGTGTTTCAAAACTGCTCTATCAATAGAAATGTTCAACTCCTTTAGCTGGGTAGACACATCACAAACAAGTTTCTGAGAATGCTTCTGTCTAGTTTTTATGGGAAGACATTCCCTTTTTCACCAAAGGCATCAAAGCGCTCCAAATGTCCACTTCCAGACACTACAAAAAGAGTGTTTCCAACGTGCTCTAAGAAAGCGAATGTTCAACTCTGTGACTTGAATGCAGATATCACAAAGTAGTTTCTAATAGTGCTTCTGTCTAGATTTTAGATGATGATATTCCCGTTTCCAAAGAAATCATTAGAGCTATCCAAATATCCACTTACAGTTTCTACAAAAAGAGTGTTTCCAAACTGCTGCATCAAAAGAGAGGTTCCACTCTGTTAGCTGAGTACACACATCACAAACTTGTTTCTCAGAATCCTTTCTGTCTCGTTTTTATGGGAAGATATTTACTTTTTCACCGTAGGCATCAAAGCGCTCCAAATGTCCACATCCAGATACTCTGAACGAGTGTTTCAAACCTGCTCTATGAAAGGGAATCTTCAACTCTATGAGTTGAATGCAGACATCAGAAAGAAATTTCTGAGAATGCTGCTGTCTACCTTTTATTTGAATTCCCGCTTCCAACGAAATCCTCCAAGCTATCCAAATATCCACTTGCAGATTCCACAAAAAGAGTGTTTCAAAACTGCTCTCTATCAATGGCAAAGTTCAACTCTGTTAGTTGAGGACACATATCACCAACAAGTTTCTGAGAATGCTTCTGTCTATTTTTTATGGGTAGATATTTCCTTTTTCACCGTAGGCGTCAAGGCGATCGAAATGTCCACTTCCACAAACTACAAAAAGAGTGTTTCAAACCTGCTCTATGAAAGGCCATGTTCATCTCTATGAGTTGAATGGAAATATCCGAAAGAAATTTCTGGGAATGCTGCTGTCTAGTTTTTATATGAATTCCCGCTTCCAACGAAATCCTCAAAGCAATCCAAATATCCACTTGCAGAATCCACAAAAAGAGTGTTTCAAAACTGCTCTATCAATAGAAAGGTTCAACTCTTTTAGTTGAGTACACACATCACAAACAAGTTTGCTGAGAATGCTTATCTGTCTGGCTTTTATTGGAAGACGTTTCCTTTTCACCAAAGGCATCAAAGCGCTCCAAATGTCCACTTCCAGATTCTTCCAAAAGAGTGTTTGAAACGTGCTCAAAGTAAGGGAATGTTCAACTCTGTGACTTGAATGCAGATATCACCAAGTAGTTTCTAATAGTGCTTCTGTCTAGATTTTAGGTGAGGATATTCCCGTTTCCAACGAAATCGTTAGAGCTATCCAAATATCCAGTTACAGTTTCTACCAAAAGGGTGTTTCCAAATTGCTGCATCAAAAGAAAGGTTCAACTCTGTTAGTTGAGGACACACATCACAAAGAAGTTTGTGAGAATGCTTCTGTCCAGATTTTGTATGACGATATTCCCTTTTCCAACGATATCATTAAAGCAATCTAAATATCCATTTGCAGAATCCACAAAAATAGAGTTTCAAAGCTGCTCTGTAAAAAGAAAGGTTCCACTCTGTTAGCTGAGTACACACATCACAAACTTGTCTCTCAGAATCCTTCTGTCTCGTTTTTATGGGAAGATATTTACTTTTTCACCGTAGGCATCAAAGCGCTCCAAATGTCCACATCCAGATACTCCAGAAAGAGTGTTTCAAACCTGCTCTATGAAAGGGAATCTTCAACTCTATGAGTTGAATGCAGACATCAGAAAGAAATTTCTGAGAATGCTGCTGTCTACCTTTTATTTGAATTCCCGCTTCCAACGAAATCCTCCAAGCTATCCAAATATCCACCTGCAGATTCCACAAAAAGAGTGTTTCAAAACTGCTCTATCAATAGAAATGTTCAACTCCTTTAGCTGGGTACACACATCACAAACAAGTTTCTGAGAATGCTTCTGTCTAGTTTTTATGGGAAGACATTCCCTTTTTCACCAAAGGCATCAAAGCGCTCCAAATGTCCACTTCCAGACACTACAAAAAGAGTGTTTCAAACGTGCTCTAAGAAAGCGAATATTCAACTCTGTGACTTGAATGCAGATATCACAAAGTAGTTTCTGAGAGGGCTTCTGTCTAGATTTTAGATGATGATATTCCCGTTTCCAACGAAATCATTAGAGCTATCCAAATATCCACTTACAGTTTCTACAAAAAGAGTGTTTCCAAACTGCTGCATCAAAAGAGAGGTTCCACTCTGTTAGCTGAGTACACACATCACAAACTTGTTTCTCAGAATCCTTCTGTCTAGCTTTTATGGGAAGATATTTCCTTTTTCACCGTAGGCATCAAAGCGATCCCAATGTCCACTTCCAGATAGTACAGAAAGAGTGTTTCAAACCTGCTCTATGAAAGGGAATCTTCAACTCTATGAGTTGAATGCAGACATCAGAAAGTAATTTCTGAGAATGCTGCTGTCTACCTTTTATTTGAATTCCCGCTTCCAACGAAATCCTCCAAACTATCCAAATATCCACTTGCAGATTCAGGAAAAAGAGTGTTTCAAAACTGCTCTCTATCAATGGCAAAGTTCAACTCTGTTAGTTGAGGACACATATCACCAACAAGTTTCTGAGAATGCTTCTGTCTATTTTTTATGGGAAGATATTTCCTTTTTCAGCGTAGGCGTCAAGGCGATCGAAATGTCCACTTCCACAAACTACAAAAAGAGTGTTTCAAACCTGCTCTATGAAAGGCCATGTTCATCTCTATGAGTTGAATGGAAATATCCGAAAGAAATTTCTGGGAATGCTGCTGTCTAGTTGTTATACGAATTCCCGCTTCCAACGAAATCCTCAAAGCAATCCACATATCCACTTGCAGAATCCACAAAAAGAGTGTTTCAAAACTGCTCCATCAATAGAAAGGTTCAACTCTTTTAGTTGAGTACACACATCACAAACAAGTTTCTGAGAATGCTTCTGTCTGGCTTTTATTGGAAGACGTTTCCTTTTCACCAAAGGCATCAAAGCGCTCCAAATGTCCACTTCCAGATTCTTCCAAAAGAGTGTTTCAAACGTGCTCAAAGTAAGGGAATGTTCAACTCTGTGACTTGAATGCAGATATCACCAAGTAGTTTCTAATAGTGCTTCTGTCTAGATTTTAGATGATGATATTCCCGTTTCCAACGAAATCGTTAGAGCTATCCAAATATCCACTTACAGTTTCTACAAAAAGAGTGTTTCCAAACTGCTGCATCAAAAGAAAGGTTCAACTCTGTCAGTTGAGGAGACACATCACAAAGAAGTTTGTGAGAATGCTTCTGTCTAGATTTTGTATGACCATATTCCCTTTTCCCAACGATATCGTTAAAGCAATCTAAATATCCATTTGCAGAATCCACAAAAATAGAGTTTCAAAGCTGCTCTGTAAAAAGAAAGGTTCCACTCTGTTAGCTGAGTACACACATCACAAACTTGTCTCTCAGAATCCTTCTGTCTCGTTTTTATGGGAAGATATTTACTTTTCCACCGTAGGCATCAAAGCGCTCCAAATGTCCACATCCGGATACTCCAGAACGAGTGTTTCAAACCTGCTCTATGAAAGGGAATCTTCAACTCTATGAGTTGAATGCAGACATCAGAAAGAAATTTCTGAGAATGCTGCTGTCTACCTTTTATTTGAATTCCCGCTTCCAACGAAATCCTCCAAGCTATCCAAATATCCACCTGCATTTTCCACAACAAGAGTGTTTCAAAACTGCTCTATCAATAGAAATGTTCAACTCCTTTGGCTGGGTACACACATCACAAACAAGTTTGCTGAGAATGCTTCTGTCTAGTTTTTATGGGAAGACGTTCCCTTTTTCACCAAAGGCATCAAAGCGCTCCAAATGTCCACTTCCAGACACTACAAAAAGAGTGTTTCAAACGTGCTCTAAGAAAGCGAATGTTCAACTCTGTGACTTGAATGCAGATATCACAAAGTAGTTTACTGAGAGGGCTTCTGTCTAGATTTTAGATGATGATATTCCCGTTTCCAATGAAATCATTAGAGCTATCCAAATATCCACTTACAGTTTCTACAAAAAGAGTGTTTCCAAACTGCTGCATCAAAAGAGAGGTTCCACTCTGTTAGCTGAGTACACACATCACAAACTTGTTTCTCAGAATCCTTCTGTCTCGTTTTTATGGGAAGATATTTACTTTTACACCGTAGGTATCAAAGCGCTCCAAATGTCCACATCCAGATACTCCAGAAAGAGTGTTTCAAACCTGCTCTATGAAAGGGAATCTTCAACTCTATGAGTTGAATGCAGACATCAGAAAGAAATTTCTGAGAATGCTGCTGTCTACCTTTTATTTGAATTCCCGCTTCCAACGAAATCCTCCAAGCTATCCAAATATCCACTTGCAGATTCCACAAAAAGAGTGTTTCAAAACTGCTCTCTATCAATGGCAAAGTTCAACTCTGTTAGTTGAGGACACATATCACCAACAAGTTTCTGAGAATGCTTCTGTCTATTTTTTATGGGAAGATATTTCCTTTTTCACCGTAGGCGTCAAGGCGATCGAAATGTCCAGTTCCACAAACTACAAAAAGAGTGTTTCAAACCTGCTCTATGAAAGGCCATGTTCATCTCTATGAGTTGAATGGAAATATCCGAAAGAAATTTCTGGGAATGCTGCTGTCTAGTTTTTATACGAATTCCCGCTTCCAACGAAATCCTCAAAGCAATCCAAATATCCACTTGCAGAATCCACAAAAAGAGTGTTTCAAAACTGCTCTATCAATAGAAAGGTTCAACTCTTTTAGTTGAGTACACACATCACAAACAAGTTTCTGAGAATGCTTCTGTCTGGCTTTTATTGGAAGACGTTTCCTTTTCACCAAAGGCATCAAAGCGCTCCAAATGTCCACTTCCAGATTCTTCCAAAAGAGTGTTTGAAACGTGCTCAAAGTAAGGGAATGTTCAACTCTGTGACTTGAATGCAGATATCACCAAGTAGTTTCTAATAGTGCTTCTGTCTAGATTTTAGATGATGATATTCCCGTTTCCAACGAAATCGTTAGAGCTATCCAAATATCCACTTACAGTTTCTACCAAAAGGGTGTTTCCAAACTGCTGCATCAAAAGAAAGGTTCAACTGTGTTAGTTGAGGACACACGTCACAAAGCTGTTTGTGAGAATGCTTCTGTCCAGATTTTGTATGACGATATTCCCTTTTCCAACGATATCGTTAAAGCAATCTAAATATCCATTTGCAGAATCCACAAAAATAGAGTTTCAAAGCTGCTCTGTAAAAAGAAAGGTTCCACTCTGTTAGCTGAGTACACACATCACAAACTTGTTTCTGAGAATCCTGCTGTCTACCTTTTATTTGAATTCCCGCTTCCAACGAAATCCTCCAAGCTATCCAAATATCCACCTGCATTTTCCACAACAAGAGTGTTTCAAAACTGCTCTATCAATAGAAATGTTCAACTCCTTTGGCTGGGTACACCCATCACAAACAAGACTCTGAGAATGCTTCTGTCTAGTTTTTATGGGAAGACATTCCCTTTTTCACCAAAGGCATCAAAGCGCTCCAAATGTCCACTTCCAGACACTACAAAAAGAGTGTTTCAAACGTGCTCTAAGAAAGCGAATGTTCAACTCTGTGACTTGAATGCAGATATCACAAAGTAGTTTCTGAGAGTGCTTCTGTCTAGATTTTAGATGATGATATTCCCGTTTCCAACGAAATCATTAGAGCTATCCAAATATCCACTTACTGTTTCTACAAAAAGAGTGTTTCCAAACTGCTGCATCAAAAGAGAGGTTCCACTCTGTTAGCTGAGTACACACATCACAAACTTGTTTCTCAGAATCCTTCTGTCTCGTTTTTTTGGGAAGATATTTACTTTTTCACCGTAGGCATCAAAGCGCTCCAAATGTCCACATCCAGATACTCCAGAAAGAGTGTTTCAAACCTGCTCTATGAAAGGGAATCTTCAACTCTATGAGTTGAATGCAGACATCAGAAAGAAATTTCTGAGAATGCTGCTGTCTACCTTTTATTTGAATTCCCGCTTCCAACGAAATCCTCCAAGCTATCCAAATATCCACTTGCAGATTCCACAAAAAGAGTGTTTCAAAACTGCTCTCTATCAATGGCAAAGTTCAACTCTGTTAGTTGAGGACACATATCACCAACAAGTTTCTGAGAATGCTTCTGTCTATTTTTTATGGGAAGATATTTCCTTTTTCACCGTAGGCGTCAAGGCAATCGAAATGTCCACTTCCACAAACTACAAAAAGAGTGTTTCAAACCTGCTCTATGAAAGGCCATGTTCATCTCTATGAGTTGAATGGAAATATCCGAAAGAAATTTCTGGGAATGCTGCTGTCTAGTGTTTATACGAATTCCCGCTTCCAACGAAATCCTCAAAGCAATCCAAATATCCACTTGCAGAATCCACAAAAAGAGTGTTTCAAAACTGCTCTATCAATAGAAAGGTTCAACTACTTTTAGTTGAGTACACACATCACGAACAAGTTTCTGAGAATGCTTTCTGTCTGGCTTTTATTGGAAGACGTTTCCTTTTCACCAAAGGCATCAAAGCGCTCCAAATGTCCACTTCCAGATTCTTCCAAAAGAGTGTTTCAAACGTGGTCGAAGTAAGGGAATGTTCAACTCTGTGACTTGAATGCAGATATCACCAAGTAGTTTCTAACAGTGCTTCTGTCTACATTTTAGATGATGATATTCCCGTTTCCAACGAAATCGCTAGAGCTATCCAAATATCCAGTTACAGTTTCTACCAAAAGGGTGTTTCCAAATTGCTGCATCAAAAGAAAGGTTCAACTCTGTTAGTTGAGGACACACATCACAAAGAAGTTTGTGAGAATGCTTCTGTCTAGATTTTGTATGACCATATTCCCTTTTCCAACGATATCGTTAAAGCAATCTAAATATCAATTTGCAGAATCCACAAAAATAGAGTTTCAAAGCTGCTCTGTAAAAAGAAAGGTTCCACTCTGTTAGCTGAGTACACACATCACAAACTTGTTTCTGAGAATCCTTCTGTCTCGTTTTTATGGGAAGATATTTACTTTTCCACCGTAGGCATCAAAGCGCTCCAAATGTCCACATCCATATACTCCAGAACGAGTGTTTCAAACCTGCTCTATGAAAGGGAATCTTCAACTCTATGAGTTGAATGCAGACATCAGAAAGAAATTTCTGAGAATGCTGCTGTCTACCTTTTATTTGAATTCCCGCTTCCAACGAAATCCTCCAAGCTATCCAAATATCCACCTGCATTTTCCACAAAAAGAGTGTTTCAAACCTGCTCTATCAATAGAAATGTTCAACTCCTTTGGCTGGGTACACACATCACAAACAAGTTTCTGAGAATGCTTCTGTCTAGTTTTTATGGGTAGACATTCCCTTTTTCACCAAAGGAATCAAAGCGCTCCAAATGTCCACTTCCAGACACTACAAAAAGAGTGTTTCCAACGTGCTCTAAGAAAGCGAATGTTCAACTCTGTGACTTGAATGCAGATATCACAAAGTAGTTTCTGAGAGTGCTTCTGTCTAGATTTTAGATGATGATATTCCCGTTTCCAACGAAATCATTAGAGCTATCCAAATATCCACTTACAGTTTCTACAAAAAGAGTGTTTCCAAACTGCTGCATCAAAAGAGAGGTTCCACTCTGTTAGCTGAGTACACACATCACAAACTTGTTTCTCAGAATCCTTCTGTCTCGTTTTTATGGGAAGATATTTACTTTCTCACCGTAGGCATCAAAGCGCTCCAAATATCCACATCCAGATACTCCAGAAAGAGTGTTTCAAACCTGCTCTATGAAAGGGAATCTTCAACTCTATGAGTTGAATGCAGACATCAGAAAGAAATTTCTGAGAATGCTGCTGTCTACCTTTTATTTGAATTCCCGCTTCCAACGAAATCCTCCAAGCTATCCAAATATCCACTTGCAGATTCCACAAAAAGAGTGTTTCAAAACTGCTCTCTATCAATGGCAAAGTTCAACTCTGTTAGTTGAGGACACATATCACCAACAAGTTTCTGAGAATGCTTCTGTCTATTTTTTATGGGAAGATATTTCCTTTTTCACCGTAGGCGTCAAGGCGATCGAAATGTCCACTTCCACAAACTACAAAAAGAGTGTTTCAAACCTGCTCTATGAAAGGCCATGTTCATCTTTATGAGTTGAATGGAAATATCCGAAAGAAATTTCTGGGAATGCTGCTGTCTAGTGTTTATACGAATTCCCGCTTCCAACGAAATCCTCAAAGCAATCCAAATATCCACTTGCAGAATCCACAAAAAGAGTGTTTCAAAACTGCTCTATCAATAGAAAGGTTCAACTCTTTTAGTTGAGTACACTCATCACAAACAAGTTTCTGAGAATGCTTCTGTCTGGCTTTTATTGGAAGACGTTTCCTTTTCACCAAAGGCATCAAAGCGCTCCAAATGTCCACTTCCAGATTCTTCCAAAAGAGTGTTTCAAACGTGCTCAAAGTAAGGGAATGTTCAACTCTGTGACTTGAATGCAGATATCACCAAGTAGTTTCTAATAGTGCTTCTGTCTACATTTTAGATGATGATATTCCCGTTTCCAATGAAATCGTTAGAGCTATCCAAATATCCACTTACAGTTTCTACAAAAAGAGTGTTTCCAAACTGCTGCATCAAAAGAAAGGTTCAACTCTGTTAGTTGAGGACACACATCACAAAGAAGTTTGTGAGAATGCTTCTGTCTAGATTTTGTATGATGATATTCCCTTTTCCATCGATATCGTTAAAGCAATCTAAATATCAATTTGCAGAATCCACAAAAATAGAGTTTCAAAGCTGCTCTGTAAAAAGAAAGGTTCCACTCTGTTAGCTGAGTACACACATCACAATCTTGTTTCTGAGAATCCTGCTGTCTACCTTTTATTTGAATTCCCGCTTCCAACGAAATCCTCCAAGGTATCCAAATATCCACCTGCATTTTCCACAAAAAGAGTGTTTCAAAACTGCTCTATCAATAGAAATGTTCAACTCCTTTGGCTGGGTACACACATCACAAACAAGTTTCTGAGAATGCTTCTGTCTAGTTTTTATGGGAAGACGTTCCCTTTTTCACCAAAGGCATCAAAGCGCTCCAAATGTCCACTTCCAGACACTACAAAAAGAGTGTTTCAAACGTGCTCTAAGAAAGCGCATGTTCAACTCTGTGACTTGAATGCAGATATCACAAAGTAGTTTCTGAGAGGGCTTCTGTCTAGTATTTTAGATGATGATATTCCCGTTTCCAACGAAATCATTAGAGCTATCCAAATATCCACTTACAGTTTCTACAAAAAGAGTGTTTCCAAACTGCTGCATCAAAACAGAGGTTCCACTCTGTTAGCTGAGTACACACATCACAAACTAGTTTCTCAGAATCCTCTGTCTCGTTTTTATGGGAAGATATTTACTTTTTCACCGTAGGCATCAAAGCGCTCCAAATGTCCACATCCAGATACTCCAGAAAGAGTGTTTCAAACCTGCTCTATGAAAGGGAATCTTCAACTCTATGAGTTGAATGCAGACATCAGAAAGAAATTCTGAGAATGCTGGCTGTCTACCTTTTATTTGAATTCCCGCTTCCAACGAAATCCTCCAGCTATCCAAATATCCACTTGCAGATTCCACAAAAAGAGTGTTTCAAAACTGCTCTCTATCAATGGCAAAGTTCAACTCTGTTAGTTGAGGACACATATCACCAACAAGTTTCTGAGAATGCTTCTGTCTATTTTTTATGGGAAGATATTTCCTTTTTCACCGTAGGCGTCAAGGCGATCGAAATGTCCACTTCCACAAACTACAAAAAGAGTGTTTCAAACCTGCTCTATGAAAGGCCATGTTCATCTCTATGAGTTGAATGGAAATATCCGAAAGAAATTTCTGGGAATGCTGCTGTCTAGTGTTTATATGAATTCCTGCTTCCAACGAAATCCTCAAAGCAATCCAAATATCCACTTGCAGAATCCACAAAAAGAGTGTTTCAAAACTGCTATATCAATAGAAAGGTTCAACTCTTTTAGTTGAGTACACACATCACGAACAAGTTTCTCAGAATGCTTCTGTCTGGCTTTTATTGGAAGACGTTTCCTTTTCACCAAAGGCATCAAAGCGCTCCAAATGTCCACTTCCAGATTCTTCCAAAAGAGTGTTTCAAACGTGCTCGAAGTAAGGGAATGTTCTACTCTGTGACTTGAATGCAGATATCACCAAGTAGTTTCTAATAGTGCTTCTGTCTACATTTTAGATGATGATATTCCCGTTTCCAACGAAATCGCTAGAGCTATCCAAATATCCAGTTACAGTTTCTACCAAAAGGGTGTTTCCAAATTGCTGCATCAAAAGAAAAGTTCAACTCTGTTAGTTGAGGACACACATCACAAAGAAGTTTGTGAGAATGCTTCTGTCTAGATTTTGTATGACCGTATTCCCTTTTCCAACGATATCGTTAAAGCAATCTAAATATCAATTTGCAGAATCCACAAAAATAGAGTTTCAAAGCTGCTCTGTAAAAAGAAAGGTTCCACTCTGTTAGCTGAGTACACACATCACAAACTTGTTTCTGAGAATCCTGCTGTCTACCTTTTATTTGAATTCCCGCTTCCAACGAAATCCTCCAAGCTATCCAAATATCCACCTGCATTTTCCACAACAAGAGTGTTTCAAAACTGCTGTATCAATAGAAACGTTCAACTCCTTTGGCTGGGTACACACATCACAAACAAGTTTCTGAGAATGCTTCTGTCTAGTTTTTATGGGAAGACGTTCCCTTTTTCACCAAAGGCATCAAAGCGCTCCAAATGTCCACTTCCAGACACTACAAAAAGAGTGTTTCCAACGTGCCCTAAGAAAGCGAATGTTCAACTCTGTGACTTGAATGCAGATATCACAAAGTAGTTTCTGAGAGGGCTTCTGTCTAGATTTTAGATGATGATATTCCCGTTTCCAACGAAATCATTAGAGCTATCCAAATATCCACTTACAGTTTCTACAAAAAGAGTGTTTCCAAACTGCTGCATCAAAAGAGAGGTTCCACTCTGTTAGCTGAGTACACACATCACAAACTTGTTTCTCAGAATCCTTCTGTCTCGTTTTTATGGGAAGATATTTACTTTTCCACCGTAGGCATCAAAGCGCTCCAAATGTCCACATCCAGATACTCCAGAACGAGTGTTTCAAACCTGCTCTATGAAAGGGAATCTTCAACTGCTATGAGTTGAATGCAGACATCAGAAAGAAATTTACTGAGAATGCTGCTGTCTACCTTTTATTTGAATTCCCGCTTCCAACGAAATCCTCCAAGCTATCCAAATATCCACTTGCATATTCCACAAAAAGAGTGTTTCAAAACTGCTCTCTATCAATGGCAAAGTTCAACTCTGTTAGTTGAGGACACATATCACCAACAAGTTTCTGAGAATGCTTCTGTCTATTTTTTATGGGAAGATATTTCCTTTTTCACCGTAGGCGTCAAGGCGATCGAAATGTCCACTTCCACAAACTACAAAAAGAGTGTTTCAAACCTGCTCTATGAAAGGCCATGTTCATCTCTATGAGTTGAATGGAAATATCCGAAAGAAATTTCTGGGAATGCTGCTGTCTAGTGTTTATACGAATTCCCGCTTCCAACGAAATCCTCAAAGCAATCCAAATATCCACTTGCAGAATCCACAAAAAGAGTGTTTCTAAACTGCTCTATCAATAGAAAGGTTCAACTCTTTTAGTTGAGTACACACATCACAAACAAGTTTCTGAGAATGCTTCTCTCTGGCTTTTATTGGAAGACGTTTCCTTTTCACCAAAGGCATCAAAGCGCTCCAAATGTCCACTTCCAGATTCTTCCAAAAGAGTGTTTCAAACGTGCTCAAAGTAAGGGAATGTTCAACTACTGTGACTTGAATACAGATATCACCAAGTAGTTTCTAATAGTGCTTCTGTCTAGTATTTTAGATGATGATATTCCCGTTTCCAACGAAATCGTTAGAGCTATCCAAATATCCACTTACAGTTGCTACAAAAAGAGTGTTTCCAAACTGCTGCATCAAAAGAAAGGTTCAACTCTGTTAGTTGAGGACACACATCACAAAGAAGTTTGTGAGAATGCTTCTGTCTAGATTTTGTATGACGATATTCCCTTTTCCAACGATATCGTTAAAGCAATCTAAATATCCATTTGCAGAATCCACAAAAATAGAGTTTCAAAGCTGCTCTGTAAAAAGAAAGGTTGCACTCTGTTAGCTGAGTACACACATCACAAACTTGTTTCTCAGAATCCTGCTGTCTACCTTTTATTTGAATTCCCGCTTCCAACGAAATCCTCCAAGCTATCCAAATATCCACTTGCAGATTCCACAAAAAGAGTGTTTCAAAACTGCTCTCTATCAATGGCAAAGTTCAACTCTGTTAGTTGAGGACACATATCACCAACAAGTTTCTGAGAATGCTTCTGTCTATTTTTTATGGGAAGATATTTCCTTTTTCAGCGTAGGCGCCAAGGCGATCGAAATGTCCACTTCCACAAACTACAAAAAGAGTGTTTCAAACCTGCTCTATGAAAGGCCATGTTCATCTCTATGAGTTGAATGGAAATATCCGAAAGAAATTTCTGGGAATGCTGCTGTCTAGTTTTTATATGAATTCCCGCTTCCAACGAAATCCTCAAAGCAATCCAAATATCCACTTGCAGAATCCACAAAAAGAGTGTTTCAAAACTGCTCTATCAATAGAAAGGTTCAACTCTTTTAGTTGAGTACACACATCACAAACAAGTTTCCTGAGAATGCTTTCTGTCTGGCTTTTATTGGAAGACGTTTCCTTTTCACCAAAGGCATCAAAGCGCTCCAAATGTCCACTTCCAGATTCTTCCAAAAGAGTGTTTCAAACGTGCTCAAAGTAAGGGAATGTTCAACTCTGTGACTTGAATGCAGATATCACCAAGTAGTTTCTAATAGTGCTTCTGTCTACATTTTAGATGATGATATTCCCGTTTCCAACGAAATCGCTAGAGCTATCCAAATATCCAGTTACAGTTTCTACCAAAAGGGTGTTTCCAAATTGCTGCATCAAAAGAAAGGTTCAACTCTGTTAGTTGAGGACACACATCACAAAGAAGTTTGTGAGAATGCTTCTGTCTATATTTTGTATGACGATATTCCCTTTTCCAACGATATCGTTAAAGCAATCTAAATATCAATTTGCAGAATCCACAAAAATAGAGTTTCAAAGCTGCTCTGTAAAAAGAAAGGTTCCACTCTGTTAGCTGAGTACACACATCACAAACTTGTTTCTGAGAATCCTTCTGTCTCGTTTTTATGGGAAGATATTTACTTTTTCACCGTAGGCATCAAAGCGCTCCAAATGTCCACATCCAGATACTCCAGAAAGAGTGTTTCAAACCTGCTCTATGAAAGGGAATCTTCAACTCTATGAGTTGAATGCAGACATCAGAAAGAAACTTCTGAGAATGCTGCTGTCTACCTTTTATTTGAATTCCCGCTTACAACGAAATCCTCCAAGCTATCCAAATATCCACTTGCATTTTCCACAAAAAGAGTGTTTCAAAACTGCTCTATCAATAGAAACGTTCAACTCCTTTAGCTGGGTACACACATCACAAACAAGTTTCTGAGAATGCTTCTGTCTAGTTTTTATGGGAAGACATTCCCTTTTTCACCAAAGCCATCAAAGCGATCCAAATGTCCACTTCCAGACACTACAAAAAGAGTGTTTCAAACGTGCTCTAAGAAAGCGAATGTTCAACTCTGTGACTTGAATGCAGATATCACAAAGTAGTTTCTGAGAGGGCTTCTGTCTAGATTTTAGATGATGATATTCCCGTTTCCAACGAAATCATTACAGCTATCCAAATATCCACTTACAGTTTCTAGAAAAAGAGTGTTTCCAAACTGCTGCATCAAAAGAGAGGTTCCACTCTGTTAGCTGAGTACACACATCACAAACTTGTTTCTCAGAATCCTTCTGTGTCGTTTTTATGTGAAGATATTTACTTTTTAACCGTAGGCATCCAAGCGCTCCAAATGTCCACATCCAGATACTCCAGAAAGAGTGTTTCAAACCTGCTCTATGAAAGGGAATCTTCAACTCTATGAGTTGAATGCAGACATCAGAAAGAAATTTCTGAGAATGCTGCTGTCTACCTTTTATTTGAATTCCCGCTTCCAACGAAATCCTCCAAACTATCCAAATATCCACTTGCAGATTCAGGAAAAAGAGTGTTTCAAAACTGCTCTCTATCAATGGCAAAGTTCAACTCTGTTAGTTGAGGACACATATCACCAACAAGTTTCTGAGAATGCTTCTGTCTATTTTTTATGGGAAGATATTTCCTTTTTCACCGTAGGCGTCAAGGCGATCGAAATGTCCACTTCCACAAACTACAAAAAGAGTGTTTCAAACCTGCTCTATAAAAGGCCATGTTCATCTCTATGAGTTGAATGGAAATATCCGAAAGAAATTTCTGGGAATGCTGCTGTCTAGTTTTTATACGAATTCCCGCTTCCAACGAAATCCTCAAAGCAATCCAAATATCCACTTGCAGAATCCACAAAAAGAGTGTTTCAAAACTGCTCTATCAATAGAAAGGTTCAACTCTTTTAGTTGAGTACACACATCACGAACAAGTTTCTGAGAATGCTTCTGTCTGGCTTTTATTGGAAGACGTTTCCTTTTCACCAAATGCATCAAAGCGCTCCAAATGTCCACTTCCAGATTCTTCCAAAAGAGTGTTTCAAACGTGCTCAAAGTAAGGGAATGTTCAACTCTGTGACTTGAATGCAGATATCACCAAGTAGTTTCTAATAGTGCTTCTGTCTACATTTTAGATGATGATATTCCCGTTTCCAACGAAATCGTTAGAGCTATCCAAATATCCAGTTACAGTTTCTACCAAAAGGGTGTTTCCAAATTGCTGCATCAAAAGAAAGGTTCAACTCTGTTAGTTGAGGACACACATCACAAAGAAGTTTGTGAGAATGCTTTCCTGTCTAGATTTTGTATGACGATATTCCCTTTTCCAACGATATCGTTAAAGCAATCTAAATATCAATTTGCAGAATCCACAAAAACAGAGTTTCAAAGCTGCTCTGTAAAAAGAAAGGTTCCACTCTGTTAGCTGAGTACACACATCCCAAACTTGTTTCTGAGAATCCTTCTGTCTCGTTTTTATGGGAAGATATTTACTTTTCCACTGTAGGCATCAAAGCGCTCCAAATGTCCACATCCAGATACTCCAGAACGAGTGTTTCAAACCTGCTCTATGAAAGGGAATCTTCAACTCTATGAGTTGAATGCAGAATCAGAAAGAAATTTCTGAGAATGCTCTGTCTACCTTTTATTTGAATTCCCGCTTCCAACGAAATCCTCCAAGCTATCCAAATATCCACCTGCATTTTCCACAACAAGAGTGTTTCAAAACTGCTCTATCAATAGAAATGTTCAACTCCTTTGGCTGGGTACACACATCACAAACAAGTTTCTGAGAATGCTTTCTGTCTAGTTTTTATGGGAAGACATTCCCTTTTTCACCAAAGGCATCAAAGCAGCTCCAAATGTCCACTTCCAGACACTACAAAAAGAGTGTTTCAAACGTGCTCTAAGAAAGCGAATGTTCAACTCTGTGGCTTGAATGCAGATATCACAAAGTAGTTTCTGAGAGGGCTTCTCTCTAGATTTTAGATGATGATATTCCCGTTTCCAACGAAATCATTAGAGCTATCCAAATATCCACTTACAGTTTCTACAAAAAGAGTGTTTCCAAACTGCTGCATCAAAAGAGAGGTTCCACTCTGTTAGCTGAGTACACACATCACAAACTTGTTTCTGAGAATCCTTCTGACTCGTTTTTATGGGAAGATATTTACTTTTTCACCGTAGGCATCAAAGCGCTCCAAATGTCCACATCCAGATACTCCAGAAAGAGTGTTTCAAACCTGCTCTATGAAAGGGAATCTTCAACTCTATGAGTTGAATGCAGACATCAGAAAGAAATTTCTGAGAATGCTGCTGTCTACCTTTTATTTGAATTCCCGCTTCCAACGAAATCCTCCAAGCTATCCAAATATCCACTTGCAGATTCCACAAAAAGAGTGTTTCAAAACTGCTCTCTATCAATGGCAAAGTTCAACTCTGTTAGTTGAGGACACATATCACCAACAAGTTTCTGAGAATGCTTCTGTCTTTTTTTATGGGAAGATATTTCCTTTTTCACCGTAGGCGTCAAGGCGATCGAAATGTCCACTTCCACAAACTACAAAAAGAGTGTTTCAAACCTGCTCTATGAAAGGCCATGTTCATCTCTATGAGTCGAATGGAAATATCCGAAAGAAATTTCTGGGAATGCTGCTGTCTAGTGTTTATACGAATTCCCGCTTCCAACGAAATCCTCAAAGCAATCCAAATATCCACTTGCAGAATACACAAAAAGAGTGTTTCAAAACTGCTCTATCAATAGAAAGGTTCAACTCTTTTAGTTGAGTACACACATCACGAACAAGTTTCTGAGAATGCTTCTCTCTGGCTTTTATTGGAAGACGTTTCCTTTTCACCAAAGGCATCAAAGCGCTCCAAATGTCCACTTCCAGATTCTTCCAAAAGAGTGTTTCAAACGTGCTCAAAGTAAGGGAATGTTCAACTCTGTGACTTGAATGCAGATATCACCAAGTAGTTTCTAATAGTGCTTCTGTCTACATTTTAGATGATGATATTCCCGTTTCAAACGAAATCGTTAGAGCTATCCAAATATCCAGTTACAGTTTCTACCAAAAGGGTGTTTCCAAATTGCTGCATCAAAAGAAAGGTTCAACTCTGTTAGTTGAGGACACACATCACAAAGAAGTTTGTGAGAATGCTTCTGTCTAGATTTTGTATGACGATATTCCCTTTTCCAACGATATCGTTAAAGCAATCTAAATATCAATTTGCAGAATCCACAAAAATAGAGTTTCAAAGCTGCTCTGTAAAAAGAAAGGTTCCACTCTGTTAGCTGAGTACACACATCACAAACTTGTTTCTCAGAATCCTTCTGTCTCGTTTTTATGGGAAGATATTTACTTTTTCACCGTGGGCATCAAAGCACTCCAAATGTCCACATCCAGATACTCCAGAAAGAGTGTTTCAAACCTGCTCTATGAAAGGGAATCTTCAACTCTATGAGTTGAATGCAGACATCAGAAAGAAATTTCTGAGAATGCTGCTGTCTACCTTTTATTTGAATTCCCGCTTCCAACGAAATCCTCCAAGCTACTCCAAATATCCACCTTGCACTTTTCCACAAAAAGAGTGTTTCAAAACTGCTCTATCAATAGAAATGTTCAACTCCTTTGGCTGGGTACACACATCACAAACAAGTTTCTGAGGATGCTTCTGTCTAGTTTTTATGGGTAGACATTCCCTTTTTCACCAAAGGAATCAAAGCGCTCCAAATGTCCACTTCCAGACACTACAAAAAGAGTGTTTCAAACGTGCTCTAAGAAAGCGAATGTTCAACTCTGTGACTTGAATGCAGATATCACACAGTAGTTTCTGAGAGTGCTTCTGTCTAGATTTTAGATGATGATATTCCCGTTTCCAACGAAATCATTAGAGCTATCCAAATATCCACTTACAGTTTCTACAAAAAGAGTGTTTCCAAACTGCTGCATCAAAAGAGAGGTTCCACTCTGTTAGCCGAGTACACACATCACAAACTTGTTTCTCAGAATCCTTCTGTCTCGTTTTTATGGGAAGATATTTACTTTTTCACCGTAGGCATCAAAGCGCTCCAAATGTCCACATCCAGATACTCCAGAAAGAGTGTTTCAAACCTGCTCTATGAAAGGTAATCTTCAACTCTATGAGTTGAATGCAGACATCAGAAAGAAATTTCTGAGAATGCTGCTGTCTACCTTTTATTTGAATTCCCGCTTCCAACGAAATCCTCCAAGCTATCCAAATATCCACTTGCAGATTCCACAAAAAGAGTGTTTCAAAACTGCTCTCTATCAATGGCAAAGTTCAACTCTGTTAGTTGAGGACACATATCACCAACAAGTTTCTGAGAATGCTTCTGTCTATTTTTTATGGGAAGATATTTCCTTTTTCACCGTAGGCGTCAAGGCGATCGAAATGTCCACTTCCATAAACTACAAAAAGAGTGTTTCAAACCTGCTCTATGAAAGGCCATGTTCATCTCTATGAGTTGAATGGAAATATCCGAAAGAAATTTCTGGGAATGCTGCTGTCTAGTAGTTTATACGAATTCCCGCTTCCAACGAAATCCTCAAAGCAATCCAAATATCCACTTGCAGAATCCACAAAAAGAGTGTTTCAAAACTGCTCTATCAATAGAAAGGTTCAACTCTTTTAGTTGAGTACACACATCACGAACAAGTTTCTGAGAATGCTTCTGTCTGGCTTTTATTGGAAGACGTTTCCTTTTCACCAAAGGCATCAAAGCGCTCCAAATGTCCACTTCCAGATTCTTCCAAAAGAGTGTTTCAAACGTGCTCAAAGTAAGGGAATGTTCAACTCTGTGACTTGAATGCAGATATCACCAAGTAGTTTCTAATAGTGCTTCTGTCTAGATTTTAGATGATGATATTCCCGTTTCCAACGAAATCGTTAGAGCTATCCAAATATCCACTTACACTTTCTACAAAAAGAGTGTTTCCAAACTGCTGCATCAAAAGAAAGGTTCAACTCTGTTAGTTGAGGACACACATCACAAAGAAGTTTGTGAGAATGCTTCTGTCCAGATTTTGTATGACGATATTCCCTTTTCCAACGATATCGTTAAAGCAATCTAAATATCAATTTGCAGAATCCACAAAAATAGAGTTTGAAAGCTGCTCTGTAAAAAGAAAGGTTCCACTCTGTTAGCTGAGTACACACATCACAAACTTGTTTCTGAGAATCCTTCTGTCTCGTTTTTATGGGAAGATATTTCCTTTTTCACCGTAGGCATCAAAGTGCTCCAAATGTCCACATCCAGATACTCCAGAAAGAGTGTTTCAAACCTGCTCTATGAAAGGGAATCTTCAACTCTATGAGTTGAATGCAGACATCAGAAAGAAATTTCTGAGAATGCTGCTGTCTACCTTTTATTTGAATTCCCGCTTCCAACGAAATCCTCCAAGCTATCCAAATATCCACCTGCATTTTCCACAAAAAGAGTGTTTCAAACCTGCTCTATCAATAGAAATGTTCAACTCCTTTGGCTGGGTACACACATCACAAACAAGTTTCTGAGAATGCTTCTGTCTAGTTTTTATGGGTAGACATTCCCTTTTTCACCAAAGGAATCAAAGCGCTCCAAATGTCCACTTCCAGACACTACAAAAAGAGTGTTTCCAACGTGCTCTAAGAAAGCTAATGTTCAACTCTGTGACTTGAATGCAGATATCACAAAGTAGTTTCTGAGAGGGCTTCTGTCTAGATTTTAGATGATGATATTCCCGTTTCCAACGAAATCATTAGAGCTATCCAAATATCCACTTACAGTTTCTACAAAAAGAGTGTTTCCAAACTGCTGCATCAAAAGAGAGGTTCCACTCTGTTAGCTGAGTACACACATCACAAACTTGTTTCTCAGAATCCTTCTGTCTCGTTTTTATGGGAAGATATTTACTTTTCCACCGTAGGCATCAAAGCGCTCCAAATGTCCACATCCAGATACTCCAGAACGAGTGTTTCAAACCTGCTCTATGAAAGGGAATCTTCAACTACTATGAGTTGAATGCAGACATCAGAAAGAAATTTCTGAGAATGCTGCTGTCTACCTTTTATTTGAATTCCCGCTTCCAACGAAATCCTCCAAGCTATCCAAATATCCACTTGCAGATTCCACAAAAAGAGTGTTTCAAAACTGCTCTCTATCAATGGCAAAGTTCAACTCTGTTAGTTGAGGACACATATCACCAACAAGTTTCTGAGAATGCTTCTGTCTATTTTTTATGGGAAGATATTTCCTTTTTCACCGTAGGCGTCAAGGCGATCGAAATGTCCACTTCCACAAACTACAAAAAGAGTGTTTCAAACCTGCTCTATGAAAGGCGATGTTCATCTGTATGAGTTGAATGGAAATATCCGAAAGAAATTTCTGGGAATGCTGCTGTCTAGTTTTTATACGAATTCCCGCTTCCAACGAAATCCTCAAAGCAATCCAAATATCCACTTGCAGAATCCACAAAAAGAGTGTTTCAAAACTGCTCTATCAATAGAAAGGTTCAACTCTTTTAGTTGAGTACACACATCACAAACAAGTTTCTGAGAATGCTTCTGTCTGGCTTTTATTGGAAGACGTTTCATTTTCACCAAAGGCATCAAAGCGCTCCAAATGTCCACTTCCAGATTCTTCCAAAAGAGTGTTTCAAACGTGCTCAAAGTAAGGGAATGTTCAACTCTTTGACTTGAATGCAGATATCACAAAGTAGGTTCTAATAGTGCTCTGTCTAGATTTTAGATGATGATATTCCCGTTTCCAACGAAATCGTTAGAGCTATCCAAATATCCACTTACAGTTTCTACAAAAAGAGTGTTTCCAAACTGCTGCATCAAAAGAAAGGTTCAACTCTGTTAGTTGAGGACACACATCACAAAGAAGTTTGTGAGAATGCTTTCTGTCTAGATTTTGTATGACGATATTCCCTTTTCCAACGATATTGTTAAAGCAATCTAAATATCAATTTGCAGAATCCACAAAAATAGAGTTTCAAAGCTGCTCTGTAAAAAGAAAGGTTCCACTCTGTTAGCTGAGTACACACATCACAAACTTGTTTCTGAGAATCCTTCTGTCTCGTTTTTCTGGGAAGATATTTACTTTTTCACCGTAGGCATCAAAGCGCTCCAAATGTCCACATCCAGATACTCCAGAAAGAGTGTTTCAAACCTGCTCTATGAAAGGGAATGTTCAACTCTATGAGTTGAATGCAGACATCAGAAAGAAATTTCTGAGAATGCTGCTGTCTACCTTTTATTTGTATTCCCGCTTCCAACGAAATCCTCCAAACTATCCAAATATCCACCTGCATTTTCCACAACAAGAGTGTTTCAAAACTGCTCTATCAATAGAAATGTTCAACTCCTTTGGCTGGGTACACACATCACAAACAAGTCTCTGAGAATGCTTCTGTCTAGTTTTTATGGGAAGACATTCCCTTTTTCACCAAAGGCATCAAAGCGCTCCAAATGTCCACTTCCAGACACTACAAAAAGAGTGTTTCAAACGTGCTCTAAGAAACCGAATGTTCAACTCTGTGACTTGAATGCAGATATCACAAAGTAGTTTCTGAGAGTGCTTCTGTCTAGATTTTAGATGATGATATTCCCGTTTCCAACGAAATCATTAGAGCTATCCAAATATCCACTTACAGTTTCTACAAAAAGAGTGTTTCCAAACTGCTGCATCAAAAGAGAGGTTCCACTCTGTTAGCTGAGTACACACATCACAAACTTGTTTCTCAGAATCCTTCTGTCTCGTTTTTATGGGAAGATATTTACTTTTCCACCGTAGGCATCAAAGCGCTCCAAATGTCCACATCCAGATACTCCAGAACGAGTGTTTCAAACCTGCTCTATGAAAGGGAATGCTCAACTCTATGAGTTGAATGCAGACATCAGAAAGAAATTTCTGAGAATGCTGCTGTCTACCTTTTATTTGAATTCCCGCTTCCAACGAAATCCTCCAAGCTATCCAAATATCCACTTGCAGATTCCACAAAAAGAGTGTTTCAAAACTGCTCTCTATCAATGGCAAAGTTCAACTCTGTTAGTTGAGGACACATATCACCAACAAGTTTCTGAGAATGCTTCTGTCTATTTTTTATGGGAAGATATTTCCTTTTTCACCGTAGGCGTCAAGGCGATCGAAATGTCCACTTCCACAAACTACAAAAAGAGTGTTTCAAACCTGCTCTATGAAAGGCCATGTTCATCTCTATGAGTCGAATGGAAATATCCAAAAGAAATTTCTGGGAATGCTGCTGTCTAGTTTTTATACGAATTCCCGCTTCCAACGAAATCCTCAAAGCAATCCAAATATCCACTTGCAGAATCCACAAAAAGAGTGTTTCAAAACTGCTCTATCAATAGAAAGGTTCAACTCTTTTAGTTGAGTACACACATCACAAACAAGTTTCTGAGAATGCTTCTGTCTGGCTTTTATTGGAAGACGTTTCCTTTTCACCAAAGGCATCAAAGCGCTCCAAATGTCCACTTCCAGATTCTTCCAAAAGAGTGTTTGAAACGTGCTCAAAGTAAGGGAATGTTCAACTCTGTGACTTGAATGCAGATATCACCAAGTAGTTTCTAATAGTGCTTCTGTCTAGATTTTAGATGATGATATTCCCGTTTCCAACGAAATCGTTAGAGCTATCCAAATATCCACTTACAGTTTCTACAAAAAGAGTGTTTCCAAACTGCTGCATCAAAAGAAACGTTCAACTCTGTTAGTTGAGGACACACATCACAAAGAAGTTTGTGAGAATTCTTCTGTCTGGATTTTGTATGACGATATTCCCTTTTCCAACGATATCGTTAAAGCAATCTAAATATCAATTTGCAGAATCCACAAAAATAGAGTTTCAAAGCTGCTCTGTAAAAAGAAAGGTTCCACTCTGTTAGCTGAGTACACACATCACAAACTTGTTTCTGAGAATCCTTCTGTCTCGTTTTTATGGGAAGATATTTACTTTTTCACCGTAGGCATCAAAGCACTCCAAATGTCCACATCCAGATACTCCAGAAAGACTGTTTCAAACCTGCTCTATGAAAGGGAATCTTCAACTCTATGAGTTGAATGCAGACATCAGAAAGAAATTTCTGAGAATGCTGCTGTCTACCTTTTATTTGAATTCCCGCTTCCAACGAAATCCTCCAAGCTATCCAAATATCCACCTGCATTTTCCACAAAAAGAGTGTTTCAAAACTGCTCTAGCAATAGAAATGTTCAACTCCTTTGGCTGGGTACACACATCACAAACAAGTTTCTGAGAATGCTTCTGTCTAGTTTTTATGGGAAGACGTTCCCTTTTTCACCAAAGGCATCAAAGCGCTCCAAATGTCCACTTCCAGACACTACAAAAAGAGTGTTTCAAACGTGCTCTAAGAAAGCGAATGTTCAACTCTGTGACTTGAATGCAGATATCACAAAGTAGTTTCTGAGAGGGCTTCTGTCTAGATTTTAGATGATGATATTCCCGTTTCCAACGAAATCATTAGAGCTATCCAAATATCCACATACAGTTTCTACAAAAAGAGTGTTTCCAAACTGCTGCATCCAAAGAGAGGTTCCACTCTGTTAGCTGAGTACACACATCACAAACTTGTTTCTCAGAATCCTTCTGTCTCGTTTTTATGGGAAGATATTTACTTTTTCATCGTAGGCCTCAAATCGCTCCAAATGTCCACATCCAGATACTCCAGAAAGAGTATTTCAAACCTGCTCTATGAAAGGGAATCTTCAACTCTATGAGTTGAATGCAGACATCAGAAAGAAATTTCTGAGAATGCTGCTGTCTACCTTTTATTTGAATTCCCGCTTCCAACGAAATCCTCCAAGCTATCCAAATATCCACTTGCAGATTCCACAAAAAGAGTGTTTCAAAACTGCTCTCTATCAATGGCAAAGTTCAACTCTGTTAGTTGAGGACACATATCACCAACAAGTTTCTGAGAATGCTTCTGTCTATTTTTTATGGGAAGATATTTCCTTTTTCAGCGTAGGCGTCAAGGCGATCGAAATGTCCACTTCCACAAACTACAAAAAGAGTGTTTCAAACCTGCTCTATGAAAGGCCATGTTCATCTCTATGAGTTGAATGGAAATATCCGAAAGAAATTTCTGGGAATGCTGCTGTCTAGTGTTTATACGAATTCCCGCTTCCAATGAAATCCTCAAAGCAATCCAAATATCCACTTGCAGAATCCACAAAAAGAGTGTTTCAAAACTGCTCTATCAATAGAAAGGTTCAACTCTTTTAGTTGAGTACACACATCACAAACAAGTTTCTGAGAATGCTTCTGTCTGGCTTTTATTGGAAGACGTTTCCTTTTCACCAAAGGCATCAAAGCGCTCCAAATGTCCACTTCCAGATTCTTCCAAAAGAGTGTTTCAAACGTGCTCGAAGTAAGGGAATGTTCAACTCTGTGACTTGAATGCAGATGTCACCAAGTAGTTTCTAATAGTGCTTCTGTCTAGATTTTAGATGATGATATTCCCGTTTCCAACGAATTCGTTAGAGCTATCCAAATATCCACTTACAGTTTCTACCAAAAGGGTGTTTCCAAACTGCTGCATCAAAAGAAAGGTTCAACTCTGTTAGTTGAGGACACACATCACAAAGAAGTTTGTGAGAATGCTTCTGTCCAGATTTTGTATGACGATATTCCCTTTTCCAACGATATCGTTAAAGCAATCTAAATATCAATTTGCAGAATCCACAAAAATAGAGTTTCAAAGCTGCTCTGTAAAAAGAAAGGTTCCACTCTGTTAGCTGAGTACACACATCTCAAACTTGTTTCTCAGAATCCTTCTGTCTCGTTTCTATGGGAAGATATTTACTTTTCCACCATAGGCATCAAAGCGCTCCAAATGTCCACATCCAGATACTCCAGAACGAGTGTTTCAAACCTGCTCTATGAAAGGGAATCTTCAACTCTATGAGTTGAATGCAGAATCAGAAAGAAATTTCTGAGAATGCTGCTGTCTACCTTTTATTTGAATTCCCGCTTCCAACGAAATCCTCCAAGCTATCCAAATATCCACCTGCATTTTGCACAAAAAAAGTGTTTCAAAACTGCTCTATCAATAGAAATGTTCAACTCCTTTGTCTGGGTACACACATCACAAACAAGTTTCTGAGAATGCTTCTGTCTAGTTTTTATGGGAAGACATTCCCTTTTTCACCAAAGGCATCAAAGCGCTCCAAATGTCCACTTCCAGACACTACAAAAAGAGTGTTTCAAACGTGCTCTAAGAAAGCGAATGTTCAACTCTGTGACTTGAATGCAGATATCACCAAGTAGTTTCTGAGAGGGCTTCTGTCTAGATTTTAGATGATGATATTCCCGCTTCCAACGAAATCATTAGAGCTATCCAAATATCCACTTACAGTTTCTACAAAAAGAGTGTTTCCAAACTGCTGCATCAAAAGAAAGGTTCAACTCTGTTAGTTGAGGACACACATCACAAAGAAGTTTGTGAGAATGCTGCTGTCTACCTTTTATTTGAATTCCCGCTTCCAACGAAATCCTCCAAGCTATCCAAATATCCTCCTGCATTTTCCACAACAAGAGTGTTTCAAAACTGCTCTATCAATAGAAATGTTCAACTCCTTTGGCTGGGTACACACATCACAAACAAGTTTCTGAGAATGCTTCTGTCTAGTTTTTATGGGAAGACGTTCCCTTTTTCACCAAAGGCATCAAAGCGCTCCAAATGTCCACTTCCAGACACTACAAAAAGGGTGTTTCAAACGTGCTCTAAGAAAGCAAATGTTCAACTCTGTGACTTGAATGCAGATATCACAAAGTAGTTTCTGAGAGGGCTTCTGTCTAGATTTTAGATGATGATATTCCCGTTTCCAACGAAATCATTAGAGCTATCCAAATATCCACTTACAGTTTCTACAAAAAGAGTGTTTCCAAACTGCTGCATCAAAAGAGAGGTTCCACTCTGTTAGCTGAGTACACACATCACAAACTTGTTTCTCAGAATCCTTCTGTCTCGTTTTTCTGGGAAGATATTTACTTTTTCACCGTAGGCATCAAAGCGCTCCAAATGTCCACATCCAGATACTCCAGAAAGAGTGTTTCAAACCTGCTCTATGAAAGGGAATCTTCAACTCTATGAGTTGAATGCAGACATCAGAAAGAAATTTCTGAGAATGCTGCTGTCTACCTTTTATTTGAATTCCCGCTTCCAACGAAATCCTCCAAGCTATCCAAATATCCACTTGCAGATTCCACAAAAAGAGTGTTTCCAAACTGCTCTCTATCAATGGCAAAGTTCAACTGCTGTTAGTTGAGGACACATATCACCAACAAGTTTCTGAGAATGCTTATCTGTCTATTTTTTATGGGAAGATATTTCCTTTTTCACCGTAGGCGTCAAGGCGATCGAAATGTCCACTTCCACAAACTACAAAAAGAGTGTTTCAAACCTGCTCTATGAAAGGCAATGTTCATCTCTATGAGTTGAATGGAAATATCCGAAAGAAATTTCTGGGAATGCTGCTGTCTAGTTTTTATACGAATTCCCGCTTCCAACGAAATCCTCAAAGCAATCCAAATATCCACTTGCAGAATCCACAAAAAGAGTGTTTCAAAACTGCTCTATCAATAGAAAGGTTCAACTCTTTTAGTTGAGTACACACATCACAAACAAGTTTCTGAGAATGCTTCTGTCTGGCTTTTATTGGAAGACGTTTCCTTTTCACCAAAGGCATCAAAGCGCTCCAAATGTCCACTTCCAGATTCTTCCAAAAGAGTGTTTCAAACGTGCTCAAAGTAAGGGAATGTTCAACTCTGTGACTTGAATGCAGATATCACCAAGTAGTTTCTAATAGTGCTTCTGTCTAGATTTCAGATGATGATATTCCCGTTTCCAACGAAATCGTTAGAGCTAAGCAAATATCCAGTTACAGTTTCTACCAAAAGGGTGTTTCCAAATTGCTGCATCAAAAGATAGGTTCAACTCTGTTAGTTGAGGACACACATCACAAAGAAGTTTGTGAGAATGCTTCTGTCTAGATTTTGTATGACGATATTCCCTTTTCCAACGATATCGTTAAAGCAATCTAAATATCAATTTGCAGAATCCACAAAAATAGAGTTTCAAAGCTGCTCTGTAAAAAGAAAGGTTCCACTCTGTTAGCTGAGTACACACATCACAAACTTGTTTCTCAGAATCCTTCTGTCTCGTTTTTATGGGAAGATATTTACTTTTCCACCGTAGGCATCAAAGCGCTCCAAATGTCCACATCCAGATACTCCAGAACGAGTGTTTCAAACCTGCTCTATGAAAGGGAATCTTCAACTCTATGAGTTGAATGCAGACATCAGAAAGAAATTTCTGAAAATGCTGCTGTCTACCTTTTATTTGAATTCCCGCTTCCAACGAAATCCTCCAAGCTATCCAAATATCCACTTGCAGATTCCACAAAAAGAGTGTTTCAAAACTGCTCTATCAATAGAAATGTTCAACTCCTTTAGCTGGGTACACACATCACAAACAAGTTTCTGAGAATGCTTCTGTCTAGTTTTTATGGGAAGACGTTCCCTTTTTCACCAAAGGCATCAAAGCGCTCCAAATGTCCACTTCCAGACACTACAAAAAGATTGTTTCCAACGTGCTCTAAGAAAGCGAATGTTCAACTCTGTGACTTGAATGCAGATATCACAAAGTAGTTTCTGAGAGGGCTTCTGTCTAGATTTTAGATGATGATATTCCCGTTTCCAACGAAATCATTAGAGCTATCCAAATATCCACTTACAGTTTCTACAAAAAGAGTGTTTCCAAACTGCTGCATCAAAAGAGAGGTTCCACTCTGTTAGCTGAGTACACACATCACAAACTTGTTTCTCAGAATCCTTCTGTCTCGTTTTTATGGGAAGATATTTACTTTCTCACCGTAGGCATCAAAGCGCTCCAAATGTCCACATCCAGATACTCCAGAAAGAGTGTTTCAAACCTGCTCTATGAAAGGGAATCTTCAACTCTATGAGTTGAATGCAGACATCAGAAAGAAATTTCTGAGAATGCTGCTGTCTACCTTTTATTTGAATTCCCGCTTCCAACGAAATCCTCCAAGCTATCCAAATATCCACTTGCAGATTCCACAAAAAGAGTGTTTCAAAACTGCTCTCTATCAATGGCAAAGATCCACTCTGTTAGTTGAGGACACATATCACCAACAAGTTTCTGAGAATGCTCTGTCTATTTTTTATGGGAAGATATTTCCTTTTTCACCGTAGGCATCAAGGCGATCGAAATGTCCACTTCCACAAACTACAAAAAGAGTGTTTCAAACCTGCTCTATGAAAGGCGATGTTCATCTCTATAAGTTGAATGGAAATATCCGAAAGAAATTTCTGGGAATGCTGGCTGTCTAGTGTTTATACGAATTCCCGCTTCCAACGAAATCCTCAAAGCAATCCAAATATCCACTTGCAGAATCCACAAAAAGAGTGTTTCAAAACTGCGCTATCAAAAGAAAGGTTCAACTCTTTTAGTTGAGTACACACATCACGAACAAGTTTCTGAGAATGCTTCTCTCTGGCTTTTATTGGAAGACGTTTCCTTTTCACCAAAGGCATCAAAGCGCTCCAAATGTCCACTTCCAGATTCTTCCAAAAGAGTGTTTCAAACGTGCTCAAAGTAAGGGAATGTTCAACTCTGTGACTTGAATGCAGATATCACCAAGTAGTTTCTAATAGTGCTTCTGTCTAGATTTTAGATGATGATATTCCCGTTTCCAACGAAATCGCTAGAGCTATCCAAATATCCAGTTACAGTTTCTACTAAAAGGGTGTTTCCAAATTGCTGCATCAAAAGAAAGGTTCAACTCTGTTAGTTGAGGACACACATCACAAAGAAGTTTGTGAGAATGCTTCTGTCTAGATTTTGTATGACGGTATTCCCTTTTCCAACGATATCGTTAAAGCAATCTAAATATCAATTTGCAGAATCCACAACAATAGAGTTTCAAAGCTGCTCTGTAAAAAGAAAGGTTCCACTCTGTTAGCTGAGTACACACATCACAAACTTGTTTCTGAGAATCCTTCTGTCTCGTTTTTATGGGAAGATATTTACTTTTTCACCGTAGGCATCAAAGCGCTCCAAATGTCCACATCCAGATACTCCAGAAAGAGTGTTTCAAACCTACTCTATGAAAGGGAATCTTCAACTCTATGAGTTGAATGCAGACATCAGAAAGAAATTTCTGAGAATGCTGCTGTCTAACTTTTATTTGAATTCCCGCTTCCAACGAAATCCTCCAAGCTATCCAAATATCCACCTGCATTTTCCACAACAAGAGTGTTTCAAAACTGCTCTATCAATAGAAATGTTCAACTCCTTTGGCTGGGTACACACATCACAAACAAGTTTCTGAGAATGCTTCTGTCTAGTTTTTATGGGAAGACATTCCCTTTTTCACCAAAGGCATCAAAGCGCTCCAAATGTCCACTTCCAGACACTACAAAAAGAGGGTTTCAAACGTGCTCTAAGAAAGCGAATGTTCAACTCTGTGACTTGAATGCAGATATCACAAAGTAGTTTCTGAGAGGGCTTCTGTCTAGATTTTAGATGATGATATTCCCGTTTCCAACGAAATCATTAGAGCTATCCAAATATCCACTTACAGTTTCCACAAAAAGAGTGTTTCCAAACTGCTGCATCAAAAGAGAGGTTCCACTCTGTTAGCTGAGTACACACATCACAAACTTGTTTCTCAGAATCCTTCTGTCTCGTTTTTATGGGAAGATATTTACTTTCTCACCGTAGGCATCAAAGCGCTCCAAATGTCCACATCCAGATACTCCAGAAAGAGTGTTTCAAACCTGCTCTATGAAAGGGAATCTTCAACTCTATGAGTTGAATGCAGGCATCAGAAAGAAATTTCTGAGAATGCTGCTGTCTACCTTTTATTTGAATTCCCGCTTCCAACGAAATCCTCCAAGCTATCCAAATATCCACTTGCAGATTCCACAAAAAGAGTGTTTCAAAACTGCTCTCTATCAATGGCAAAGTTCAACTCTGTTAGTTGAGGACACATATCACCAACAAGTTTCTGAGAATGCTTCTGTCTATTTTTTATGGGTAGATATTTCCTTTTTCACCGTAGGCATCAAGGCGATCGAAATGTCCACTTCCACAAACTACAAAAAGAGTGTTTCAAACCTGCTCTATGAAAGGCCATGTTCATCTCTATGAGTTGAATGGAAATATCCGAAAGAAATTTCTGGGAATGCTGCTGTCTAGTTTTTATACGAATTCCCGCTTCCAACGAAATCCTCAAAGCAATCCAAATATCCACTTGCAGAATCCACAAAAAGAGTGTTTCAAAACTGCTCTATCAATAGAAAGGTTCAACTCTTTTAGTTGAGTACACACATCACAAACAAGTTTCTGAGAATGCTTCTGTCTGGCTTTTATTGGAAGACGTTTCCTTTTCACCAAAGGCATCAAAGCGCTCCAAATGTCCACTTCCAGATTCTTCCAAAAGAGTGTTTCAAACGTGCTCAAAGTAAGGGAATGTTCAACTCTGTGACTTGAATGCAGATATCACTAAGTAGTTTCTAATAGTGCTTCTGTCTAGATTTTAGATGATGATATTCCCGTTTCCAACGAAATCGTTAGAGCTATCCAAATATCCACTTATAGTTGCTACAAAAACAGTGTTTCCAAACTGCTGCATCAAAAGAAAGGTTCAACTCTGTTAGTTGAGGACACACGTCACAAAGAAGTTTGTGAGAATGCTTCTGTCTAGATTTTGTATGACGATATTCCCTTTTCCAACGATATCATTAAAGCAATCTAAATATCAATTTGCAGAATCCACAAAAATAGAGTTTCAAAGCTGCTCTGTAAAAAGAAAGGTTCCACTCTGTTAGCTGAGTACACACATCACAAACTTGTTTCTGAGAATCCTTCTGTCTCGTTTTTATGGGAAGATATTTACTTTTCCACTGTAGGCATCAAAGCGCTCCAAATGTCCACATCCAGATACTCCAGAACGAGTGTTTCAAACCTGCTCTATGAAAGGGAATCTTCAACTCTATGAGGTTGAATGCAGACATCAGAAAGAAATTTCTGAGAATGCTGCTGTCTACCTTTTATTTGAATTCCCGCTTCCAACGAAATCCTCCAAGCTATCCAAATATCCACCTGCATTTTCCACAAAAAGAGTGTTTCAAACCTGCTCTATCAATAGAAATGTTCAACTCCTTTGGCTGGGTACACACATCACAAACAAGTTTCTGAGAATGCTTCTGTCTAGTTTTTATGGGAAGACATTCCCTTTTTCACCAAAGGCATCAAAGCGCTCCAAATGTCCACTTCCAGACACTACAAAAAGAGTGTTTCAAACGTGCTCTAAGAAAACGAATGTTCAAATCTGTGACTTGAATGCAGATATCACAAAGTGGTTTCTGAGAGGGCTTCTCTCTAGATTTTAGATGATGATATTCCCGTTTCCAACGAAATCATTAGAGCTATCCAAATATCCACTTACAGTTTCTACAAAAAGAGTGTTTCCAAACTGCTGCATCAAAAGAGAGGTTCCACTCTGTTAGCTGAGTACAAACATCACAAACTTGTTTCTGAGAATCCTTCTGTCTCGTTTTTATGGGAAGATATTTACTTTTTCACCGTAGGCATCAAAGCGCTCCAAATGTCCACATCCAGATACTCCAGAAAGAGTGTTTCAAACCTGTTCTATGAAAGGGAATGTTCAACTCTATGAGTTGAATGCAGACATCAGAAAGAAATTTCTGAGAATGCTGCTGTCTACCTTTTATTTGAATTCCCGCTTCCAACGAAATCCTCCAAGCTATCCAAATATCCACTTGCAGATTCCACAAAAAGAGTGTTTCAAAACTGCTCTCTATCAATGGCAAAGTTCAACTCTGTTAGTTGAGGACACATATCACCAACAAGTTTCTGAGAATGCTTCTGTCTATTTTTTATGGGAAGATATTTCCTTTTTCACCGTAGGCGTCAAGGCGATCGAAATGTCCACTTCCACAAACTACAAAAAGCGTGTTTCAAACCTGCTCTATGAAAGGCCATGTTCATCTCTATGAGTTGAATGGAAATATCCGAAAGAAATTTCTGGGAATGCTGCTGTCTAGTTTTTATACGAATTCCCGCTTCCAACGAAATCCTCAAAGCAATCCAAATATCCACTTGCAGAATCCACAAAAAGAGTGTTTCAAAACTGCTCTATCAATAGAAAGGTTCAACTCTTTTAGTTGAGTACACACATCACAAACAAGTTTCTGAGAATGCTTCTGTCTGGCTTTTATTGGAAGACGTTTCCTTTTCACCAAAGGCATCAAAGCGCTCCAAATGTCCACTTCCAGATTCTTCCAAAAGAGTGTTTGAAACGTGCTCAAAGTAAGGGAATGTTCAACTCTGTGACTTGAATGCAGATATCACCAAGTAGTTTCTAATAGTGCTTGTCTGTCTACATTTTAGATGATGATATTCCCGTTTCCAACGAAATCGTTAGAGCTATCCAAATATCCAGTTACAGTTTCTACCAAAAGGGTGTTTCCAAATTGCTGCATCAAAAGAAAGGTTCAACTCCGTTAGTTGAGGACACACATCACAAACAAGTTTGTGAGAATGCTTCTGTCTAGATTTTGTATGACCATATTCCCTTTTCCAACGATATCGTTAAAGCAATCTAAATATCCATTTGCAGAATCCACAAAAATAGAGTTTCAAAGCTGCTCTGTAAAAAGAAAGGTTCCACTCTGTTAGCTGAGTACACACATCACAAACTTGTTTCTCAGAATCCTTCTGTCTCGTTTTTATGGGAAGATATTTACTTTTCCACCGTAGGCATCAAAGCGCTCCAAATGTCCACATCCAGATACTCCAGAAAGACTGTTTCAAACCTGCTCTATGAAAGGGAATCTTCAACTCTATGAGTTGAATGCAGACATCAGAAAGAAATTTCTGAGAATTCTGCTGTCTACCTTTTATTTGAATTCCCGCGTCCAACGAAATCCTCCAAGCTATCCAAATATCCACTTGCATTTTCCACAAAAAGAGTGTTTCAAAACTGCTCTATCAATAGAAATGTTCAACTCCTTTAGCTGGGTACACACATCACAAACAAGTTTCCTGAGAATGCTTCTTTCTAGTTTTTATGGGAAGACATTCCCTTTCTCACCAAAGGCATCAAAGCGCTCCAAATGTCCACTTCCAGACACTACAAAAAGAGTGTTTCAAACGTGCTCTAAGAAAGCGAATATTCAACTCTGTGACTTGAATGCAGATATCACAAAGTAGTTTCTGAGAGGGCTTCTGTCTAGATTTTAGATGATGATATTCCCGTTTCCAACGAAATCATTAGAGCTATCCAAATATCCACTTACAGTTTCTACAAAAAGAGTGTTTCCAAACTGCTGCATCAAAAGAGAGGTTCCACTCTGTTAGCTGAGTACACACATCACAAACTTGATTCTCAGAATCCTTCTGTCTCGTTTTTATGGGAAGATATTTACTTTTTCACCGTAGGCATCAAAGCGCTCCAAATGTCCACATCCAGATACTCCACAAAGAGTGTTTCAAACCTGCTCTATGAACGGGAATCTTCAACTCTATGAGTTGATTGCAGACATCAGAAAGAAATTTCTGAGAATGCTGCTGTCTACCTTTTATTTGAATTCCCGCTTCCAACGAAATCCTCCAAGCTATCCAAATATCCACTTGCAGATTCCACAAAAAGAGTGTTTCAAAACTGCTCTCTATCAATGGCAAAGTTCAACTCTGTTAGTTGAGGACACATATCACCAACAAGTTTCTGAGAATGCTTCTGTCTGTTTTTTATGGGAAGATATTTCCTTTTTCACCGTAGGCGTCAAGGCGATCGAAATGTCCACTTCCACAAACTACAAAAAGAGTGTTTCAAACCTGCTCTATGAAAGGCCATGTTCATCTCTATGAGTCGAATGGAAATATCCGAAAGAAATTTCTGGGAATGCTGCTGTCTAGTTTTTATACGAATTCCCGCTTCCAACGAAATCCTCAAAGCAATCCAAATATCCACTTGCAGAATCCACAAAAAGAGTGTTTCAAAACTGCTCTATCAATAGAAAGGTTCAACTCTTTTAGTTGAGTACACACATCACAAACAAGTTTCTGAGAATGCTTCTGTCTGGCTTTTATTGGAAGACGTTTCCTTTTCACCAAAGGCATCAAAGCGCTCCAAATGTCCACTTCCAGATTCTTCCAAAAGAGTGTTTGAAACGTGCTCAAAGTAAGGGAATGTTCAACTCTGTGACTTGAATGCAGATATCACCAACTAGTTTCTAATAGTGCTTCTGTCTAGATTTTAGATGATGATATTCCCGTTTCCAACGAAATCGTTAGAGCTATCCAAATATCCACTCACAGTTTCTACAAAAAGAGTGTTTCCAAACTGCTGCATCAAAATAAAGGTTCAACTCTGTTAGTTGAGGACACACATCACAAAGAAGTTTGTGAGAATGCTTCTGTCTAGATTTTGTATGACGATATTCCCTTTTCCAACGATATCGTTAAAGCAATCTAAATATCCATTTGCAGAATCCACAAAAATAGAGTTTCAAAGCTGCTCTGTAAAAAGAAAGGTTCCACTCTGTTAGCTGAGTACACACATCACAAACTTGTTTCTGAGAATCCTTCTGTCTCGTTTTTATGGGAAGATATTTACTTTTTCACCGTAGGCATCAAAGCGCTCCAAATGTCCACATCCAGATACTCCAGAAAGAGTGTTTCAAACCTGCTCTATGAAAGGGAATCTTCAACTCTATGAGTTGAATGCAGACATCAGAAAGAAATTTCTGAGAATGCTGCTGTCTACCTTTTATTTGAATTCCCGCTTCCAACGAAATCCTCCAAGCTATCCAAATATCCACCTGCATTTTCCACAACAAGAGTGTTTCGAAACTGCTCTATCAATAGAAATGTTCAACTCCTTTGGCTGGGTACACACATCACAAACAAGTTTCTGAGAATGCTTCTGTCTAGTTTTTATGGGAAGACATTCCCTTTTTCACCAAAGGCATCAAAGCGCTACAAATGTCCACTTCCAGACACTACAAAAAGAGTGTTTCAAACGTGCTCTAAGAAACCGGATGTTCAACTCTGTGACTTGAATGCAGATATCACAAAGTAGTTTCTGAGAGGGCTTCTGTCTAGATTTTAGATGATGATATTCCCGTTTCCAACGAAATCATTAGAGCTATCCAAATATCCACTTACAGTTTCTACAAAAAGAGTGTTTCCAAACTGCTGCATCTAAAGAGAGGTTCCACTCTGTTAGCTGAGTACACACATCAAAATCTTGTTTCTGAGAATCCTTCTGTCTCGTTTTTATGGGAAGATTATACTTTTTCACCGTAGGCATCAAAGCGCTCCAAATGTCCACATCCAGATACTCCAGAAAGAGTGTTTCAAACCTGCTCTATGAAAGGGAATCTTCAACTCTATGAGTTGAATGCAGACATCAGAAAGAAATTTCTGAGAATGCTGCTGTCTACCTTTTATTTGAATTCCCGCTTCCAACGAAATCCTCCAAGCTATCCAAATATCCACTTGCAGATTCCACAAAAAGAGTGTTTCAAAACTGCTCTCTATCAATGGCAAAGTTCAACTCTGTTAGTTGAGGACACATATCACCAACAAGTTTCTGAGAATGCTTCTGTCTATTTTTTATGGGAAGATACTTCCTTTTTCACCGTAGGCGTCAAGGCGATCGAAATGTCCACTTCCACAAACTACAAAAAGAGTGTTTCAAACCTGCTCTATGAAAGGCCATGTTCATCTCTATGAGTTGAATGGAAATATCCAAAAGAAATTTCTGGGAATGCTGCTGTCTAGTTGTTATACGAATTCCCGCTTCCAACGAAATCCTCAAAGCAATCCAAATATCCACTTGCAGAATCCACAAAAAGAGTGTTTCAAAACTGCTCTATCAATAGAAAGGTTCAACTCTTTTAGTTGAGTACACACATCACAAACAAGTTTCTGAGAATGCTTCTGTCTGGCTTTTATTGGAAGACGTTTCCTTTTCACCAAAGGCATCAAAGCGCTCCAAATGTCCACTTCCAGATTCTTCCAAAAGAGTGTTTCAAACGTGCTCAAAGTAAGGGAATGTTCAACTCTGTGACTTGAATGCAGATATCACCAAGTAGTTTCTAATAGTGCTTCTGTCTAGATTTTAGATGATGATATTCCCGTTTCCAACGAAATCATTAGAGCTATCCAAATATCCAGTTACAGTTTCTACCAAAAGGGTGTTTCCAAATTGCTGCATCAAAAGAAAGGTTCAACTCTGTTAGTTGAGGACACACATCACAAAGAAGTTTGTGAGAATGCTTCTGTCCAGATTTTGTATGACGATATTCCCTTTTCCAACGATATCGTTAAAGCAATCTAAATATCAATTTGCAGAATCCACAAAAATAGAGTTTCAAAGCTGCTCTGTAAAAAGAAAGGTTCCACTCTGTTAGCTGAGTACACACATCACAAACTTGTTTCTCAGAATCCTTCTGTCTCGTTTTTCTGGGAAGATATTTACTTTTTCACCGTAGACATCAAAGCGCTCCAAATGTCCACATCCAGATACTCCAGAAAGAGTGTTTCAAACCTGCTCTATGAAAGGGAATCTTCAACTCTATGAGTTGAATGCAGACATCAGAAAGAAATTTCTGAGAATGCTGCTGTCTACCTTTTATTTGAACTCCCGCTTCCAACGAAATCCTCCAAGCTATCCAAATATCCACTTGCATTTTCCACAAAAAGAGTGCTTCAAAACTGCTCTATCAATAAATGTTCAACTCCTTTAGCTGGGTGCACACATCACAAACAAGTTTCTGAGAATGCTTCTGTGTAGTTTTTATGGGTAGACATTCCCTTTTTCACCAAAGGAATCAAAGCGCTCCAAATGTCCACTTCCAGACACTACAAAAAGAGTGTTTCAAACGTGCTCTAAGAAAGCGAATGTTCAACTCTGTGACTTGAATGCAGATATCACAAAGTAGTTTCTGAGAGTGCTTCTGTCTAGATTTTAGATGATGATATTCCCGTTTCCAACGAAATCATTAGAGCTATCCAAATATCCACTTACAGTTTCTACAAAAAAAGTGTTTCCAAACTGCTGCATCAGAAGAGAGGTTCCACTCTGTTAGCTGAGTACACACATCACAAACTTGTTTCTCAGAATCCTTCTGTCTCGTTTTTATGGGAAGATATTTACTTTCTCACCGTAGGCATCAAAGCGCTCCAAATGTCCACATCCAGATACTCCAGAAAGAGTGTTTCAAACCTGCTCTATGAAAGGGAATCTTCAACTCTATGAGTTGAATGCAGACATCAGAAAGAAATTTCTGAGAATGCTGCTGTCTGCCTTTTATTTGAATTCCCGCTTCCAACGAAATCCTCCAAGCTATCCAAATATCCACTTGCAGATTCCACAAAAAGAGTGTTTCAAAACTGCTCTCTATCAATGGCAAAGTTCAACTCTGTTAGTTGAGGACACATATCACCAACAAGTTTCTGAGAATGCTTCTGTCTATTTTTTATGGGAAGATATTTCCTTTTTCACCGTAGGCGTCAAGGCGATCGAAATGTCCACTTCCACAAACTACAAAAAGAGTGTTTCAAACCTGCTCTATGAAAGGCCATGTTCATCTCTATGACTTGAATGGAAATATCCGAAAGAAATTTCTGGGAATGCTGCTGTCTAGTTTTTATACGAATTCCCGCTTCCAACGAAATCCTCAAAGCAATCCAAATATCCACTTGCAGAATCCACAAAAAGAGTGTTTCAAAACTGCTCTATCAATAGAAAGGTTCAACTCTTTTAGTTGAGTACACACATCACAAACAAGTTTCTGAGAATGCTTCTGTCTGGCTTTTATTGGAAGACGTTTCCTTTTCACCAAAGGCATCAAAATGCTCCAAATGTCCACTTCCAGATTCTTCCAAAAGAGTGTTTCAAACGTGCTCAAAGTAAGGGAATGTTCAACTCTTTGACTTGAATGCAGATATCACCAAGTAGTTTCTAATAGTGCTTCTGTCTAGATTTTAGATGACGATATTCCCGTTTCCAGCGAAATCGTTAGAGCTATCCAAATATCCACTTACAGTTTCTACAAAAAGAGTGTTTCCAAACTGCTGCATCAAAAGAAAGGTTCAACTCTGTTAGTTGAGGACACACATCACAAAGAAGTTTGTGAGAATGCTTCTGTCTAGATGTTGTATGACCATATTCCCTTTTCCAACAATATCGTTAAAGCAATCTAAATATCAATTTGCAGAATCCACAAAAATAGAGTTTCAAAGCTGCTCTGTAAAAAGAAAGGTTCCACTCTGTTAGCTGAGTACACACATCACAAACTTGTTTCTGAGAATCCTGCTGTCTACCTTTTATTTGAATTCCCGCTTCCAACGAAATCCTCCAAGCTATCCAAATATCCACTTGCATTTTCCACAAAAAGAGTGTTTCAAAACTGCTCTATCAATAGAAATGTTCAACTCTTTTAGCTGGGTACACACATCACAAACAAGTTTCTGAGAATGCTTCTGTCTAGTTTTCATGGGAAGACATTCCCTTTTTCACCAAAGGCATCAAAGCGCTCCAAATGTCCACTTCCAGACACCACAGAAAGAGTGTTTCCAACGTGCTCTAAGAAAGCGAATGTTCAACTCTGTGACTTGAATGCAGATATCACAAAGTAGTTTCTGAGAGGGCTTCTGTCTAGATTTTAGATGATGATATTCCCGTTTCCAACGAAATCATTAGAGCTATCCAAATATCCACTTACAGTTTCTGCAAAAAGAGTGTTTCCAAACTGCTGCATCAAAAGAGAGGTTCCACTCTGTTAGCTGAGTACACACATCACAAACTTGTTTCTCAGAATCCTTCTGTCTCGTTTTTATGGGAAGATATTTACTTTTTCACCGTAGGCATCAAAGCGCTCCAAATGTCCACATCCAGATACTCCAGAAAGAGTATTTCAAACCTGCCCTATGAAAGGGAATGTTCAACTCTATGAGTTGAATGCAGAGATCAGAAAGAAATTTCTGAGAATGCTGCTGTCTACCTTTTATTTGAATTCCCGCTTCCAACGAAATCCTCCAAGCTATCCAAATATCCACTTGCAGATTCCACAAAAAGAGTGTTTCAAAACTGCTCTCTATCAATGGCAAAGTTCAACTCTGTTAGTTGAGGACACATATCACCAACAAGTTTCTGAGAATGCTTCTGTCTATTTTTTATGGGAAGATATTTCCTTTTTCAGCGTAGGCGTCAAGGCGATCGAAATGTCCACTTCCACAAACTACAAAAAGAGTGTTTCAAACCTGCTCTATGAAAGGCCATGTTCATCTCTATGAGTTGAATGGAAATATCCGAAAGAAATTTCTGGGAATGCTGCTGTCTAGTGTTTATACGAATTCCCGCTTCCAACGAAATCCTCAAAGCAATCCAAATATCCACTTGCAGAATCCACAAAAAGAGTGTTTCAAAACTGCGCTATCAATAGAAAGGTTCAACTCTTTTAGTTGAGTACACACATCACAAACAAGTTTCTGAGAATGCTTCTGTCTGGCTTTTATTGGAAGACGTTTCCTTTTCACCAAAGGCATCAAAGCGCTCCAAATGTCCACTTCCAGATTCTTCCAAAAGAGTGTTTCAAACGTGCTCAAAGTAAGGGAATGTTCAACTCTTTGACTTGAATGCAGATATCACCAAGTAGTTTCTAATAGTGCTTCTGTCTAGATTTTAGATGATGATATTCCCGATTCCAACGAAATCGTTAGAGCTATCCAAATATCCACTTACAGTTTCTACAAAAAGAGTGTTTCCAAACTGCTGCATCAAAAGAAAGGTTCAACTCTGTTAGTTGAGGACACACATCACAAAGAAGTTTGTGAGAATGCTTCTGTCTAGATTTTGTATGACGATATTCCCTTTTCCAACGATATCGTTAAATCAATCTAAATATCAATTTGCAGAATCCACAAAAATAGAGTTTCAAAGCTGCTCTGTAAAAAGAAAGGTTCCACTCTGTTAGCTGAGTACACACATCACAAACTTGTTTCTCAGAATCCTTCTGTCTCGTTTTTATGGGAAGATATTTACTTTTTCACCATAGGCATCAAAGCGCTCCAAATGTCCACATCCAGATACTCCAGAAAGACTGTTTCAAACCTGCTCTATGAAAGGGAATCTTCAACTCTATGAGTTGAATGCAGACATCAGAAAGAAATTTCTGAGAATGCTGCTGTCTACCTTTTATTTGAATTCCCGCTTCCAACGAAATCCTCCAAGCTATCCAAATATCCACCTGCATTTTCCACAACAAGAGTGATTCAAAACTGCTCTATCAATAGAAATGTTCAACTCCTTTGGCTGGGTACACACATCACAAACAAGTTTCTGAGAATGCTTCTGTCTAGTTTTTATGGGAAGACATTCCCTTTTTCACCAAGGCATCAAAGCGCTCCAAATGTCCACTTCCAGACACTACAAAAAGAGTGTTTCCAACGTGCTCTAAGAAAGCGAATGTTCAACTCTGTGACTTGAATGCAGATATCACAAAGTAGTTTCTGAGAGGGCTTCTGTCTAGATTTTAGATGATGATATTCCCGTTTCCAACGAAATCATTAGAGCTATCCAAATATCCACTTCCAGTTTCTACAAAAAGAGTGTTTCCAAACTACTGCATCAAAAGAGAGGTTCCACTCTGTTAGCTGAGTACACACATCACAAACTAGTTTCTCAGAATCCTTCTGTCTCGTTTTTATGGGAAGATATTTACTTTTTCACCGTAGGCATCAAAGCGCTCCAAATGTCCACATCCAGATACTACAGAAAGAGTATTTCAAACCTGCCCTATGAAAGGGAATGTTCAACTCTATGAGTTGAATGCAGACATCAGAAAGAAATTTCTGAGAATGCTGCTGTCTACCTTTTATTTGAATTCCCGCTTCCAACGAAATCCTCCAAACTATCCAAATATCCACTTGCAGATTCAGGAAAAAGAGTGTTTCAAAACTGCTCTCTATCAATGGCAAAGTTCAACTCTGTTAGTTGAGGACACATATCACCAACAAGTTTTCTGAGAATGCTTCTGTCTATTTTTTATGGGAGGATATTTCCTTTTTCACCGTAGGCGTCAAGGCGATCGAAATGTCCACTTCCACAAACTACAAAAAGAGTGTTTCAAACCTGCTCTATGAAAGGCCATGTTCATCTCTATGAGTTGAATGGAAATATCCGAAAGAAATTTCTGGGAATGCTGCTGTCTAGTTTTTATACGAATTCCCGCTTCCAACGAAATCCTCAAAGCAATCCAAATATCCACTTGCAGAATCCACAAAAAGAGTGTTTCAAAACTGCTCTATCAATAGAAAGGTTCAACTCTTTTAGTTGAGTACACACATCACAAACAAGTTTCTGAGAATGCTTCTGTCTGGCTTTTATTGGAAGACGTTTCCTTTTCACCAAAGGCATCAAAGCGCTCCAAATGTCCACTTCCAGATTCTTCCAAAAGAGTGTTTGAAACGTGCTCAAAGTAAGGGAATGTTCAACTCTGTGACTTGAATGCAGATATCACCAAGTAGTTTCTAATAGTGCTTTCTGTCTAGATTTTAGATGATGATATTCCCGTTTCCAACGAAATCGTTAGAGCTATCCAAATATCCACTTACAGTTGCTACAAAAACAGTGTTTCCAAACTGCTGCATCAAAAGAAAGGTTCAACTCTGTTAGTTGAGGACACACATCACAAAGAAGTTTGTGAGAATGCTTCTGTCTAGATTTTGTATGACCATATTCCCTTTTCCAACGATATCGTTAAAGCAATCTAAATATCAATTTGCAGAATCCACAAAAATAGAGTTTCAAAGCTGCTCTGTAAAAAGAAAGGTTCCACTCTGTTAGCTGAGTACACACATCACAAACTTGTTTCTGAGAATCCTTCTGTCTCGTTTTTATGGGAAGATATTTACTTTTTCACCGTAGGCATCAAAGCGCTCCAAATGTCCACATCCAGATACTACAGAAAGAGTATTTCAAACCTGCTCTATGAAAGGGAATCTTCAACTCTATGAGTTGAATGCAGACATCAGAAAGAAATTTCTGAGAATGCTGCTGTCTAACTTTTATTTGAATTCCCGCTTCCAACGAAATCCTCCAAGCTATCCAAATATCCACCTGCATTTTCCACAAAAAGAGTGTTTCAAAACTGCTCTATCAATAGAAATGTTCAACTCCTTTGGCTGGGTACACACATCACAAACAAGTTTCTGAGAATGCTTCTGTCTAGTTTTTATGGGTAGACATTCCCTTTTTCACCAAAGGAATCAAAGCGCTCCAAATGTCCACTTCCAGACACTACAAAAAGAGTGTTTCAAACGTGCTCTAAGAAAGCGAATGTTCAACTCTGTGACTTGAATGCAGATATCACAAAGTAGTTTCTGAGAGGGCTTCTGTCTAGATTTTAGATGATGATATTCCCGTTTCCAACGAAATCATTAGAGCTATCCAAATATCCACTTACAGTTTCTACAAAAAGAGTGTTTCCAAACTGCTGCATCAAAAGAGAGGTTCCACTCTGTTAGCTGAGCACACACATCACAAACTTGTTTCTCAGAATCCTTCTGTCTCGTTTTTATGGGAAGATATTTACTTTTTCACCGTAGGCATCAAAGCGCTCCAAATGTCCACATCCAGATACTACAGAAAGAGTATTTCAAACCTGCCCTATGAAAGGGAATCTTCAACTCTATGAGTTGAATGCAGACATCAGAAAGAAATTTCTGAGAATGCTGCTGTCTACCTTTTATTTGAATTCCCGCTTCCAACGAAATCCTCCAAGCTATCCAAATATCCACTTGCAGATTCCACAAAAAGAGTGTTTCAAAACTGCTCTCTATCAATGGCAAAGTTGAACTCTGTTAGTTGAGGACACATATCACCAACAAGTTTCTGAGAATGCTTCTGTCTATTTTTTATGGGAAGATATTTCCTTTTTCACCGTAGGCGTCAAGGCGATCGAAATGTCCACTTCCACAAACTACAAAAAGAGTGTTTCAAACCTGCTCTATGAAAGGCCATGTTCATCTCTATGAGTCGAATGGAAATATCCGAAAGAAATTTCTGGGAATGCTGCTGTCTAGTTTTTATACGAATTCCCGCTTCCAACGAAATCCTCAAAGCAATCCAAATATCCACTTGCAGAATCCACAAAAAGAGTGTTTCAAAACTGCTCTATCAATAGAAAGGTTCAACTCTTTTTAGTTGAGTACACACATCACAAACAAGTTTCTGAGAATGCTTCTGTCTGGCTTTTATTGGAAGACGTTTCCTTTTCACCAAAGGCATCAAAGCGCTCCAAATGTCCACTTCCAGATTCTTCCAAAAGAGTGTTTGAAACGTGCTCAAAGTAAGGGAATGTTCAACTCTGTGACTTGAATGCAGATATCACCAAGTAGTTTCTAATAGTGCTTCTGTCTAGATTTTAGATGATGATATTCCCGTTTCCAACAAAATCGTTAGAGCTATCCAAATATCCACTTACAGTTGCTACAAAAACAGTGTTTCCAAACTGCTGCATCAAAAGAAAGGTTCAACTCTGTTAGTTGAGGACACACGTCACAAAGAAGTTTGTGAGAATGCTTCTGTCTAGGTTTTGTATGACGATATTCCCTTTTCCAACGATATCGTTAAAGCAATCTAAATATCAATTTGCAGAATCCACAAAAATAGAGTTTCAAAGCTGCTCTGTAAAAAGAAAGGTTCCACTCTGTTAGCTGAGTACACACATCACAAACTTGTTTCTCAGAATCCTTCTGTCTCTTTTTTATGGGAAGATATTTACTTTTTCACCGTAGGCATCAAAGCGCTCCAAATGTCCACATCCAGATACTCCAGAAAGAGTGTTTCAAACCTGCTCTATGAAAGGGAATCTTCAACTCTATGAGTTGAATGCAGACATCAGAAAGAAATTTCTGAGAATGCTGCTGTCTACCTTTTATTTGAATTCCCGCTTCCAACGAAATCCTCCAAGCTATCCAAATATCCACTTGCAGATTCCACAAAAAGAGTGTTTCAAAACTGCTCTCTATCAATGGCAAAGTTCAACTCTGTTAGTTGAGGACACATATCACCAACAAGTTTCTGAGAATGCTTCTGTCTATTGTTTATGGGAAGATATTTCCTTTTTCACCGTAGGCGTCAAGGCGATCGAAATGTCCACTTCCACAAACTACAAAAAGAGTGTTTCAAACCTGCTCTATGAAAGGCGATGTTCATCTCTATGAGTTGAATGGAAATATCCGAAAGAAATTTCTGGGAATGCTGCTGTCTAGTTTTTATATGAATTCCCGCTTCCAACGAAATCCTCAAAGCAATCCAAATATCCACTTGCAGAATCCACAAAAAGAGTGTTTCAAAACTGCTCTATCAATAGAAAGGTTCAACTCTTTTAGTTGAGTACACACATCACCAACAAGTTTCTGAGAATGCTTCTGTCTGGCTTTTATTGGAAGACGTTTCCTTTTCACCAAAGGCATCAAAGCGCTCCAAATGTCCACTTCCAGATTCTTCCAAAGGAGTGTTTCAAACGTGCTCGAAGTAAGGGAATGTTCTACTCTGTGACTTGAATGCAGATATCACCAAGTAGTTTCTAATAGTGCTTCTGTCTAGATTTTAGGTGATGATATTCCCGTTTCCAACGAAATCGTTAGAGCTATCCAAATATCCAGTTACAGTTTCTACCGAAAGGGTGTTTCCAAATTGCTGCATCAAAAGAAAGGTTCAACTCTGTTAGTTGAGGACACACATCACAAAGAAGTTTGTGAGAATGCTTCTGTCTAGATTTTGTATGACGATATTCCCTTTTCCAACGATATCGTTAAAGCAATCTAAATATCAATTTGCAGAATCCACGAAAATAGAGTTTCAAAGCTGCTCTGTAAAAAGAAAGGCTCCACTCTGTTAGCTGAGTACACACATCACAAACTTGTTTCTGAGAATCCTTCTGTCTCGTTTTTATGGGAAGATATTTACTTTTCCACCGTAGGCATCAAAGCGCTCCAAATGTCCACATCCAGATACTCCAGAAAGAGTATTTCAAACCTGCTCTATGAAAGGGAATCTTCAACTCTATGAGTTGAATGCAGACATCAGAAAGAAATTTCTGAGAATGCTGCTGTCTACCTTTTATTTGAATTCCCGCTTCCAACGAAATCCTCCAAGCTATCCAAATATCCACCTGCATTTTCCACAAAAAGAGTGTTTCAAAACTGCTCTATCAATAGAAATGTTCAACTCCTTTGGCTGGGTACACACATCACAAACAAGTTTCTGAAAATGCTTCTGTCTAGTTTTTATGGGTAGACATTCCCTTTTTCACCAAAGGAATCAAAGCGCTCCAAATGTCCACTTCCAGACACTACAAAAAGAGTGTTTCAAACGTGCTCTAAGAAAGCGAATGTTCAACTCTGTGACTTGAATGCAGATATCACACAGTAGTTTCTGAGAGGGCTTCTGTCTAGATTTTAGACGATGATATTCCCGTTTCCAACGAAATCATTAGAGCTATCCAAATATCCACTTACAGTTTCTACAAAAAGAGTGTTTCCAAACTGCTGCATCAAAAGAGAGGTTCCACTCTGTTAGCTGAGTACACACATCACAAACTTGTTTCTCAGAATCCTTTCTGTCTCGTTTTTATGGGAAGATATTTACTTTTTCAACGTAGGCATCAAAGCGCTCCAAATGTCCACATCCAGATACTCCACAAAGAGTGTTTCAAACCTGCTCTATGAAAGGGAATCTTCAACTCTATGAGTTGAATGCAGACATCAGAAAGAAATTCCTGAGAATGCTGCTGTCTACCTTTTATTTGAATTCCCGCTTCCAACGAAATCCTCCAAGCTATCCAAATATCCACTTGCAGATTCCACAAAAAGAGTGTTTCAAAACTGCTCTCTATCAATGGCAAAGTTCAACTCTGTTAGTTGAGGACACATATCAACAACAAGTTTCTGAGAATGCTTCTGTCTATTTTTTATGGGAAGATATTTCCTTTTTCACCGTAGGCGTCAAGGCGATCGAAATGTCCACTTCCACAAACTACAAAAAGAGTGTTTCAAACCTGCTCTATGAAAGGCCATGTTCATCTCTATGAGTTGAATGGATATATCCGAAAGAAATTTCTGGGAATGCTGCTGTCTAGTTTTTATACGAATTCCCGCTTCCAACGAAATCCTCAAAGCAATCCAAATATCCACTTGCAGAATCCACAAAAAGAGTGTTTCAAAACTGCTCTATCAATAGAAAGGTTCAACTCTTTTAGTTGAGTACACACATCACAAACAAGTTTGCTGAGAATGCTTCTGTCTGGCTTTTATTGGAAGCCGTTTCCTTTTCACCAAAGGCATCAAAGCGCTCCAAATGTCCACTTCCAGATTCTTCCAAAAGAGTGTTTCAAACGTGCTCAAAGTAAGGGAATGTTCAACTCTGTGACTTGAATGCAGATATCACCAAGTAGTTTCTAATAGTGCTTCTGTCTAGATTTTAGATGACGATATTCCCGTTTCCAGCGAAATCGTTAGAGCTATCCAAATATCCACTTACAGTTTCTACAAAAAGAGTGTTTCCAAACTGCTGCATCAAAAGAAAGGTTCAACTCTGTTAGTTGAGGACACACATCACAAAGAAGTTTGTGAGAATGCTTCTGTCCAGATTTTGTATGACGATATTCCCTTTTCCAACGATATCGTTAAAGCAATCTAAATATCCATTTGCAGAATCCACAAAAATAGAGTTTCAAAGCTGCTCTGTAAAAAGAAAGGTTCCACTCTGTTAGCTGAGTACACACATCACAAACTTGTTTCTGAGAATCCTTCTGTCTCGTTTTTATGGGAAGATATTTACTTTTTCACCGTAGGCATCAAAGCGCTCCAAATGTCCACATCCAGATACTCCAGAAAGAGTGTTTCAAACCTGCTCTATGAAAGAGAATCTTCAACTCTATGAGTTGAATGCAGACATCAGAAAGAAATTTCTGAGAATGCTGCTGTCTACCTTTTATTTGAATTCCCGCTTCCAACGAAATCCTCCAAGCTATCCAAATATCCACTTGCATTTTCCACAAAAAGAGTGTTTCAAGACTGCTCTATCAATAGAAATGTTCAACTCCTTTAGCTGGGTACACACATCACAAACAAGTTTCTGAGAATGCTTCTGTCTAGTTTTTATGGGAAGACATTCCCCTTTTCACCAAAGGCATCAAAGCGCTCCAAATGTCCACTTCCAGACACTACAAAAAGAGTGTTTCAAACGTGCTCTAAGAAAGTGAATGTTCAACTCTGTGACTTGAATGCAGATATCACAAAGTAGTTTCTGAGAGGGCTTCTGTCTAGATTTTAGATGATGATATTCCCGTTTCCAACGAAATCATTAGAGCTATCCAAATATCCACTTACAGTTTCTACAAAAAGAGTGTTTCCAAACTGCTGCATCAAAAGAGAGGTTCCACTCTGTTAGCTGAGTAAAGACATCACAAACTTGTTTCTGAGAATCCTTCTGTCTCGTTTTTATGGGAAGATATTTACTTTTTCACCGTAGGCATCAAAGCGCTCCAAATGTCCACATCCAGATACTCCAGAAAGAGTGTTTCAAACCTGCTCTATAAAAGGGAATCTTCAACTCTATGAGTTGAATGCAGACATCAGAAAGAAATTTCTGAGAATGCTGCTGTCTACCTTTTATTTGAATTCCCGCTTCCAACGAAATCCTCCAAGCTATCCAAATATCCACTTGCAGATTCCACAAAAAGAGTGTTTCAAAACTGCTCTCTATCAATGGCAAAGTTCAACTCTGTTAGATGAGGACACATATCACCAACAAGTTTCTGAGAATGCTTCTGTCTATTTTTATGGGAAGATATTTCCTTTTTCACCGTAGGCGTCAAGGCGATCGAAATGTCCACTTCCACAAACTACAAAAAGAGTGTTTCAAGCCTGCTCTATGAAAGGCCATGTTCATCTCTATGAGTTGAATGGAAATATCCGAAAGAAATTTCTGGGAATGCTGCTGTCTAGTGTTTATACGAATTCCCGCTTCCAACGAAATCCTCAAAGCAATCCAAATATCCACTTGCAGAATCCACAAAAAGAGTGTTTCAAAACTGCTCTATCAATAGAAAGGTTCAACTCTTTTAGTTGAGTACACACATCACAAACAAGTTTCTGAGAATGCTTCTGTCTGGCTTTTATTGGAAGACGTTTCCTTTTCACCAAAGGCATCAAAGCGCTCCAAATGTCCACTTCCAGATTCTTCCAAAAGAGTGTTTGAAACGTGCTCAAAGTAAGGGAATGTTCAACTCTGTGACTTGAATGCAGATATCACCAAGTAGTTTCTAATAGTGCTTCTGTCTACATTTTAGATGATGATATTCCCGTTTCCAACGAAATCGTTAGAGCTATCCAAATATCCAGTTACAGTTTCTACCAAAAGGGTGTTTCCAAATTGCTGCATCAAAAGAAAGGTTCAACTCTGTTAGTTGAGGACACACATCACAAAGAAGTTTGTGAAAATGCTTCTGTCTAGATTTTGTATGAAGATATTCCCTTTTCCAACGATGTCATTAAATCAACCCAAATATCAATTTGCAGAATCCACAGAAATAGAGTTTCAAAGCTGCTCTGTAAAAAGAAAGGATCCACTCTATTAGCTGAGTACACACATAAAAAACTTGTTTCTGAGAATCCTTCTGTCTCGTTTTTATGGGAAGATATTTACTTTTCCACCGTAGGCATCAAAGCGCTCCAAATGTCTACATCCAGATACTCCAGAACGAGTGTTTCAAACCTGCTCTATGAAAGGGAATCTTCAACTCTATGAGTTGAATGCAGACATCAGAAAGAAATTTCTGAGAATGCTGCTGTCTACCTTTTATTTGAATTCCCGCTTCCAACGAAATCCTCCAAGCTATCCAAATATCCACTTGCATTTTCCACAACAAGAGTGTTTTAAAACTGCTCTATCAATAGAAATGTTCAACTCCTTTGGCTGGGTACACACATCACAAACAAGTTTCTGAGAATGCTTCTGTCTAGTTTTTATGGGAAGACGTTCCCTTTTTCACCAAAGGCATCAAAGCGCTCCAAATGTCCACTTCCAGACACTACAAAAAGAGTGTTTCAAACGTGCTCTAAGAAAACGAATGTTCAACTCTGTGACTTGAATGCAGATATCACAAAGTAGTTTCTGAGAGGGCTGCTGTCTAGATTTTAGATGATGATATTCCCGTTTCCAACGAAATCATTAGAGCTATCCAAATATCCACTTACAGTTTCTACAAAAAGAGTGTTTCCAAACTGCTGCATCAAAACAGAGGTTCCACTCTGTTAGCTGAGTACACACATCACAAACTTGTTTCTCAGAATCCTTCTGTCTCGTTTTTATGGGAAGATATTTACTTTTCCACCGTAGACATCAAAGCGCTCCAAATGTCCACATCCAGATACTCCAGAAAGAGTGTTTCAAACCTGCTCTATGAAAGGGAATCTTCAACTCTATGAGTTGAATGCAGACATCAGAAAGAAATTTCTGAGAATGCTGCTGTCTACCTTTTATTTGAATTCCCGCTTCCAACGAAATCCTCCAAGCTATCCAAATATCCACTTGCAGATTCCACAAAAAGAGTGTTTCAAAACTGCTCTCTATCAATGGCAAAGTTCAACTCTGTTAGTTGAGGACACATATCACCAACAAGTTTCTGAGAATGCTTCTGTCTATTTTTTATGGGAAGATATTTCCTTTTTCACCGTAGGCGTCAAGGCGATCGAAATGTCCACTTCCACAAACTACAAAAAGAGTGTTTCAAACCTGCTCTATGAAAGGCCATGTTCATCTCTATGAGTTGAATGGAAATATCCGAAAGAAATTTCTGGGAATGCTGCTGTCTAGTTTTTATACGAATTCCCGCTTCCAACGAAATCCTCAAAGCAATCCAAATATCCACTTGCAGAATCCACAAAAAGAGTGTTTCAAAACTGCTCTATCAATAGAAAGGTTCAACTCTTTTAGTTGAGTACACACATCAAGAACAAGTTTCTGAGAATGCTTCTGTCTGACTTTTATTGGAAGACGTTTCCTTTTCACCAAAGGCATCAAAGCGCTCCAAATGTCCACTTCCAGATTCTTCCAAAAGAGTGTTTCAAACGTGCTCAAAGTAAGGGAATGTTCAACTCTGTGACTTGAATGCAGATATCACCAAGTAGTTTCTAATAGTGCTTCTGTCTAGATTTTAGATGATGATATTCCCGTTTCCAACGAAATCGTTAGAGCTATCCAAATATCCACTTACAGTTTCTACAAAAACAGTGTTTCCAAACTGCTGCATCAAAAGAAAAGTTCAACTCTGTTAGTTGAGGACACACATCACAAAGAAGTTTGTGAGAATGCTTCTGTCTAGATTTTGTATGACCATATTCCCTTTTCCAGCGATATCGTTAAAGCAATCTAAATATCCATTTGCAGAATCCACAAAAATAGAGTTTCAAAGCTGCTCTGTAAAAAGAAAGGTTCCACTCTGTTAGCTGAGTACACACATCACAAACTTGTCTCTCAGAATCCTTCTGTCTCGTTTTTATGGGAAGATATTTACTTTTTCACCGTAGGCATCAAAGCGCTCCAAATGTCCACATCCAGATACTCCAGAAAGAGTGTTTCAAACCTGCTCTATGAAAGGGAATCTTCAACTCTATGAGTTGAATGCAGACATCAGAAAGAAATTTCTGAGAATGCTGCTGTCTACCTTTTATTTGAACTCCCGCTTCCAACGAAATCCTCCAAGCTATCCAAATATCCACTTGCATTTTCCACAAAAAGAGTGCTTCAAAACTGCTCTATCAATAAATGTTCAACTCCTTTAGCTGGGTGCACACATCACAAACAAGTTTCTGAGAATGCTTTCTGTCTAGATTTTATGGGAAGACATTCCCTTTTTCACCAAAGGCATCAAAGCGCTCCAAATGTCCACTTCCAGACACTACAAAAAGAGTGTTTCCAACGTGCTCTAAGAAAGCGAATGTTCAACTCTGTGACTTGAATGCAGATATCACAAAGTAGTTTCTGAGAGGGCTTCTGTCTAGATTTTAGATGATGATATTCCCGTTTCCAACGAAATCATTAGAGCTATCCAAATATCCACTTACAGTTTCTACAAAAAGAGTGTTTCCAAACTGCTGCATCAAAAGAGAGGTTCCACTCTGTTAGCTGAGTACACACATCACAAACTTGTTTCTGAGAATCCTTCTGTGTCGTTTTTATGGGAAGATATTTACTTTTTCACCGTAGGCATCAAAGCGCTCCAAATGTCCACATCCAGATACTCCAGAAAGAGTGTTTCAAACCTGCTCTATGAAAGGGAATATTCAACTCTATGAGTTGAATGCAGACATCAGAAAGAAATTTCTGAGAATGCTGCTGTCTACCTTTTATTTGAATTCCCGCTTCCAACGAAATCCTCCAAGCTATCCAAATATCCACTTGCAGATTCCACAAAAAGAGTGTTTCAAAACTGCTCTCTATCAATGGCAAAGTTCAAATCTGTTAGTTGAGGACACATATCACCAACAAGTTTCTGAGAATGCTTCTGTCTAGTTTTTATGGGAAGACATTCCCTTTTTCACCAAAGGCATCAAAGCGCTCCAAATGTCCACTTCCACAAACTACAAAAAGAGTGTTTCAAACCTGCTCTATGAAAGGCCATGTTCATCTCTATGAGTCGAATGGAAATATCCGAAAGAAATTTCTGGGAATGCTGCTGTCTAGTGTTTATACGAATTCCCGCTTCCAACGAAATCCTCAAAGCAATCCAAATATCCACTTGCAGAATCCACAAAAAGAGTGTTTCAAAACTGCTCTGTCAATAGAAAGGTTCAACTCTTTTAGTTGAGTACACACATCACGAACAAGTTTCTGAGAATGCTTCTGTCTGGCTTTTATTGGAAGACGTTTCCTTTTCACCAAAGGCATCAAAGCGCTCCAAATGTCCACTTCCAGATTCTTCCAAAAGAGTGTTTCAAACGTGCTCAAAGTAAGGGAATGTTCAACTCTGTGACTTGAATGCAGATATCACCAAGTAGTTTCTAATAGTGCTTCTGTCTAGATTTTAGATGATGATATTCCCGTTTCCAACGAAATCGTTAGAGCTATCCAAATATCCAGTTACAGTTTCTACCAAAAGGGTGTTTCCAAATTGCTGCATCAAAAGAAAGGTTCAACTCTGTTAGTTGAGGACACACATCACAAAGAAGTTTGTGAGAATGCTTCTGTCTAGATTTTGTATGACGATATTCCCTTTTCCAACGATATCGTTAAAGCAACCTAAATATCAATTTGCAGAATCCACAAAAATAGAGTTTCAAAGCTGCTCTGTAAAAAGAAAGGTTCCACTCTGTTAGCTGAGTACACACATCACAAACTTGTTTCTGAGAATCCTTCTGTCTCGTTTTTATGGGAAGATATTTACTTTTTCACCGTAGGCATCAAAGCGCTCCAAATGTCCACATCCAGATACTCCAGAAAGAGTGTTTCAAACCTGCTCTATGAAAGGGAATCTTCAACTCTATGAGTTGAATGCAGACATCAGAAAGAAATTTCTGAGAATGCTGCTGTCTACCTTTTATTTGAACTCCCGCTTCCAACGAAATCCTCCAAGCTATCCAAATATCCACTTGCATTTTCCACAAAAAGAGTGCTTCAAAACTGCTCTATCAATAAATGTTCAACTCCTTTAGCTGGGTGCACACATCACAAACAAGTTTCTGAGAATGCTTCTGTCTAGTTTTTATGGGAAGACATTTCCTTTTTCACCAAAGGCATCAAAGAGCTCCAAATGTCCACTTCTAGATACTACAAAAAGAGTGTTTCAAAAGTGCTCTAAGAAAGCGAATGTTCAACTCTGTGACTTGAATGCAGATATCACAAAGTAGTTTCTGAGAGTGCTTCTGTCTAGATTTTGTATGAGGATATTCCCTTTTCCAACGATATCGTTAAAGCAATCTAAATATCAATTTGCAGAATCCACAAAAATAGAGTTTCAAAGCTGCTCTGTAAAAAGAAAGGTTCCACTCTGTTAGCTGAGTACACACATCACAAACTTGTTTCTCAGAATCCTGCTGTCTACCTTTTATTTGAATTCCCGCTTCCAACGAAATCCTCCTAGCTATCCAAACATCCACTTGCATTTTCCACAAAAAGAGTGTTTCAAAACTGCTCTATCAATAGAAACTTTCAACTCCTTTAGCTGGGTACACACATCACAAACAAGTTTCTGAGAACGCTTCTGTCTAGTTTTTATGGGTAGACATTCCCTTTTTCACCAAAGGAATCAAAGCGCTCCAAATGTCCACTTCCAGCCAATACAAAAAGAGTGTTTCAAACGTGCTCTACGAAAGCGAATGTTCAACTCTGTGACTTGAATGCAGATATCACACAGTAGTTTCTGAGAGTGCTTCTGTCTAGATTTTAGATGATGATATTCCCGTTTCCAACGAAATCATTAGAGCTATCCAAATATCCACTTACAGTTTCTACAAAAAGAGTGTTTCGAAACTGCTGCATCAAAAGAGATTTCCACTCTGTTAGCTGAGTACACACATCACAAACTTGTTTCTCAGAATCCTTCCGTCTCGTTTTAATGGGAAGATATTTACTTTTTCACCATAGGCATCAAAGCGCTCCAAATGTCCACATCCAGATACTACAGAAAGAGTATTTCAAACCTGCTCTATGAAAGGGAATGTTCAACTCTATGAGTTGAATGCAGACATCAGAAAGAAATTTCTGAGAATGCTGCTGTCTACCTTTTATTTGAATTCCCGCTTCCAACGAAATCCTCCAAGCTATCCAAATATCCACTTGCAGATTCCACAAAAAGAGTGTTTCAAAACTGCTCTCTATCAATGGCAAAGTTCAACTCTGTTAGTTGAGGGCACATATCACCAACAAGTTTCTGAGAATGCTTCTGTCTATTTTTTATGGGAAGATATTTCCTTTTTCACCGTAGGCGTCAAGGCGATCGAAATGTCCACTTCCACAAACTACAAAAAGAGTGTTTCAAACCTGCTCTATGAAAGGCCATGTTCATCTCTATGAGTTGAATGGAAATATCCGAAAGAAATTTCTGGGAATGCTGCTGTCTAGTTGTTATACGAATTCCCGCTTCCAAAGAAATCCTCAAAGCAATCCAAATATCCACTTGCAGAATCCACAAAAAGAGTGTTTCAAAACTGCTCTATCAATAGAAAGGTTCAACTCTTTTAGTTGAGTACACACATCAAGAACAAGTTTCTGAGAATGCTTCTGTCTGGCTTTTATTGGAAGACGTTTCCTTTTCACCAAAGGCATCAAAGCGCTCCAAATGTCCACTTCCAGATTCTTCCAAAAGAGTGTTTCAAACGTGCTCAAAGTAAGGGAATGTTCAACTCTTTGACTTGAATGCAGATATCACCAAGTAGTTTCTAATAGTGCTTCTGTCTAGATTTTAGATGATTATATTCCCGTTTCCAACGCAATCGTTAGAGCTATCCAAATATCCACTTACAGTTTCTACAAAAAGAGTGTTTCCAAACTGCTGCATCAAAAGAAAGGTTCAACTCTGTTAGTTGAGGACACACATCACAAAGAAGTTTGTGAGAATGCTTCTGTCTAGATTTTGTATGACCATATTCCCTTTTCCAGCGATATCATTAAAGCAATCTAAATATCCATTTGCAGAATCCACAAGAATAGAGTTTCAAAGCTGCTCTGTAAAAAGAAAGGTTCCACTCTGTTAGCTGAGTACACACATCACAAACTTGTTTCTGAGAATCCTTCTGTCTCGTTTTTATGGGAACATATTTAGTTTTTCACCGTAGGCATCAAAGCGGTCCAAATGTCCACATCCAGATACTCCAGAAAGAGTGTTTCAAACCTGCTCTATGAAAGGGAATCTTCAACTCTATGAGTTGAATGCACACATCAGAAAGAAATTTCTGAGAATGTTGCTGTCTACCTTTATTTGAATTCCCGCTTCCAACGAAATCCTCCAAGCTATCCAAATATCCACCTGCATTTTCCACAACAAGAGTGTTTCAAAACTGCTCTATCAATAGAAATGTTCAACTCCTTTGGCTGGGTACACACATCACAAACAAGTTTCTGAGAATGCTTCTGTCTAGTTTTTATGGGAAGACATTCCCTTTTTCACCAAAGGCATCAAAGCACTCCAAATGTCCACTTCCAGACACTACAAAAAGAGTGTTTCAAACGTGCTCTAAGAAAGCGAATGTTCAACTCTGTGACTTGAATGCAGATATCACAAAGTAGTTTCTGACAGGGCTTCTGTCTAGATTTTAGATGATGATATTCCCGTTTCCAACGAAATCATTAGAGCTATCCAAATATCCACTTACAGTTTCTACAAAAAGTGTGTTTCCAAACTACTGCATCAAAAGAGAGGTTCCACTCTGTTAGCTGAGTACACACATCACAAACTTGTTTCTCAGAATCCTTCTGTCTCGTTTTTATGGGAAGATATTTACTTTCTCACCGCAGGCATCAAAGCGCTCCAAATGTCCACATCCATATACTCCAGAAAGAGTGTTTCAAACCTGCTCTATGAAAGGGAATCTTCAACTCTATGAGTTGAATGCAGACATCAGAAAGAAATTTCTGAGAATGCTGCTGTCTACCTTTTATTTGAATTCCCGCTTCCAACGAAATCCTCCAAGCTATCCAAATATCCACTTGCAGATTCCACAAAAAGAGTGTTTCAAAACTGCTCTCTATCAATGGCAAAGTTCAACTCTGTTAGTTGAGGACACATATCACCAACAAGTTTCTGAGAATGCTTCTGTCTATTTTTTATAGGAAGATATTTCCTTTTTCACCGTAGGCGTCAAGGCGATCGAAATGTCCACCTCCACAAACTACAAAAAGAGTGTTTCAAACCTGCTCTATGAAAGGCCATGTTCATCTCTATGAGTTGAATGGAAATATCCGAAAGAAATTTCTGGGAATGCTGCTGTCTAGTTTTTATACGAATTCCCGCTTCCAACGAAATCCTCAAAGCAATCCAAATATCCACTTGCAGAATCCACAAAAAGAGTGTTTCAAAACTGCTCTATCAATAGAAAGGTTCAACTCTTTTAGTTGAGTACACACATCACAAACAAGTTTCTGAGAATGCTTCTGTCTGGCTTTTATTAGAAGACGTTTCCTTTTCACCAAAGGCATCATCAAAGCGCTCCAAATGTCCACTTCCAGATTCTTCCAAAAGAGTGTTTGAAACGTGCTCAAAGTAAGGGAATGTTCAACTCTGTGACTTGAATGCAGATATCACCAAGTAGTTTCTAATACTGCTTCTCTCTAGATTTTAGATGATGATATTCCCGTTTCCAACGAAATCGTTAGAGCTATCCAAATATCCACTTACAGTTTCTACAAAAAGGGTGTTCCAAACTGCTGCATCAAAAGAAAGGTTCAACTCTGTTAGTTGAGGACACACATCACAAAGAAGTTTGTGAGAATGCTTCTGTCTAGGATTTTGTATGACGATATTCCCTTTTCCAACGATATCGTTAAAGCAATCTAAATATCAATTTGCAGAATCCACAAAAATAGAGTTTCAAAGCTGCTCTGTAAAAAGAAAGGTTCCACTCTGTTAGCTGAGTACACACATCACAAACTTGTTTCTGAGAATCCTTCTGTCTCGTTTTTATGGGAAGATATTTACTTTTTCACCGTAGGCATCAAAGCGCTCCAAATGTCCACATCCAGATACTCCAGAAAGAGTGTTTCAAACCTGCTCTAGGAAAGGGAATCTTCAACTCTATGAGTTGAATGCAGACATCAGAAAGAAATTTCTGAGAATGCTGCTGTCTACCTTTTATTTGAATTCCCGCTTCCAACGAAATCCTCCAAGCTATCAAAATATCCACTTGCATTTTCCACAAAAAGAGTGTTTCAAAACTGCTCTATCAATACAAATGTTCAACTCTTTAGCTGGGTACACACATCACAAACAAGTTTCTGAGAATGCTTCTGTCTAGTTTTTATGGGAAGACATTCCCTTTTTCACCAAAGGCATGAAAGCGCTCCAAATGTCCACTTCCAGACACTACAAAAAGAGTGTTTCAAACGTGCTCTAAGAAAGCGAATGTTCAACTCTGTGACTTGAATGCAGATATCACAAAGTAGTTTCTGAGAGGGCTTCTGTCTAGAATTTAGATGATGATATTCCCGTTTCCAACGAAATCATTAGAGCTATCCAAATATCCACTTACAGTTTCTACAAAAAGAGTGTTTCCAAACTGCTGCATCAAAACAGAGGTTCCACTCTGTTAGCTGAGTACACACATCACAAACTTGTTTCTCAGAATCCTTCTGTCTCGTTTTTATGGGAAGATATTTACTTTTTCACCGTAGGCAATAAAGCGCTCCAAATGTCCACATCCAGATACTCCAGAAAGAGTGTTTCAAACCTGCTCTATGAAAGGGAATGTTCAACTCTATGAGTTGAATGCAGACATCAGAAAGAAATTTCTGAGAATGCTGCTGTCTACCTTTTATTTGAATTCCCGCTTCCAACGAAATCCTCCAAGCTATCCAAATATCCACTTGCAGATTCCACAAAAAGAGTGTTTCAAAACTGCTCTCTATCAATGGCAAAGTTCAACTCTGTTAGTTGAGGACACATATCACCAACAAGTTTCTGAGAATGCTTCTGTCTATTTTTTATAGGAAGATATTTCCTTTTTCACCGTAGGTGTCAAGGCGATCGAAATGTCCACCTCCACAAACTACAAAAAGAGTGTTTCAAACCTGCTCTATGAAAGGCCATGTTCATCTCTATGAGTTGAATGGAAATATCCGAAAGAAATTTCTGGGAATGCTGCTGTCTAGTGTTTATACGAATTCCCGCTTCCAACGAAATCCTCAAAGCAATCCAAATATCCACTTGCAGAATCCACAAAAAGAGTGTTTCAAAACTGCTCTATCAATAGAAAGGTTCAACTCTTTTAGTTGAGTACACACATCACGAACAAGTTTCTGAGAATGCTTCTGTCTGGCTTTTATTGGAAGAAGTTTCCTTTTCACCAAAGGCATCAAAGCGCTCCAAATGTCCACTTCCAGATTCTTCCAAAAGAGTGTTTCAAACGTGCTCAAAGTAAGGGAATGTTCAACTCTGTGACTTGAATGCAGATATCACCAAGTAGTTTCTAATAGTGCTTCTGTCTACATTTTAGATGATGATATTCCCGTTTCCAACGAAATCGTTAGAGCTATCCAAATATCCAGTTACAGTTTCTACCAAAAGGGTGTTTCCAAATTGCTGCATCAAAAGAAAGGTTCAACTCTGTTAGTTGAGGACACACATCACAAAGAAGTTTGTGAGAATGCTTCTGTCTAGTATTTTGTATGACGATATTCCCTTTTCCAACGATATCGTTAAAGCAATCTAAATATCAATTTGCAGAATCCACAAAAATAGAGTTTCAAAGCTGCTCTGTAAAAAGAAAGGTTCCACTCTGTTAGCTGAGTACACACATCACAAACTTCTTTCTGAGAATCCTTCTGTCTCGTTTTTATGGGAAGATATTTACTTTTTCACCGTAGGCATCAAAGCGCTCCAAATGTCCACATCCAGATACTCCAGAAAGAGTGTTTCAAACCTGCTCTATGAAAGGGAGTCTTCAACTCTATGAGTTGAATGCAGACATCAGAAGGGAATTTCTGAGAATGCTGCTGTCTACCTTTTATTTGAATTCCCGCTTCCAACGAAATCCTCCAAGCTATCCAAATATCCACCTGCATTTTCCACAAAAAGAGTGTTTCAAACCTGCTCTATCAATAGAAATGTTCAACTCCTTTGGCTGGGTACACACATCACAAACAAGTTTCTGAGAATGCTTCTGTCTAGTTTTTATGGGTAGACATTCCCTTTTTCACCAAAGGAATCAAAGCGCTCCAAATGTCCACTTCCAGACACTACAAAAAGAGTGTTTCAAACGTGCTCTAAGAAAGCGAATGTTCAACTGTGTGACTTGAATGCAGATATCACAAAGTAGTTTCTGAGAGTGCTTCTGTCTAGATTTTAGATGATGATATTCCCGTTTCCAACGAAATCATTAGAGGTATCCAAATATCCACTTACAGTTTCTACAAAAAGAGTGTTTCCAAACTGCTGCATCAAAAGAGAGGTTCCACTCTGTTAGCTGAGTACACACATCACAAACTTGTTTCTCAGAATCCTTCTGTCTCGTTTTTATGGGAAGATATTTACTTTTTCACCGTAGGCATCAAAGCGCTCCAAATGTACACATCCAGATACTCCAGAAAGAGTGTTTCAAACCTGCTCTATGAAAGGGAATGTTCAACTCTATGAGTTGAATGCAGACATCAGAAAGAAATTTCTGAGAATGCTGCTGTCTACCTTTTATTTGAATTCCCGCTTCCAACGAAATCCTCCAAGCTATCCAAATATCCACTTGCAGATTCCACAAAAAGAGTGTTTCAAAACTGCTCTCTATCAATGGCAAAGTTCAACTCTGTTAGTTGAGGACACATATCACCAACAAGTTTCTGAGAATGCTTCTGGTCTATTTTTTATGGGAAGATATTTCCTTTTTCACCGTAGGCGTCAAGGCGATCGAAATGTCCACTTCCACAAACTACAAAAAGAGTGTTTCAAACCTGCTCTATGAAAGGCCATGTTCATCTCTATGAGTCGAATGGAAATATCCGAAAGAAATTTCTGGGAATGCTGCTGTCTAGTTTTTATACGAATTCCCGCTTCCAACGAAATCCTCAAAGCAATCCAAATATCCACTTGCAGAATCCACAAAAAGAGTGTTTCAAAACTGCTCTATCAATAGAAAGGTTCAACTCTTTTAGTTGAGTACACACATCACAAACAAGTTTCTGAGAATGCTTCTGTCTGGCTTTTATTGGAAGACGTTTCCTTTTCACCAAAGGCATCAAAGCGCTCCAAATGTCCACTTCCAGATTCTTCCAAAAGAGTGTTTGAAACGTGCTCAAAGTAAGGGAATGTTCAACTCTGTGACTTAAATGCAGATATCACCAAGTAGTTTCTAATAGTGCTTCTGTCTACATTTTAGATGATGATATTCCCGTTTCCAACGAAATCGTTAGAGCTATCCAAATATCCAGTTACAGTTTCTACCAAAAGGGTGCTTCCAAATTGCTGCATCAAAAGAAAGGTTCAACTCTGTTAGTTGAGGACACACATCACAAAGAAGTTTGTGAGAATGCTTTCTGTCTAGATTTTGTATGACGATATTCCCTTTTCCAACGATATCATTAAAGCAATCTAAATATCCATTTGCAGAATCCACAAAAATAGAGTTTCAAAGCTGCTCTGTAAAAAGAAAGGTTCCACTCTGTTAGCTGAGTACACACATCACAAACTTGTTTCTCAGAATCCTTCTGTCTAATTTTTATGGGAAGATATTTACTTTTTCACCGTAGGCATCAAAGCGTTCCAAATGTCCACATCCAGATAGTACAGAAAGAGTGTTTCAAACCTGCTCTATGAAAGGGAATGTTCAACTCTATGAGTTGAATGCAAACATCACAAAGAAATTTCTGAGAATGCTGCTGTCTACCTTTCATTTGAATTCCCGCTTCCAACGAAATCCTCCAGGCTATCCAAATATCCACTTGCAGATTCCACAAAAAGAGTGTTTCAAAACTGCTCTATCAATGGCAAGGTTCAACTCTGTCAGTTGAGGATACACATCACAAAAAGTTTCTGAGAATTCTTCTGTCTATTTTTTATGGGAAGATATTTCCTTTTTCACCGTAGTCATCAAGGCGATCGAAATGTCCACTTCCACAAACTACAAAAAGAGTGTTTCAAACCTGCTCTATGAAAGGCCATGTTCATCTCTATGAGTTCAATGGAAATATCAGAAAGAAATTTCTGGGAATGCTGCTGTCTAGATTTTATACGAATTCCTGCTTCCAACGAAATCCTCAAAGCAATCCAAATATCCACTTGCAGAATCCACAAAAAGAGTGTTTCAAAACTGCTCTATCAATAGAAAGGTTCAACTCTTTTAGTTGAGTACACACATCACAAACAAGTTTCTGAGAATGCTTCTGTCTGGCTTTTATTGGAAGACGTTTCCTTTTCACCAAAGGCATCATCAAAGCGCTCCAAATGTCCACTTCCAGATTCTTCCAAAAGAGTGTTTGAAACGTGCTCAAAGTAAGGGAATGTTCAACTCTGTGACTTGAATGCAGATATCACCAAGTAGTTTCTAATAGTGCTTCTGTCTAGATTTTAGATGATGATATTCCCGTTTCCAACGAAATCGTTAGAGCTATCCAAATATCCACTTACAGTTTCTACCAAAAGGGTGTTTCCAAACTGCTGCATCAAAAGAAAGGTTCAACTCTGTTAGTTGAGGACACACATCACAAAGAAGTTTGTGAGAATGCTTCTGTCCAGATTTTGTATGACGATATTCCCTTTTCCAATGATATCGTTAAAGCAATCTAAATATCCATTTGCAGAATCCACAAAAATAGAGTTTCAAAGCTGCTCTGTAAAAAGAAAGGTTCCACTCTGTTAGCTGAGTACACACATCACAAACTTGTTTCTGAGAATCCTTCTGTCTCGTTTTTATGGGAAGATATTTACTTTTTCACCGTAGGCATCAAAGCGCTCCAAATGTCCACATCCAGATACTCCAGAAAGAGCGTTTCAAACCTGCTCTATGAAAGGGAATCTTCAACTCTATGAGTTGAATGCAGACATCAGAAAGAAATTTCTGAGAATGCTGCTGTCTACCTTTTATTTGAACTCCCGCTTCCAACGAAATCCTCCAAGCTATCCAAATATCCACTTGCATTTTCCACAAAAAGAGTGCTTCAAAACTGCTCTATCAATAAATGTTCAACTCCTTTAGCTGGGTGCACACATCACAAACAAGTTTCTGAGAATGCTTCTGTCTACTTTTTAAGGGAAGACGTTTCCTTTTTCACCAAAGGCATCAAAGCGCTCCAAATGTCCACTTCCAGATTCTACAAAAAGAGTGTTTCAAACCTCCTCTAAGTAAGGGAGTTTTCAACTCTGTGACTGGAATGCAGATATCACAAAGTAGATTCTGAGACTGCTTCTGTCTAGATTTTAGATGATGATATTCCCGTTTCCAACGAAATCATTAGAGCTATCCAAATATCCACTTACAGTTTCTACAAAAAGAGTGTTTCCAAACTGCTGCATCAAAACAGAGGTTCCACTCTGTTAGCTGAGTACACACATCACAAACTTGTTTCTCAGAATCCTTCTGTCTCGTTTTTATGGGAAGATATTTACTTTTTCACCGTAGGCATCAAACCGCTCCAAATGTCCACATCCAGATACTACAGAAAGAGTATTTCAAACCTGCCCTATGAAAGGGAATGTTCAACTCTATGAGTTGAATGCAGACATCAGAAAGAAATTTCTGAGAATGCTGCTGTCTACCTTTTATTTGAATTCCCGCTTCCAACGAAATCCTCCAAACTATCCAAATATCCACTTGCAGATTCAGGAAAAAGAGTGTTTCAAAACTGCTCTCTATCAATGGCAAAGTTCAACTCTGTTAGTTGAGGACACATATCACCAACAAGTTTCTGAGAATGCTCTGTCTATTTTTTATGGGAAGATATTTCCTTTTTCACCGTAGGCGTCAAGGCGATCGAAATGTCCACTTCCACAAACTACAAAAAGAGTGTTTCAAACCTGCTCTATGAAAGGCCATGTTCATCTCTATGAGTTGAATGGAAATATCCGAAAGAAATTCTGGGAATGCTGGCTGTCTAGTGTTTATACGAATTCCCGCTTACAACGAAATCCTCAAAGCAATCCAAATATCCACTTGCAGAATCCACAAAAAGAGTGTTTCAAAACTGCTCTATCAATAGAAAGGTTCAACTCTTTTAGTTGAGTACACACATCACGAACAAGTTTCTGAGAATGCTTCTGTCTGGCTTTTATTGGAAGACGTTTCCTTTTCACCAAAGGCATCAAAGCGCTCCAAATGTCCACTTCCAGATTCTTCCAAAAGAGTGTTTCAAACGTGCTCAAAGTAAGGGAATGTTCAACTCTGTGACTTGAATGCAGATATCACCAAGTAGTTTCTAATAGTGCTTCTGTCTAGATTTTAGATGATGATATTCCCGTTTCCAACGGAATCGTTAGAGCTATCCAAATATACAGTTACAGTTTCTACCAAAAGGGTGTTTCCAAATTGCTGCATCAAAAGAAAGGTTCAACTCTGTTAGTTGAGGACACACATCACAAAGAAGTTTGTGAGAATGCTTCTGTCTAGTATTTTGTATGACCATATTCCCTTTCCCAGCGATATCATTAAAGCAATCTAAATATCCATTTGCAGAATCCACAAAAATAGAGTTTCAAAGCTGCTCTGTAAAAAGAAAGGTTCCACTCTGTTAGCTGAGTACACACATCACAAACTTGTTTCTGAGAATCCTTCTGTCTCGTTTTTATGGGAAGATATTTACTTTTTCACCGTAGGCATCAAAGCGCTCCAAATGTCCACATCCAGATACTCCAGAAAGAGTGTTTCAAACCTGCTCTATGAAAGGGAATCTTCAACTCTATGAGTTGAATGCAGACATCAGAAAGAAATTTCTGAGAATGCTGCTGTCTACCTTTTATTTGAATTCCCGCTTCCAACGAAATCCTCCAAGCTATCCAAATATCCACTTGCATTTTCCACAAAAAGAGTGTTTCAAAACTGCTCTATCAATAGAAATGTTCAACTCCTTTAGCTGGGTACACACATCACAAACAAGTTTACTGAGAATGCTTTCTGTCTAGTTTTTATGGGAAGACATTCCCTTTTTCACCAAAGGCATCACAGCGCTCCAAATGTCCACTTCCAGACACTACAAAAAGAGTGTTTCCAACGTGCTCTAAGAAACCGAATGTTCAACTCTGTGACTTGAATGCAGATATCACAAAGTAGTTTCTGAGAGGGCTTCTGTCTAGATTTTAGATGATGATATTCCCGTTTCCAACGAAATCATTAGAGCTATCCAAATATCCACTTACAGTTTCTACAAAAAGAGTGTTTCCAAACTGCTGCATCAAAAGAGGGGTTCCACTCTGTTAGCTGAGTACACACATCACAAACTTGTTTCTCAGAATCCTTCTGTCTCGTTTTTATGGGAAGATTATACTTTTTCACCGTAGGCATCAAAGCGCTCCAAATGTCCACATCCAGATACTCCAGAAAGAGTGTTTCAAACCTGCTCTATGAAAAGGAATCTTCAACTCTATGAGTTGAATGCAGACATCAGAAAGAAATTTCTGAGAATGCTGCTGTCTACCTTTTATTTGAATTCCCGCTTCCAACGAAATCCTCCAAGCTATCCAAATATCCACTTGCAGATTCCACAAAAAGAGTGTTTCAAAACTGCTCTCTATCAATGGCAAAGTTCAACTCTGTTAGTTGAGGACACATATCACCAACAAGTTTCTGAGAATGCTTCTGTCTATTTTTTATGGGAAGATATTTCCTTTTTCACCGTAGGCGTCAAGGCGATCGAAATGTCCACTTCCACAAACTACAAAAAGAGTGTTTCAAACCTGCTCTATGAAAGGCGATGTTCATCTCAATGAGTTGAATGGAAATATCCGAAAGAAATTTCTGGGAATGCTGCTGTCTAGTTTTTATATGAATTCCCGCTTCCAACGAAATCCTCAAAGCAATCCAAATATCCACTTGCAGAATCCACAAAAAGAGTGTTTCAAAACTGCTCTATCAATAGAAAGGTTCAACTCTTTTAGTTGAGTACACACATCACCAACAAGTTTCTGAGAATGCTTCTGTCTGGCTTTTATTGGAAGACGTTTCCTTTTCACCAAAGGCATCAAAACGCTCCAAATGTCCACTTCCAGATTCTTCCAAAAGAGTGTTTCAAACGTGCTCGAAGTAAGGGAATGTTCTACTCTGTGACTTGAATGCAGATATCACCAAGTAGTTTCTAATAGTGCTTCTGTCTAGATTTTAGATGATGATATTCCCGTTTCCAACGAAATCGTTAGAGCTATCCAAATATCCACTTACAGTTTCTACCAAAAGGGTGTTTCCAAATTGCTGCATCAAAAGAAAGGTTCAACTCTGTTAGTTGAGGACACACATCACAAAGAAGTTTGTGAGAATGCTTCTGTCTAGATTTTGTATGACGATATTCCCTTTTCCAACGATATCGTTAAAGCAATCTAAATATCAATTTGCAGAATCCACAAAAATAGAGTTTCAAAGCTGCTCTGTAAAAAGAAAGGTTCCACTCTGTTAGCTGAGTACACATATCACAAACTTGTTTCTGAGAATCCTTCTGTCTCGTTTTTATGGGAAGATATTTACTTTTCCACCGTAGGCATCGAAGCGCTCCAAATGTCCACATCCAGATACTCCAGAACGAGTGTTTCAAACCTGCTCTATGAAAGGGAATCTTCAACTCTATGAGTTGAATGCAGACATCAGAAAGAAATTTCTGAGAATGCTGCTGTCTACCTTTTATTTGAATTCCCGCTTCCAACGAAATCCTCCAAGCTATCCAAATATCCACTTGCATTTTCCACAACAAGAGTGTTTCAAAACTGCTCTATCAATAGAAATGTTCAACTCCTTTGGCTGGGTACACACATCACAAACAAGTTTCTGAGAATGCTTCTGTCTAGTTTTTATGGGAAGACGTTCCCCTTTTTCACCAAAGGCATCAAAGCGCTCCAAATGTCCACTTCCAGACACTACAAAAAGAGTGTTTCAAACGTGCTCTAAGAAAGCGAATGTTCAACTCTGTGACTTGAATGCAGATATCACAAAGTAGTTTCTGAGAGGGCTTCTGTCTAGATTTTAGATGATGATATTCCCGTTTCCAACGAAATCGTTAGAGCTATCCAAATATCCACTTACAGTTTCTACAAAAAGAGTGTTTCCAAACTGCTGCATCAAAAGAAAGGTTCAACTCTGTTAGTTGAGGACACACATCAGAAAGAAGTTTGTGAGAATGCTTCTGTCTAGATTTTGTATGACCATATTCCCTTTTCCAGCGATATCATTAAAGCAATCTAAATATCCATTTGCAGAATCCACAAAAATAGAGTTTCAAAGCTGCTCTGTAAAAAGAAAGGTTCCACTCTGTTAGCTGAGTACACACATCACAAACCTGTTTCTCAGAATCCTTCTGTCTCGTTTTTATGGGAAGATATTTACTTTTCCACCGTAGGCATCAAAGCGCTCCAAATGTCCACATCCAGATACTCCAGAACGAGTGTTTCAAACCTGCTCTATGAAAGAGAATCTTCAACTCTATGAGTTGAATGCAGACATCAGAAAGAAATTTCTGAGAATGCTGCTGTCTACTTTTTATTTGAATCCCCGCTTCCAACGAAATCCTCCAAGCTATCCAAATATCCACCTGCATTTTCCACAAAAAGAGTGTTTCAAAACTGCTCTATCAATAGAAATGTTCAACTCCTTTAGCTGGGTAGACACAGCACAAACAAGTTTCTGAGAATGCTTCTGTCTAGTTTTTATGGGAAGACATTCCCTTTTTCACCAAAGGCATCAAAGCGCTCCAAATGTCCACTTCCAGACACTACAAAAAGAGTGTTTCCAACGTGCTCTAAGAAACCGAATGTTCAACTCTGTGACTTGAATGCAGATATCACAAAGTAGTTTCTGAGAGTGCTTCTGTCTAGATTTAAGATGATGATATTCCCGTTTCCAACGAAATCATTAGAGCTATCCAAATATCCACTTACAGTTTCTACAAAAAGAGTGTTTCCAAACTGCTGCATCAAAAGAGAGGTTCCACTCTGTTAGCTGAGTACACACATCACAAACTTGTTTCTCAGAATCCTTCTGTCTCGTTTTTATGGGAAGATATTTACTTTTTCACCGTAGGCATCAAAGCGCTCCAAATGTCCACATCCAGATACTCCAGAAAGAGTGTTTCAAACCTCCTCTATGAAAGGGAATCTTCAACTCTATGAGTTGAATGCAGACATCAGAAAGAAATTTCTGAGAATGCTGCTGTCTACCTTTTATTTGAATTCCCGCTTCCAACGAAATCCTCCAAGCTATCCAAATATCCACTTGCAGATTCCACAAAAAGAGTGTTTCAAAACTGCTCTCTATCAATGGCAAAGTTCAACTCTGTTAGTTGAGGACACATATCACCAACAAGTTTCTGAGAATGCTTCTGTCTATCTTTTATGGGAAGATATTTCCTTTTTCACCGTAGGCGTCAAGGCGATCGAAATGTCCACTTCCACAAACTACAAAAAGAGTGTTTCAAACCTGCTCTATGAAAGGCCATGTTCATCTCTATGAGTCGAATGGAAATATCCGAAAGAAATTTCTGGGAATGCTGCTGTCTAGTTTTTATACGAATTCCCGCTTCCAACGAAATCCTCAAAGCAATCCAAATATCCACTTGCAGAATCCACAAAAAGAGTGTTTCAAAACTGCTCTATCAATAGAAAGGTTCAACTCTTTTAGTTGAGTACACACATCACAAACAAGTTTCTGAGAATGCTTCTGTCTGGCTTTTATTGGAAGACGTTTCCTTTTCACCAAAGGCATCAAAGCGCTCCAAATGTCCACTTCCAGATTCTTCCAAAAGAGTGTTTGAAACGTGCTCAAAGTAAGGGAATGTTCAACTCTGTGACTTGAATGCAGATATCACCAAGTAGTTTCTAATAGTGCTTCTGTCTAGATTTTAGATGATGATATTCCCGTTTCCAACGAAATCGTTAGAGCTATCCAAATATCCACTTACAGTTGCTACAGAAACAGTGTTTCCAAACTGCTGCATCAAAAGAAAGGTTCAACTCTGTTAGTTGAGGACACACGTCACAAAGAAGTTTGTGAGAATGCTTCTGTCTAGATTTTGTATGACGATATTCCCTTTTCCAACGATATCGTTAAAGCAATCTAAATATCAATTTGCAGAATCCACAAAAATAGAGTTTCAAAGCTGCTCTGTAAAAAGAAAGTTTCCACTCTGTTAGCTGAGTACACACATCACAAACTTGTTTCTGAGAATCCTTCTGTCTCGTTTTTCTGGGAAGATATTTACTTTTTCACCGTAGGCATCAAAGCGCTCCAAATGTCCACATCCAGATACTCCAGAAAGAGTGTTTCAAACCTGCTCTATGAAAGGGAATCTTCAACTACTATGAGTTGAATGCAGACATCAGAAAGAAATTTACTGAGAATGCTGCTGTCTACCTTTTATTTGAATTCCCGCTTCCAACGAAATCCTCCAAGCTATCCAAATATCCACTTGCAGATTCCACAAAAAGAGTGTTTCAAAACTGCTCTCTATCAATGGCAAAGTTCAACTCTGTTAGTTGAGGACACATATCACCAACAAGTTTCTGAGAATGCTTCTGTCTATTTTTTATGGGAAGATATTTCCTTTTTCACCGTAGGCGTCAAGGCGATCGAAATGTCCACTTCCACAAACTACAAAAAGAGTGTTTCAAACCTGCTCTATGAAAGGCCATGTTCATCTCTATGAATCGAATGGAAATATCCGAAAGAAATTTCTGGGAATGCTGCTGTCTAGTTTTTATACGAATTCCCGCTTCCAACGAAATCCTCAAAGCAATCCAAATATCCACTTGCAGAATCCACAAAAAGAGTGTTTCAAAACTGCTCTATCAATAGAAAGGTTCAACTCTTTTAGTTGAGTACACACATCACAAACAAGTTTCTGAGAATGCTTCTGTCTGGCTTTTATTGGAAGACGTTTCCTTTTCACCAAAGGCATCAAAGCGCTCCAAATGTCCACTTCCAGATTCTTCCAAAAGAGTGTTTGAAACGTGCTCAAAGTAAGGGAATGTTCAACTCTGTGACTTGAATGCCGATATCACCAAGTAGTTTCTAATAGTGCTTCTGTCTAGATTTTAGATGATGATATTCCCGTTTCAAATGAAATCGTTAGAGCTATCCAAATATCCACTTACAGTTTCTACAAAAAGAGTGTTTCCAAACTGCTGCATCAAAAGAAATGTTCAACTCTGTTAGTTGAGGACACACATCACAAAGAAGTTTCTGAGAATGCTTCTGTCTAGATTTTGTATGACGATATTCCCTTTTCCAACGATATCGTTAAAGGAATCTAAATATCCATTTGCAGAATCCACAAAAATAGAGTTTCAAAGCTGCTCTGTAAAAAGAAAGGTTCCACTCTGTTAGCTGAGTACACACATCACAAACTTGTTTCTCAGAATCCTTGCTGTCTACCTTTTATTTGAACTCCCGCTTCCAACGAAATCCTCCAAGCTATCCAAATATCCACTTGCATTTTCCACAAAAAGAGTGCTTCAAAACTGCTCTATCAATAAATGTTCAACTCCTTTAGCTGGGTGCACACATCACAAACAAGTTTCTGAGAATGCTTCTGTCTACTTTTTAAGGGAAGACATTTCCTTTTTCACCAAATGCATCAAAGCGCTCCAAATGTCCACTTCCAGATTCTACAAAAAGAGTGTTTCAAACCTGCTCTAAGTAAGGGAGTTTTCAACTCTGTGACTGGAATGCAGATATCACAAAGTAGTTTCTGAGACTGATTCTGTCGAGATTTTAGATGATGATATTCCCGTTTCCAACGAAATCATTAGAGCTATCCAAATATCCACTTACAGTTTCTACAAAAAGAGTGTTTCCAAACTACTGCATCAAAAGAGAGGTTCCACTCTGTTAGCTGAGTACACACATCACAAACTTGTTTCTCAGAATCCTTCTGTCTCGTTTTTATGGGAAGATATTTACTTTTTCACCGTAGGCATCAAAGCGCTCCAAATGTCCACATCCAGATACTACAGAAAGAGTATTTCAAACCTGCCCTATGAAAGGAAATGTTCAACTCTATGAGTTGAATGCAGAGATCAGAAAGAAATTTCTGAGAATGCTGCTGTCTACCTTTTATTTGAATTCCCGCTTCCAACGAAATCCTCCAAGCTATCCAAATATCCACTTGCAGATTCAGGAAAAAGAGTGTTTCAAAACTGCTCTCTATCAATGGCAAAGTTCAACTCTGTTAGTTGAGGACACATATCACCAACAAGTTTCTGAGAATGCTTCTGTCTATTTTTTATGGGAAGATATTTCCTTTTTCACGGTAGGCGTCAAGGCGATCGAAATGTCCACTTCCACAAACTACAAAAAGAGTGTTTCAAACCTGCTCTATGAAAGGCCATGTTAATCTCTATGAGTTGAATGGAAATATCCGAAAGAAATTTCTGGGAATGCTGCTGTCTAGTTTTTATATGAATTCCCGCTTCCAACGAAATCCTCAAAGCAATCCAAATATCCACTTGCAGAATCCACAAAAAGAGTGTTTCAAAACTGCTCTATCAATAGAAAGGTTCAACTCTTTTAGTTGAGTACACACATCACAAACAAGTTTCTGAGAATGCTTCTGTCTGGCTTTTATTGGAAGACGTTTCCTTTTCACCAAAGGCATCAAAGCGCTCCAAATGTCCACTTCCAGATTCTTCCAAAAGAGTGTTTCAAACGTGCTCGAAGTAAGGGAATGTTCTACTCTGTGACTTGAATGCAGATATCACCAAGTAGTTTCTAATAGTGCTTCTGTCTAGATTTTAGGTGATGATATTCCCGTTTCCAACGAAATCGTTAGAGCTATCCAAATATCCAGTTACAGTTTCTACCAAAAGGGTGTTTCCAAATTGCTGCATCAAAAGAAAGGTTCAACTCTGTTAGTTGAGGACACACATCACAAAGAAGTTTGTGAGAATACTTCTGTCTAGGATTTTGTATGACGGTATTCCCTTTTCCAACGATATCGTTAAAGCAATCTAAATATCAATTTGCAGAATCCACAACAATAGAGTTTCAAAGCTGCTCTGTAAAAAGAAAGGTTCCACTCTGTTAGCTGAGTACACACATCACAAACTTGTTTCTGAGAATCCTTCTGTCTCGTTTTTATGGGAAGATATTTACTTTTCCACCGTAGGCATCAAAGCGCTCCAAATATCCACATCCGGATACTCCAGAACGAGTGTTTCAAACCTGCTCTATGAAAGGGAATCTTCAACTCTATGAGTTGAATGCAGACATCAGAAAGAAATTTCTGAGAATGCTCCTGTCTACCTTTTATTTGAATTCCCGCTTCCAACGAAATCCTCCAAGCTATCCAAATATCCACTTGCATTTTCCACAAAAAGAGTGTTTCAAAACTGCTCTATCAATAGAAATGTTCAACTCCTTTAGCTGGGTACACACATCACAAACAAGTTTACTGAGAATGCTTCTGTCTAGTTTTTATGGGTAGACATTCCCTTTTTCACCAAAGGAATCAAAGCGCTCCAAATGTCCACTTCCAGACACTACAAAAAGAGTGTTTCAAACGTGCTCTAAGAAAGCGAATGTTCAACTCTGTGACTTGAATGCAGATATCACAAAGTAGTTTCTGAGAGGGCTTCTGTCTAGATTTTAGATGATGATATTCCCGTTTCCAACGAAATCATTAGAGCTATCCAAATATCCACTTACAGTTTCTACAAAAAGAGTGTTTCCAAACTGCTGCATCAAAAGAGAGGTTCCACTCTGTTAGCTGAGTACACACATCACAAACTTGTTTCTCAGAATCCTTACTGTCTCGTTTTTATGGGAAGATATTTACTTTCTCACCGTAGGCATCAAAGCGCTCCAAATGTCCACATCCAGATACTCCAGAAAGAGTGTTTCAAACCTGCTCTATGAAAGGGAATCTTCAACTCTATGAGTTGAATGCAGACATCAGAAAGAAATTTCTGAGAATGCTGCTGTCTACCTTTTATTTGAATTACCGCTTCCAACGAAATCCTCCAAGCTATCCAAATATCCACTTGCAGATTCCACAAAAAGAGTGTTTCAAAACTGCGCTCTATCAATGGCAAAGTTCAACTCTGTTAGTTGAGGACACATATCACCAACAAGTTTCTGAGAATGCTTCTGTCTATTGTTTATGGGAAGATATTTCCTTTTTCACCGTAGGCGTCAAGGCGATCGAAATGTCCACTTCCACAAACTACAAAAAGAGTGTTTCAAACCTGCTCTATGAAAGGCCATGTTCATCTCTATGAGTTGAATGGAAATATCCGAAAGAAATTTCTGGGAATGCTGCTGTCTAGTGTTTATACGAATTCCCGCTTCCAACGAAATCCTCAAAGCAATCCAAATATCCACTTGCAGAATCCACAAAAAGAGTGTTTCAAAACTGCTCTATCAATAGAAAGGTTCAACTCTTTTAGTTGAGTACACACATCACCAACAAGTTTGCTGAGAATGCTTTCTGTCTGGCTTTTATTGGAAGACGTTTCCTTTTCACCAAAGGCATCAAAGCGCTCCAAATGTCCACTTCCAGATTCTTCCAAAAGAGTGTTTCAAACGTGCTCAAAGTAAGGGAATGTTCAACTCTGTGACTTGAATGCAGATATCACCAAGTAGTTTCTAATAGTGCTTCTGTCTAGCATTTTAGATGATGATATTCCCGTTTCCAACGAAATCGTTAGAGCTATCCAAATATCCACTTACAGTTTCTACAAAAAGAGTGTTTCCAAACTGCTGCATCAAAAGAAAGGTTCAACTCTGTTAGTTGAGGACACACATCACAAAGAAGTTTGTGAGAATGCTTCTGTCTAGATTTTGTATGACCATATTCCCTTTTCCAGCGATATCATTAATGCAATCTAAATATCCATTTGCAGAATCCACAAAAATAGAGTTTCAAAGCTGCTCTGTAAAAAGAAAGGTTCCACTCTGTTAGCTGAGTACACACATCACAAACTTGTTTCTCAGAATCCTGCTGTCTACCTTTTATTTGAATTAACGCTTCCAACGAAATCCTCCAAGCTATCCAAATATCCACTTGCATTTTCCACAAAAAGAGTGTTTCAAAACTGCTCTATCAATAGAAATGTTCAACTCCTTTGGCTGGGTACACACATCACAAACAAGTTTCTGAGAATGCTTCTGTCTAGTTTTTATGGGAAGACGTTCCCTTTTTCACCAAAGCCATCAAAGCGCTCCAAATGTCCACTTCCAGACACTACAAAAAGACTGTTTCAAACGTGCTCTAAGAAAGCGAATGTTCAACTCTGTGACTTGAATGCAGATATCACAAAGTAGTTTCTGAGAGTGCTTCTGTCTAGATTTTAGATGATGATATTCCCGTTTCCAACGAAATCATTAGAGCTATCCAAATATCCACTTACAGTTTCTACAAAAAGAGTGTTTCCAAACTGCTGCATCAAAAGAGTGGTTCCACTCTGTTAGCTGAGTACACACATCACAAACTTGTTTCTCAGAATCCTTCTGTCTCGTTTTTATGGGAAGAGATTTACTTTTTCACCGTAGGCATCAAAGCGCTCCAAATGTCCACATCCAGATACTACAGAAAGAGTATTTCAAACCTGCTCTATGAAAGGGAAGGTTCAACTCTATGAGTTGAATGCAGACATCAGAAAGAAATTTCTGAGAATGCTGCTGTCTACCTTTTATTTGAATTCCCGCTTCCAACGAAATCCTCCAAGCTATCCAAATATCCACTTGCAGATTCCACAAAAAGAGTGTTTCAAAACTGCTCTCTATCAATGGCAAAGTTCAACTCTGTTAGTTGAGGACACATATCACCAACAAGTTTCTGAGAATGCTTCTGTCTATTTTTTATGGGAAGATAATTCCTTTTTCAGCGTAGGCGTCAAGGCGATCGAAATGTCCACTTCCACAAACTACAAAAAGTGTGTTTCAAACCTGCTCTATGAAAGGCCATGTTCATCTCTATGAGTTGAATGGAAATATCCGAAAGAAATTTCTGGGAATGCTGCTGTCTAGTTTTTATACGAATTCCCGCTTCCAACGAAATCCTCAAAGCAATCCAAATATCCACTTGCAGAATCCACAAAAAGAGTGTTTCAAAACTGCTCTATCAATAGAAAGGTTCAACCCTTTTAGTTGAGTACACACATCACAAACAAGTTTCTGAGAATGCTTCTGTCTGGCTTTTATTGGAAGACGTTTCCTTTTCACCAAAGGCATCAAAGCGCTCCAAATGTCCACTTCCAGATTCTTCCAAAAGAGTGTTTGAAACGTGCTCAAAGTAAGGGAATGTTCAACTCTGTGACTTGAATGCAGATATCACCAAGTAGTTTCTAATAGTGCTTCTGTCTAGATTTTAGATGATGATATTCCCGTTTCCAACGAAATCGTTAGAGCTATCCAAATATCCACTTACATTTTCTACAAAAACAGTGTTTCCAAACTGCTGCATCAAAAGAAAAGTTCAACTCTGTTAGTTGAGGACACACATCACAAAGAAGTTTGTGAGAATGCTTCTGTCCAGATTTTGTATGACGATATTCCCTTTTCCAACGATATCGTTAAAGCAATCTAAATATCAATTTCCAGAATCCACAAAAATAGAGTTTCAAAGCTGCTCTGTAAAAAGAAAGGTTCCACTCTGTTAGCTGAGTACACACATCACAAACTTGTTTCTGAGAATCCTTCTGTCTCGTTTTTCTGGGAAGATATTTACTTTTTCACCGTAGGCATCAAAGCGCTCCAAATGTCCACATCCAGATACTCCAGAAAGAGTGTTTCAAACCTGCTCTATGAAAGGGAATCTTCAACTCTGTGAGTTGAATGCAGACATCAGAAAGAAATTTCTGAGAATGCTGCTGTCTACCTTTTATTTGAATTCCCGCTTCCAACGAAATCCTCCAAGCTATCCAAATATCCACTTGCAGATTCCACAAAAAGAGTGTTTCAAAACTGCTCTCTATCAATGGCAAAGTTCAACTCTGTTAGTTGAGGACACATATCACCAACAAGTTTCTGAGAATGCTTCTGTCTATTTTTTATGGGAAGATAATTCCTTTTTCACCGTAGGCGTCAAGGCGATCAAAATGTCCACTTCCACAAACTACAAAAAGAGTGTTTCAAACCTGCTCTATGAAAGGCCATGTTCATCTCTATGAGTCGAATGGAAATATCCGAAAGAAATTTCTGGGAATGCTGCTGTCTAGTTTTTATATGAATTCCCGCTTCCAACGAAATCCTCAAAGCAATCCAAATATCCACTTGCAGAATCCACAAAAAGAGTGTTTCAAAACTGCGCTATCATTAGAAAGGTTCAACTCTTTTAGTTGAGTACACACATCACAAACAAGTTTCTGAGAATGCTTCTGTCTGGCTTTTATTGGAAGACGTTTCCTTTTCACCAAAGGCATCAAAGCGCTCCAAATGTCCACTTCCAGATTCTTCCAAAAGAGTGTTTCAAACGTGCTCAAAGTAAGGGAATGTTCAACTCTTTGACTTGAATGCAGATATCACCAAGTAGTTTCTAATAGTGCTTCTGTCTAGATTTTAGATGATGATATTCCCGTTTCCAACGAAATCGTTAGAGCTATCCAAATATCCACTTACAGTTTCTACAAAAAGAGTGTTTCAAAACTTCTCTATGAAAAGAAAGGTTCTACTCCTTTAGTTGAGGACACACATCACGAGTAAGTTTCTGAGAGTGCTTCTGTCCAGATTTTGTATGACGACATTCCCTTTTCCAACGATATCGTTAAAGCAATCTAAATATCAATTTGCAGAATCCACAAAAATAGAGTTTCAAAGCTGCTCTGTAAAAAGAAAGGTTCCACTCAGTTAGCTGAGTACACACATCACAAACTTGTTTCTGAGAATCCTTCTGTCTCGTTTTTATGGGAAGATATTTACTTTTCCACCGTAGGCATCAAAGCGCTCCAAATGTCCACATCCAGATACTCCAGAACGAGTGTTTCAAACCTGCTCTATGAAAGGGAATCTTCAACTCTATGAGTTGAATGCAGACATCAGAAAGAAATTTCTGAGAATTCTGCTATCTACCTTTTATTTGAATTCCCGCTTCCAACGAAATCCTCCAAGCTATCCAAATATCCACTTGCATTTTCCACAAAAAGAGTGTTTCAAAACTGCTCTATCAATAGAAATGTTCAACTCCTTTAGCTGGGTACACACATCACAAACAAGTTTCTGAGAATGCTTCTGTCTAGTTTTTATGGGAAGACATTCCCTTTTTCACCAAAGGCATCAAAGCGCTCCAAATGTCCACTTCCAGACACTACAAAAAGAGTGTTTCAAACGTGCTCTAAGAAAGCGAATGTTCAACTCTGTGACTTGAATGCAGATATCACAAAGTAGTTTCTGAGAGGGATTCCGTCTAGATTTTAGATGATGATATTCCCATTTCCAACGAAATCATTAGAGCTATCCAAATATCCACTTACAGTTTCTACAAAAAGAGTGTTTCCAAACTGCTGCATCAGAAGAGAGGTTCCACTCTGTTAGCTGAGTACACACATCACAAACTTGTTTCTGAGAATCCTTCTGTCTCGTTTTTCTGGGAAGATATTTACTTTTTCACCGTAGGCATCAAAGCGCTCCAAATGTCCACATCCAGATACTCCAGAAAGAGTGTTTCAAACCTGCTCTATGAAAGGGAATCTTCAACTCTATGAGTTGAATGCAGACATCAGAAAGAAATTTCTGAGAATGCTGCTGTCTAACTTTTATTTGAATTCCCGCTTCCAACGAAATCCTCCAAGCTATCCAAATATCCACTTGCAGATTCAGGAAAAAGAGTGTTTCAAAACTGCTCTCTATCAATGGCAAAGTTCAACTCTGTTAGTTGAGGACACATATCACCAACAAGTTTCTGAGAATGCTTCTGTCTATTTTTTATGGGAAGATATTTCCTTTTTCACCGTAGGCGTCAAGGCGATCGAAATGTCCACTTCCACAAACTACAAAAAGAGTGTTTCAAACCTGCTCTATGAAAGGCCATGTTCATCTCTATGAGTCGAATGGAAATATCCGAAAGAAATTTCTGGGAATGCTGCTGTCTAGTTTTTATACGAATTCCCGCTTCCAACGAAATCCTCAAAGCAATCCAAATATCCACTTGCAGAATCCACAAAAAGAGTGTTTCAAAACTGCTCTATCAATAGAAAGGTTCAACTCTTTTAGTTGAGTACACACATCACAAACAAGTTTCTGAGAATGCTTCTGTCTGGCTTTTATTGGAAGACGTTTCCTTTTCACCAAAGGCATCAAAGCGCTCCAAATGTCCACTTCCAGATTCTTCCAAAAGAGTGTTTCAAACGTGCTCAAAGTAAGGGAATGTTCAACTCTTTGACTTGAATGCAGATATCACCAAGTAGTTTCTAATAGTGCTTCTGTCTACATTTTAGATGATGATATTCCCGTTTCCAACGAAATCGTTAGAGCTATCCAAATATCCAGTTACAGTTTCTACCAAAAGGGTGTTTCCAAATTGCTGCATCAAAAGAAAGGTTCAACTCTGTTAGTTGAGGACACACATCACAAAGAAGTTTGTGAGAATGCTTTCTGTCTAGATTTTGTATGACCATATTCCCTTTTCCAACGATATCGTTAAAGCAATCTAAATATCAATTTGCAGAATCCACAAAAATAGAGTTTCAAAGCTGCTCTGTAAAAAGAAAGGTTCCACTCTGTTAGCTGAGTACACACATCACAAACTTGTTTCTGAGAATCCTTCTGTCTAGTTTTTATGGGAAGATATTTACTTTTCACCGTAGGTATCAAAGCGCCCCAAATGTCCACATCCAGATACTACAGAAAGAGTGTTTCAAACCTGCTCTATGAAAGGGAATCTTCAACTCTATGAGTTGAATGCAGACATCAGAAAGTAATTTCTGAGAATGCTGCTGTCTACCTTTTATTTGAATTCCCGCTTCCAAGGAAATCCTCCAAGCTATCGAAATATCCACTAGCATTTTCCACAAAAAGAGTGTTTCAAAACTGCTCTATCAATAGAAATGTTCAACTCCTTTAGCTGGGTACACACATCACAAACAAGTTTCTGAGAATGCTTCTGTCTAGTTTTTATGGGAAGACGTTCCCTTTTTCACCAAAGGCATCAATGCGCTCCAAATGTCCACTTCCAGACACTACAAAAAGAGTGTTTCCAACGTGCTCTAAGAAAGCGAATGTTCAACTCTGTGACTTGAATGCAGATATCACAAAGTAGTTTCTGAGAGTGCTTCTGTCTAGATTTAGATGATGATATTCCCGTTTCCAACGAAATCATTAGAGCTATCCAAATATCCACTTACAGTTTCTACAAAAAGAGTGTTTCCAAACTGCTGCATCAAAAGAGAGGTTCCACTCTGTTAGCTGAGTACACACATCACAAACTTGTTTCTCAGAATCCTTCTGTCTCGTTTTTATGGGAAGATATTTACTTTTCCACCGTAGGCATCAAAGCGCTCCAAATGTCCACATCCAGATACTCCAGAAAGAGTGTTTCAAACCTGCTCTATGAAAGGGAATCTTCAACTTTATGAGTTGAATGCAGACATCAGAAAGAAATTTCTGAGAATGCTGCTGTCTACCTTTTATTTGAATTCCCGCTTCCAACGAAATCCTCCAAGCTATCCAAATATCCACTTGCAGATTCCACAAAAAGAGTGTTTCAAAACTGCTCTCTATCAATGGCAAAGTTCAACTCTGTTAGTTGAGGACACATATCACCAACAAGTTTCTGAGAATGCTTCTGTCTATTTTTTATGGGAAGATATTTCCTTTTTCACCGTAGGCGTCAAGGCGATCGAAATGTCCACTTCCACAAACTACAAAAAGAGTGTTTCAAACCTGCTCTATGAAAAGCCATGTTCATCTCTATGAGTTGAATGGAAATATCCGAAAGAAATTTCTGGGAATGCTGCTGTCTAGTTTTTATACGAATTCCCGCTTCCAACGAAATCCTCAAAGCAATCCAAATATCCACTTGCAGAATCCACAAAAAGAGTGTTTCAAAACTGCTCTATCAATAGAAAGGTTCAACTCTTTTAGTTGAGTACACACATCACAAACAAGTTTCTGAGAATGCTTCTGTCTGGCTTTTATTGGAAGACGTTTCCTTTTCACCAAAGGCATCAAAGCGCTCCAAATGTCCACTTCCAGATTCTTCCAAAAGAGTGTTTGAAACGTGCTCAAAGTAAGGGAATGTTCAACTCTGTGACTTGAATGCAGATATCACCAAGTAGTTTCTAATAGTGCTTCTGTCTAGATTTTAGATGACGATATTCCCGTTTCCAACGAAATCGTTAGAGCTATCCAAATATCCACTTACAGTTTCTACCAAAAGGGTGTTTCCAAACTGCTGCATCAAAAGAAAGGTTCAACTCTGTTAGTTGAGGACACACATCACAAAGAAGTTTGTGAGAATGCTTCTGTCTAGATTTTGTATGACCATATTCCCTTTCCCAGCGATATCATTAAAGCAATCTAAATATCCATTTGCAGAATCCACAAAAATAGAGTTTCAAAGCTGCTCTGTAAAAAGAAAGGTTCCACTCTGTTAGCTGAGTACACACATCACAAACTTGTTTCTGAGAATCCTTATGTCTCGTTTTTATGGGAAGATACTTACTTTTCCACCGTAGGCATCAAAGCGCTCCAAATGTCCACATCCAGATACTCCAGAACGAGTGTTTCAAACCTGCTCTATGAAAGGGAATCTTCAACTCTATGAGTTGAATGCAGACATCAGAAAGAAATTTCTGAGAATGCTGCTGTCTACCTTTTATTTGAACTCCCGCTTCCAACGAAATCCTCCAAGCTATCCAAATATCCACTTGCATTTTCCACAAAAAGAGTGCTTCAAAACTGCTCTATCAATAGAAATGTTCAACTCCTTTAGCTGGGTGCACACATCACAAACAAGTTTCTGAGAATGCTTCTGTCTAGTTTTTATGGGAAGACGTTCCCTTTTTCACCAAAGGCATCAAAGCGCTCCAAATGTCCACTTCCAGACACTACAAAAAGAGTGTTTCCAGCGTGCTCTAAGAAAGCGAATGTTCAACTCTGTGACTTGAATGCAGATATCACAAAGTAGTTTCTGAGAGGGCTTCTGTCTAGATTTTAGATGATGATATTCCCGTTTCCAACGAAATCATTAGAGCTATCCAAATAACCACTTACAGTTTCTACAAAAAGAGTGTTTCCAAACTGCTGCATCAAAAGAGAGGTTCCACTCTGTTAGCTGAGTACACACATCACAAACTTGTTTCTCAGAATCCTGCTGTCTACCTTTTATTTGAATTCCCGCTTCCAACGAAATCCTCCAAGCTATCCAAATATCCACTTGCATTTTCCACAAAAAGAGTGTTTCAAAACTGCTCTATCAATAGAAATGTTCAACTCCTTTGGCTGGGTACACACATCACAAACAAGTTTCTGAGAATGCTTCTGTCTAGTTTTTATGGGAAGACGTTCCCTTTTTCACCAAAGGCATCAAAGCGCTCCAAATGTCCACTTCCAGACACTACAAAAAGAGTGTTTCCAACGTGCTCTAAGAAAGCGAATGTTCAACTCTGTGACTTGAATGCAGATATCACAAAGTAGTTTCTGAGAGGGCTTTCTGTCTAGATTTTAGATGATGATATTCCCGTTTCCAAAAAAATCTTTAGAGCTATCCAAATATCCACTTACAGTTTCTACAAAAAGAGTGTTTCCAAACTGCTGCATCAAAAGAGAGGTTCCACTCTGTTAGCTGAGTACACACATCACAAACTTGTTTCTCAGACTCCTGCTGTCTACCTTTTATTTGAATTCCCGCTTCCAAGGAAAATCCTCCAAGCTATCGAAATATCCACTAGCATTTTCCACAAAAAGAGTGTTTCAAAACTGCTCTATCAATAGAAACGTTCAACTCCTTTAGCTGGGTACACACATCACAAACAAGTTTCTGAGAATGCTTCTGTCTAGTTTTTATGGGTAGACATTCCCTTTTTCACCAAAGGAATCAAAGCGCTCCAAATGTCCACTTCCAGCCACTACAAAAAGAGTGTTTCAAACGTGCTCTAAGAAAGCGAATGTTCAACTCTGTGACTTGAATGCAGATATCACAAAGTAGTTTCTGAGAGGGCTTCTGTCTAGATTTTAGATGATGATATTCCCGTTTCCAACGAAATCATTAGAGCTATCCAAATATCCACTTACAGTTTCTACAAAAAGAGTGTTTCCAAACTGCTGCATCAAAAGAGAGGTTCCACTCTGTTAGCTGAGTACGCCCATCACAAACTTGTTTCTCAGAATCCTTCTGTCTCGTTATTATGGGAAGATATTTACTTTTCCACCGTAGGCATCAAAGCGCTCCAAATGTCCACATCCAGATACTCCAGAACGAGTGTTTCAAACCTGCTCTATGAAAGGGAATCTTCAACTCTATGAGTTGAATGCAGACATCAGAAAGAAATTTCTGAGAATGCTGCTGTCTACCTTTTATTTGAATTCCCGCTTCCAACGAAATCCTCCAAGCTATCCAAATATCCACTTGCAGATTCCACAAAAAGAGTGTTTCAAAACTGCTCTCTATCAATGGCAAAGTTCAACTCTGTTAGTTGAGGACACATATCACCAACAAGTTTCTGAGAATGCTTCTGTCTATTTTTTATGGGAAGATATTTCCTTTTTCACCGTAGGCGTCAAGGCGATCGAAATGTCCACTTCCACAAACTACAAAAAGAGTGTTTCAAACCTGCTCTATGAAAGGCGATGTTCATCTCTATGAGTTGAATGGAAATATCCGAAAGAAATTTCTGGGAATGCTGGCTGTCTAGTTTTTATATGAATTCCCGCTTCCAACGAAATCCTCAAAGCAATCCAAATATCCACTTGCAGAATCCACAAAAAGAGTGTTTCAAAACTGCTCTATCAATAGAAAGGTTCAACTCTTTTAGTTGAGTACACACATCACCAACAAGTTTCTGAGAATGCTTCTGTCTGGCTTTTATTGGAAGACGTTTCCTTTTCACCAAAGGCATCAAAGCGCTCCAAATGTCCACTTCCAGATTCTTCCAAAAGAGTGTTTCAAACGTGCTCGAAGTAAGGGAATGTTCTACTCTGTGACTTGAATGCAGATAACACCAAGTAGTTTCTAATAGTGCTTCTGTCTAGATTTTAGATGATGATATTCCCGTTTCCAACGAAATCGTTAGAGCTATCCAAATATCCACTTACAGTTTCTACCAAAAGGGTGTTTCCAAATTGCTGCATCAAAAGAAAGGTTCAACTCTGTTAGTTGAGGACACACATCACAAAGAAGTTTGTGAGAATGCTTCTGTCTAGATTTTGTATGAAGATATTCCCTTTTCCAACGATATCGTTAAAGCAATCTAAATATCCATTTGCAGAATCCACAAAAATAGAGTTTCAAAGCTGCTCTGTAAAAAGAAAGGTTCCACTCTGTTAGCTGAGTACACACATCACAAACTTGTTTCTCAGAATCCTTCTGTCTCGTTTTTATGGGAAGATATTTACTTTTCCACCGTAGGCATCAAAGCGCTCCAAATGTCCACATCCAGATACTCCAGAAAGAGTGTTTCAAACCTGCTCTATGAAACGGAATCTTCAACTCTATGAGTTGAATGCAGACATCAGAAAGAAATTTCTGAGAATGCTGCTGTCTACCTTTTATTTGAATTCCCGCTTCCAACAAAAACCTCCAAGCTATCCAAATATCCACTTGCAGATTCCACAAAAAGAGTGTTTCAAAACTGCTCTATCAATAGAAATGTTCAACTCCTTTCGCTGGGTACACACATCACAAACAAGTTTCTGAGAATGCTTCTGTCTAGTTTTTATGGGTAGACATTCCCTTTTTCACCAAAGGAATCAAAGCGCTCCAAATGTCCACTTCCAGACACTACAAAAAGAGTGTTTCAAACGTGCTCTAAGAAAGCGAATGTTCAACTCTGTGACTTGAATGCAGATATCACACAGTGGTTTCTGAGAGTGCTTCTGTCTAGATTTTAGATGATGATATTCCCGTTTCCAACGAAATCATTAGAGCTATCCAAATATCCACTTACAGTTTCTACAAAAAGAGTGTTTCCAAACTGCTGCATCAGAAAAGAGGTTCCACTCTGTTAGCTGAGTACACACATCACAAACTTGTTTCTGAGAATCCTTTCTGTCTCGTTTTTATGGGAAGATATTTACTTTTTCACCGTAGGCATCAAAGCGCTCCAAATGTCCACATCCAGATACTCCAGAAAGAGTGTTTCAAACCTGCTCTATGAAAGGGAATCTTCAACTCTATGAGTTGAATGCAGACATCAGAAAGAAATTTCTGAGAATGCTGCTGTCTACCTTTTATTTGAATTCCCGCTTCCAACGAAATCCTCCAAGCTATCCAAATATCCACTTGCAGATTCCACAAAAAGAGTGTTTCAAAACTGCTCTCTATCAATGGCAAAGTTCAACTCTGTTAGTTGAGGACACATATCACCAACAAGTTTATGAGAATGCTTCTGTCTATTTTTTATGGGAAGATATTTCCTTTTTCACCGTAGGCGTCAAGGCGATCGAAATGTCCACTTCCACAAACTACAAAAAGAGTGTTTCAAACCTGCTCTATGAAAGGCCATGTTCATCTCTATGAGTCGAATGGAAATATCCGAAAGAAATTTCTGGGAATGCTGCTGTCTAGTTTTTATACGAATTCCCGCTTCCAACGAAATCCTCAAAGCAATCCAAATATCCACTTGCAGAATCCACAAAAAGAGTGTTTCAAAACTGCTCTATCAATAGAAAGGTTCAACTCTTTTAGTTGAGTACACACATCACAAACAAGTTTCTGAGAATGCTTCTGTCTGGCTTTTATTGGAAGACGTTTCCTTTTCACCAAAGGCATCAAAGCGCTCCAAATGTCCACTTCCAGATTCTTCCAAAAGAGTGTTTGAAACGTGCTCAAAGTAAGGGAATGTTCAACTCTGTGACTTGAATGCAGATATCACCAAGTAGTTTCTAATAGTGCTTCTGTCTAGATTTTAGATGACGATATTCCCGTTTCCAACGAAATCGTTAGAGCTATCCAAATATCCACTTACAGTTGCTACAAAAACAGTGTTTCCAAACTGCTGCATCAAAAGAAAGGTTCAACTCTGTTAGTTGAGGACACACGTCACAAAGAAGTTTGTGAGAATGCTTCTGTCTAGATTTTGTATGACGATATTCCCTTTTCCAACGATATCGTTAAAGCAATCTAAATATCAATTTGCAGAATCCACAAAAGTAGAGTTTCAAAGCTGCTCTGTAAAAAGAAAGGTTCCACTCTGTTAGCTGAGTATACACATCACAAACTTGTTTCTGAGAATCCTTCTGTCTCGTTTTTATGGGAAGATATTTACTTTTTCACCGTAGGCATCAAAGCGCTCCAAATGTCCACATCCAGATACTCCAGAGTGTTTCAAACCTGCTCTATGAAAGGGAATCTTCAACTCTATGAGTTGAATGCAGACATCAGAAAGAAATTTCTGAGAATGCTGCTGTCTACCTTTTATTTGAATTCCCGCTTCCAACGAAATCCTCCAAGCTATCCAAATATCCACTTGCAGATTCCACAAAAAGAGTGTTTCAAAACTGCTCTCTATCAATGGCAAAGTTCAACTCTGTTAGTTGAGGACACATATCACCAACAAGTTTCTGAGAATGCTTCTGTCTATTTTTTATGGGAAGATATTTCCTTTTTCACCGTAGGCGTCAAGGCGATCGAAATGTCCACTTCCACAAACTACAAAAAGAGTGTTTCAAACCTGCTCTATGAAAGGCCATGTTCATCTCTATGAGTCGAATGGAAATATCCGAAAAAATTTCTGGGAATGCTGCTGTCTAGTTTTTATACGAATTCCCGCTTCCAACGAAATCCTCAAAGCAATCCAAATATCCACTTGCAGAATCCACAAAAAGAGTGTTTCAAAACTGCTCTATCAATAGAAAGGTTCAACTCTTTTAGTTGAGTACACACATCACAAACAAGTTTCTGAGAATGCTTCTGTCTGGCTTTTATTGGAAGACGTTTCCTTTTCACCAAAGGCATCAAAGCGCTGCAAATGTCCACTTCCAGATTCTTCCAAAAGAGTGTTTCAAACGTGCTCAAAGTAAGGGAATGCTCAACTCTGTGACTTGAATGCAGATATCAACAAGTAGTTTCTAATAGTGCTTCTGTCTACATTTTAGATGATGATATTCCCGTTTCCAACGAAATCGTTAGAGCTATCCAAATATCCAGTTACAGTTTCTACCAAAAGGGTGCTTCCAAATTGCTGCATCAAAAGACAGGTTCAACTCTGTTAGTTGAGGACACACATCACAAAGAAGTTTGTGAGAATGCTTCTGTCTAGATTTTGTATGACGATATTCCCTTTTCCAACGATATCATTAAAGCAATCTAAATATCCATTTGCAGAATCCACAAAAATAGAGTTTCAAAGCTGCTCTGTAAAAAGAAAGGTTCCACTCTGTTAGCTGAGTACACACATCACAAACTTGTTTCTCAGAATCCTTCTGTCTCGTTTTTATGGGAAGATATTTACTTTTTACCGTAGGCATCAAAGCGCTCCAAATGTCCACATCCAGATACTCCAGAAAGAGTGTTTCAAACCTGCTCTATGAAAGGGAATCTTCAACTCTATGAGTTGAATGCAGACATCAGAAAGAAATTTCTGAGAATGCTGCTGTCTACCTTTAATTTGAATTCCCGCTTCCAACGAAATCCTCCAAGCTATCCAAATATCCACTTGCAGATTCCACAAAAAGAGTGTTTCAAAACTGCTCTCTATCAATGGCAAAGTTCAACTCTGTTAGTTGAGGACACATATCACCAACAAGTTTCTGAGAATGCTTATCTGTCTATTTTTTATGGGAAGATATTTCCTTTTTCACCGTAGGCGTCAAGGCGATCGAAATGTCCACTTCCACAAACTACAAAAAGAGTGTTTCAAACCTGCTCTATGAAAGGCCATGTTCATCTCTATGAGTTGAATGGAAATATCCGAAAGAAATTTCTGGGAATGCTGCTGTCTAGTTTTTATATGAATTCCCGCTTCCAACGAAATCCTCAAAGCAATCCAAATATCCACTTGCAGAATCCACAAAAAGAGTGTTGCAAAACTGCTCTATCAATAGAAAGGTTCAACTCTTTTAGTTGAGTACACACATCACAAACAAGTTTCTGAGAATGCTTCTGTCTGGCTTTTATTGGAAGACGTTTCCTTTTCACCAAAGGCATCAAAGCGCTCCAAATGTCCACTTCCAGATTCTTCCAAAAGAGTGTTTGAAACGTGCTCAAAGTAAGGGAATGTTCAACTCTGTGACTTGAATGCAGATATCACCAAGTAGTTTCTAATAGTGCTTCTGTCTAGATTTTAGATGATGATATTCCCGTTTCCAACGAAATCGTTAGAGCTATCCAAATATCCACTTACAGTTTCTACCAAAAGGGTGTTTCCAAATTGCTGCATCAAAAGAAAGGTTCAACTCTGTTAGTTGAGGACACACATCACAAAGAAGTTTGTGAGAATGCTTCTGTCTAGATTTTAGATGATGATATTCCCGTTTCCAACGAAATCGTTAGAGCTATCCAAATATCCACTTACAGTTTCTACAAAAAGAGTGTTTCCAAACTGCTGGATCAAAAGAGAGGTTCCACTCTGTTAGCTGAGTACACACATCACAAACTTGTTTCTCAGAATCCTGCTGTCTACCTTTTATTTGAATTCCCGCTTCCAACGAAATCCTCCAAGCTATCCAAATATCCACTTGCAGATTCCACAAAAAGAGTGTTTCAAAACTGCTCTCTATCAATGGCAAAGTTCAACTCTGTTAGTTGAGGACACATATCACCAACAAGTTTCTGAGAATGCTCTGTCTATTGTTTATGGGAAGATATTTCCTTTTTCACCGTAGGCGTCAAGGCGATCGAAATGTCCACTTCCACAAACTACAAAAAGAGTGTTTCAAACCTGCTCTATGAAAGGCGATGTTCATCTCTATGAGTTGAATGGAAATATCCGAAAGAAATTTCTGGGAATGCTGGCTGTCTAGTTTTTATATGAATTCCCGCTTCCAACGAAATCCTCAAAGCAATCCAAATATCCACTTGCAGAATCCAGAAAAAGAGTGTTTCAAAACTGCTCTATCAATAGAAAGGTTCAACTCTTTTAGTTGAGTACACACATCACGAACAAGTTTCTGAGAATGCTTCTGTCTGGCTTTTATTGGAAGACGTTTCCTTTTCACCAAAGGCATCAAAGCGCTCCAAATGTCCACTTCCAGATTCTTCCAAAAGAGTGTTTCAAACGTGCTCGAAGTAAGGGAATGTTCTACTCTGTGATTTGAATGCAGATATCACCAAGTAGTTTCTAATAGTGCTTCTGCCTACATTTTAGATGATGATATTCCCTTTTCCAACGAAATCGTTAGAGCTATCCAAATATCCAGTTACAGTTTCTACCAAAAGGGTGTTTCCAAATTGCTGCATCAAAAGAAAGGTTCAACTCTGTTAGTTGAGGACACACATCACAAAGAAGTTTGTGAGAATGCTTCTGTCTAGATTTTGTATGACGGTATTCCCTTTTCCAACGATATCGTTAAAGCAATCTAAATATCAATTTGCAGAATCCACAACAATAGAGTTTCAAAGCTGCTCTGTAAAAAGAAAGGTTCCACTGTGTTAGCTGAGTACACACATTACAAACTTGTTTCTGAGAATCCTTCTGTCTCGTTTTTATGGGAAGATATTTACTTTTTAACCGTAGGCATCAAAGCGCTCCAAATGTCCACATCCAGATACTCCAGAAAGAGTGTTTCAAACCTGCTCTATGAAAGGGAATCTTCAACTCTATGAGTTGAATGCAGACATCAGAAAGAAATTTCTGAGAATGCTGCTGTCTACCTTTTATTTGAATTCCCTCTTCCAACGAAATCCTCCAAGCTATCCAAATATCCACTTGCATTTTCCACAAAAAGAGTGTTTCAAAACTGCTCTATCAATAGAAATGTTCAACTCCTTTAGCTGGGTACACACATCACAAACAAGTTTCTGAGAATGCTTCTGTCTAGTTTTTATGGGAAGACATTCCCTTTTTCACCAAAGGCATCAAAGCGCTCCAAATGTCCACTTCCAGACACTACAAAAAGAGGGTTTCAAACGTGCTCTAAGAAAGCGAATATTCAACTCTGTGACTTGAATGCAGATATCACAAAGTAGTTTCTGAGAGGGCTTCTGTCTAGATTTTAGATGATGATATTCCCGTTTCCAACGAAATCATTAGAGCTATCCAAATATCCCCTTACAGTTTCTACAAAAAGAGTGTTTCCAAACTGCTGCATCAAAAGAGAGGTTCCACTCTGTTAGCTGAGTACACACATCACAAACTTGTTTCTCAGAATCCTTCTGTCTCGTTTTTATGGGAAGATATTTACTTTTTCACCGTAGGCATCAAAGCGCTCCAAATGTCCACATCCAGACACTCCAGAAAGAGTGTTTCAAACCTGCTCTATGAAAGGGAATCTTCAACTCTATGAGTTGAATGCAGACATCAGAAAGAAATTTCTGAGAATGCTGCTGTCTACCTTTTATTTGAATTCCCGCTTCCAACGAAATCCTCCAAGCTATCCAAATATCCACTTGCAGATTCCACAAAAAGAGTGTTTCAAAACTGCTCTCTATCAATGGCAAAGTTCAACTCTGTTAGTTGAGGACACATATCACCAACAAGTTTCTGAGAATGCTCCTGTCTATTTTTTATGGGAAGATATTTCCTTTTTCACCGTAGGCGTCAAGGCGATCGAAATGTCCACTTCCACAAACTACAAAAAGAGTGTTTCAAACCTGCTCTATGAAAGGCCATGTTCATCTCTATGAGTTGAATGGAAATATCCGAAAGAAATTTCTGGGAATGCTGCTGTCTAGTTTTTATACGAATTCCCGCTTCCAACGAAATCCTCAAAGCAATCTAAATATCCACTTGCAGAATCCACAAAAAGAGTGTTTCAAAACTGCTCTATCAATAGAAAGGTTCAACTCTTTTAGTTGAGTACACACATCACAAACAAGTTTCTGAGAATGCTTCTGTCTGGCTTTTATTGGAAGACGTTTCCTTTTCACCAAAGGCATCAAAGCGCTCCAAATGTCCACTTCCAGATTCTTCCAAAAGAGTGTTTGAAACGTGCTCAAAGTAAGGGAATGTTCAACTCTGTGACTTGAATGCAGATATCACCAAGTAGTTTCTAATAGTGCTTCTGTCTAGATTTTAGATGATGATATTCCCGTTTCCAACGAAATCGTTAGAGCTATCCAAATATCCCCTTACAGTTTCTACAAAAAGAGTGTTTCCAAACTGCTGCATCAAAAGAAAGGTTCAACTCTGTTAGTTGAGGACACACATCACAAAGAAGTTTGTGAGAATGCTTCTGTCTAGATTTTGTATGAAGATATTCCCTTTTCCAACGATATTGTTAAATCAACCCAAATATCAATTTGCAGAATCCACAGAAATAGAGTTTCAAAGCTGCTCTTTAAAAAGAAAGGATCCACTCTGTTAGCTGAGTACACACATCACAAACTTGTTTCTGAGAATCCTTCTGTCTCGTTTTTATGGGAAGATATTTACCTTTTCACCGTAGGCATCAAAGCGCTCCATATGTCCACATCCAGATACTCCACAAAGAGTGTTTCAAACCTGCTCTATGAAAGGGAATCTTCAACTCTATGAGTTGAATGCAGACATCAGAAAGAAATTTCTGAGAATGCTGCTGTCTACCTTTTATTTGAATTCCCGCTTCCAACGAAATCCTCCAAGCTATCCAAATATCCACCTGCATTTTCCACAACAAGAGTGTTTCAAAACTGCTCTATCAATAGAAATCTTCAACTCCTTTGGCTGGGTACACACATCACAAACAAGTTTCTGAGAATGCTTCTGTCTAGTTTTTATGGGAAGACGTTCCCTTTTTCACCAAAGGCATCAAAGCGCTCCAAATGTCCACTTCCAGACACTACAAAAAGAGTGTTTCAAACGTGCTCTTAGAAAGCGAATGTTCAACTCTGTGACTTGAATGCAGATATCACAAAGTAGTTTCTGAGAGGGCTTCTGTCTAGATTTTAGATGATGATATTCCCGTTTCCAACGAAATCATTAGAGCTATCCAAATATCCACTTACAGTTTCTACAAAAAGAGTGTTTCCAAACTGCTGCATGAAAAGAGAGGTTCCACTCTGTTAGCTGAGAACACACATCACAAACTTGTTTCTGAGAATCCTTCTGTCTAGCTTTTATGGGAAGATATTTACTTTTCCACCGTAGGCATCAAAGCGTTCCAAATGTCCACATCTAGATAGTACAGAAAGAGTGTTTCAAACCTGCTCTATGAAAGGGAATGTTCAACTCTATGAGTTGAATGCAAACATCACAAAGAAATTTCTGAGAATGCTGCTGTCTACCTTTTATTTGAATTCCCGCTTCCAACGAAATCCTCCAGGCTATCCAAATATCCACTTGCAGATTCCACAAAAACAGTGTTTCTAAACTGCTCTATCAATGGCAAGGTTCAACTCTGTCAGTTGAGGATACACATCACAAACAAGTTTCTGAGAATTCTTCTGTCTATTTTTTATGGGAAGATATTTCCTTTTTCACCGTAGGCGTCAAGGCGATCGAAATGTCCACTTCCACAAACTACAAAAAGAGTGTTTCAAACCTGCTCTATGAAAGGCCATGTTCATCTCTATGAGTCGAATGGAAATATCCGAAAGAAATTTCTGGGAATGCTGCTGTCTAGTTTTTATACGAATTCCCGCTTCCAACGAAATCCTCAAAGCAATCCAAATATCCACTTGCAGAATCCACAAAAAGAGTGTTTCAAAACTGCTCTATCAATAGAAAGGTTCAACTCTTTTAGTTGAGTACACACATCACAAACAAGTTTCTGAGAATGCTTCTGTCTGGCTTTTTTTGGAAGACGTTTCCCTTTTCACCAAAGGCATCAAAGCGCTCCAAATGTCCACTTCCAGATTCTTCCAAAAGAGTGTTTGAAACGTGCTCAAAGTAAGGGAATGTTCAACTCTGTGACTTGAATGCAGATATCACCAAGTAGTTTCTAATAGTGCTTCTGTCTAGATTTTAGATGATGATATTCCCGTTTCCAACGAAATCGTTAGAGCTATCCAAATATCCACTTACAGTTGCTACAAAAACAGTGTTTCCAAACTGCTGCATCAAAAGAAAGGTTCAACTCTGTTAGTTGAGGACACACATCACAAAGAAGTTTGTGAGAATGCTTCTGTCTAGATTTTGTATGACGATATTCCCTTTTCCAACGATATCGTTAAAGCAATCTAAATATCAATTTGCAGAATCCACAAAAACAGAGTTTCAAAGCTGCTCTGTAAAAAGAAAGGTTCCACTCTGTTAGCTGAGTACACACATCACAAACTTGTTTCTGAGAATCCTTCTGTTTCGTTTTTATGGGAAGATATTTACTTTTCCACCGTAGGCATCAAAGCGCTCCAAATGTCCACATCCAGATACTCCAGAACGAGTGTTTCAAACCTGCTCTATGAAAGGGAATCTTCAACTCTATGAGTTGAATGCAGACATCAGAAAGAAATTTCTGAGAATGCTGCTGTCTACCTTTTATTTGAATTCCCGCTTCCAACGAAATCCTCCAAGCTATCCAAATATCCACCTGCATTTTCCACAACAAGAGTGTTTCAAAACTGCTCTATCAATAGAAATGTTCAACTCCTTTTGCTGGGTACACACATCACAAACAAGTTTCTGAGAATGCTTCTGTCTAGTTTTTATGGGAAGACATTCCCTTTTTCACCAAAGGCATCAAAGCGCTCCAAATGTCCACTTCCTGACACTACGAAAAGAGTGTTTCAAACGTGCTCTAGGAAACCGAATGTTCAACTCTGTTACTTGAATGCAGATATCACAAAGTAGTTTCTGAGAGGGCTTCTGTCTAGGTTTTAGATGATGATATTCCCGTTTCCAACGAAATCATTAGAGCTATCCAAATATCCACTTACAGTTTCCACAAAAAGAGTGTTTCCAAACTGCTGCATCAAAAGAGAGGTTCCACTCTGTTAGCTGAGTACACACATCACAAACTTGTTTCTGAGAATCCTTCTGTCTCGTTTTTATGGGAAGATATTTACTTTTTCACCGTAGGCATCAAAGCGCTCCAAATGTCCACATCCAGATACTCCAGAAAGAGTGTTTCAAACCTGCTCTATGAAAGGGAATCTTCAACTCTATGAGTTGAATGCAGACATCAGAAAGAAATTTCTCAGAATGCTGCTGTCTAGCTTTTATTTGAATTCCCGCTTCCAACGAAAAACTCCAAGCTATCCAAATATCCACTTGCAGATTCCACAAAAAGAGTGTTTCAAAACTGCTCTATCAATAGAAATGTTCAACTCCTTTCGCTGGGTACACAGATCACAAACAAGTTTCTGAGAATGCTTCTGTCTAGTTTTTATGGGAAGACATTCCCTTTTTCACCAAAGGCATCAAAGCGCTCCAAATGTCCACTTCCAGACACTACAAAAAGAGTGTTTCCAACGTGCTCTACGAAAGCGAATGTTCAACTCTGTGACTTGAATGCAGATATCACAAAGTAGTTTCTGAGAGGGCTTCTGTCTAGATTTTAGATGATGATATTCCCGTTTCCAACGAAATCATTAGAGCTATCCAAATATCCACTTACAGTTTCTACAAAAAGAGTGTTTCCAAACTGCTGGATCAAAAGAGAGGTTCCACTCTGTTAGCTGAGTACACACATCACAAACTTGTTTCTCAGAATCCTTCTGTCTCGTTTTTCTGGGAAGATATTTACTTTTTCACCGTAGGCATCAAAGCGCTCCAAATGTCCACATCCAGATACTCCAGAAAGAGTGTTTCAAACCTGCTCTATGAAAGGGAATCTTCAACTCTATGAGTTGAATGCAGACATCAGAAAGAAATTTCTGAGAATGCTGCTGTCTACCTTTTATTTGAATTCCCGCTTCCAACGAAATCCTCCAAGCTATCCAAATATCCACTTGCAGATTCCACAAAAAGAGTGTTTCAAAACTGCTCTCTATCAATGGCAAAGTTCAACTCTGTTAGTTGAGGACACATATCACCAACAAGTTTCTGAGAATGCTCTGTCTATTGTTTATGGGAAGATATTTCCTTTTTCACCGTAGGCGTCAAGGCGATCGAAATGTCCACTTCCACAAACTACAAAAAGAGTGTTTCAAACCTGCTCTATGAAAGGCCATGTTCATCTCTATGAGTTGAATGGAAATATCCGAAAGAAATTTCTGGGAATGCTGGCTGTCTAGTTTTTATACGAATTCCCGCTTCCAACGAAATCCTCAAAGCAATCCAAATATCCACTTGCAGAATCCACAAAAAGAGTGTTTCAAAACTGCTCTATCAATAGAAAGGTTCAACTCTTTTAGTTGAGTACACACATCACAAACAAGTTTCTGAGAATGCTTCTGTCTGGCTTTTATTGGAAGACGTTTCCTTTTCACCAAAGGCATCAAAGCGCTCCAAATGTCCACTTCCAGATTCTTCCAAAAGAGTGTTTGAAACGTGCTCAAAGTAAGGGAATGTTCAACTCTGTGACTTGAATGCAGATATCACCAAGTAGTTTCTAATAGTGCTTCTGTCTAGATTTTAGATGATGATATTCCCGTTTCCAACGAAATCGTTAGAGCTATCCAAATATCCACTTACAGTTTCTACAAAAAGAGTGTTTCCAAACTGATGCATCAAAAGAAAGGTTCAACTCTGTTAGTTGAGGACACACATCACAAAGAAGTTTGTGAGAATGCTTCTCTCTAGATTTTGTATGAAGATATTCCCTTTTCCAAAGATATCGTTAAATCAACCCAAATATCAATTTGCAGAATCCACAGAAATAGAGTTTCAAAGCTGCTCTGTAAAAAGAAAGGATCCACTCTGTTAGCTGAGTACACACATCACAAACATGTTTCTGAGAATCCTTCTGTCTCGTTTTTATGGGAAGATATTTACTTTTCCACCGTAGGCATCAAAGCGCTCCAAATGTCCACATCCAGATACTCCAGAACGAGTGTTTCAAACCTGCTCTATGAAAGGGAATCTTCAACTCTATGAGTTGAATGCAGACATCAGAAAGAAATTTCTGGGAATGCTGCTGTCTAGTTTTTATATGAATTCCCGCTTCCAACGAAATCCTCCAAGCTATCCAAATATCCACCTGCATTTTCCACAAAAAGAGTGTTTCAAAACTGCTCTATCAATAGAAATGTTCAACTCCTTTGGCTGGGTACACACATCACAAACAAGTTTCTGAGAATGCTTCTGTCTATTTTTTATGGGAAGATATTTCCTTTTTCACCGTAGGCGTCAAGGCGATCGAAATGTCCACTTCCACAAACTACAAAAAGAGTGTTTCAAACCTGCTCTATGAAAGGCCATGTTCATCTCTATGAGTCGAATGGAAATATCCGAAAGAAATTTCTGGGAATGCTGCTGTCTAGTTTTTATATGAATTCCCGCTTCCAACGAAATCCTCAAAGCAATCCAAATATCCACTTGCAGAATCCACAAAAAGAGTGTTTCAAAACTGCTCTATCAATAGAAAGGTTCAACTCTTTTAGTTGAGTACACACATCACAAACAAGTTTCTGAGAATGCTTCTGTCTGTCTTTTATTGGAAGACGTTTCCTTTTCACCAAAGGCATCAAAGCGCTCCAAATGTCCACTTCCAGATTCTTCCAAAAGAGTGTTTCAAACGTGCTCGAAGTAAGGGAATGTTCTACTCTGTGACTTGAATGCAGATATCACCAAGTAGTTTCTAATAGTGCTTCTGTGTATACGTTAGATGAAGATATTCCCGTTTCCAACGATATCGTTAGACCTACCCAAATATCCACTTACAGTTTCTACAAAAAGAGTGTTTCCAAACTGCTGCATCAACAGAAAGTTTCAACTCTGTTAGTTGAGGACACACATCACAAAGAAGTTTCTGAGAAAGCTTCTGTCTAGATTTTGTATGATGATATTCCCTTTTCCAACGATATCGTTAAAGCAATCTAAATATCAATTTGCAGAATCCACAAAAATAGAGTTTCAAAGCTGCTCTGTAAAAAGAAAGGTTCCACTCTGCTAGCTGAGTACACACATCACAAACTTGTTTCTGAGAATCCTGCTGTCTACCTTTTATTTGAATTCCCGCTTCCAACGAAATCCTCCAAGCTATCCAAATATCCACTTGCAGATTCCACAAAAAGAGTGTTTCAAAACTGCTCTCTATCAATGGCAAAGTTCAACTCTGTTAGTTGAGGACACATATCACCAACAAGTTTCTGAGAATGCTTCTGTCTATTTTTTATGGGAAGATATTTCCTTTTTCACCGTAGGCGTCAAGGCGATCGAAATGTCCACTTCCACAAACTACAAAAAGAGTGTTTCAATATGAAAGGCCATGTTCATCTCTATGAGTTGAATGGAAATATCCGAAAGAAATTTCTGGGAATGCTGCTGTCTAGTGTTTATACGAATTCCCGCTTCCAACGAAATCCTCAAAGCAATCCAAATATCCACTTGCAGAATCCACAAAAAGAGTGTTTCAAAACTGCTCTATCAATAGAAAGGTTCAACTCTTTTAGTTGAGTACACACATCACGAACAAGTTTCTGAGAATGCTTCTGTCTGGCATTTATTGGAAGACGTTTCCTTTTCACCAAAGGCATCAAAGCGCTCCAAATGTCCACTTCCAGATTCTTCCAAAAGAGTGTTTCAAACGTGGTCGAAGTAAGGGAATGTTCAACTCTGTGACTTGAATGCAGATATCACCAAGTAGTTTCTAATAGTGCTTCTGTCTAGATTTTAGATGATGATATTCCCGTTTCCAATGAAATCGTTAGAGCTATCCAAATATCCACTTACAGTTTCTACCAAAAGGGTGTTTCCAAATTGCTGCATCAAAAGAAAGGTTCAACTCTGTTAGTTGAGGACACACATCACAAAGAAGTTTGTGAGAATGCTTCTGTCTAGATTTTGTATGACGATATTCCCTTTTCCAACGATATCGTTAAAGCAATCTAAATATCAATTTGCAGAATCCACAAAAATAGAGTTTCAAAGCTGCTCTGTAAAAAGAAAGGTTCCACTCTGTTAGCTGAGTACACACATCACAGACTTGTTTCTCAGAATCCTTCTGTCTCGTTTTTATGGGAAGATATTTACTTTTTCACCGTAGGCATCAAAGCGCTGCAAATGTCCACATCCAGATACTCCAGAAAGAGTGTTTCAAACCTGCTCTATGAAAGGGAATCTTCAACTCTATGAGTTGAATGCAGACATCAGAAAGAAATTTCTGAGAATGCTGCTGTCTACCTTTTATTTGAATTCCCGCTTCCAACGAAAACCTCCAAGCTATCCAAATATCCACTTGCAGATTCCACAAAAAGAGTGTTTCAAAACTGCTCTATCAATAGAAATGTTCAACTCCTTTCGCTGGGTACACACATCAAAAACAAGTTTCTGAGAAAGCTTCTGTCTAGTTTTTATGGGAAGACGTTCCCTTTTTCACCAAAGGCATCAAAGCGCTCCAAATGTCCACTTCCAGACACTACAAAAAGAGTGTTTCAAACGTGCTCTAAGAAACCGAATGTTCAACTCTGTGAGTTGAATGCAGATATCACAAAGTAGTTTCTGAGAGGGCTTCTGTCTAGATATTAGATGATGATATTCCCGTTTCCAACGAAATCATTAGAGCTATCCAAATATCCACTTACAGTTTCTACAAAAAGAGTGTTTCCAAACTGCTGCATCAAAAGAGAGGTTCCACTCTGTTAGCTGAGTACACACATCACAAACTTGTTTCTCAGAATCCTTCTGTCTCGTTTTTATGGGAAGATATTTACTTTTTCACCGTAGGCATCCAAGCGCTCCAAATGTCCACATCCAGATACTCCAGAAAGAGTGTTTCAAACCTGCTCTAAGAAAGGGAATCTTCAACTCTATGAGTTGAATGCAGACATCAGAAAGAAATTTCTGAGAATGCTGCTGTCTACCTTTTATTTGAATTCCCGCTTCCAACGAAATCCTCCAAGCTATCCAAATATCCACTTGCAGATTCCACAAAAAGAGTGTTTCAAAACTGCTCTCTATCAATGGCAAAGATCAACTCTGTTAGTTGAGGACACATATCACCAACAAGTTTCTGAGAATGCTTCTGTCTATTTTTTATGAGAAGATATTTCCTTTTTCACCATAGGCATCAGGGCGATCGAAATGTCCACTTCCACAAACTACAAAAAGAGTGTTTCAAACCTGCTCTATGAAAGGCCATGTTCATCTCTATGAGTTGAATGGAAATATCCGAAAGAAATTTCTGGAAATGCTGCTGTCTAGTTTTTATATGAATTCCCGCTTCCAACGAAATCCTCAAAGCAATCCAAATATCCACTTGCAGAATCCACAAAAAGAGTGTTTCAAAACTGCTCTATCAATAGAAAGGTTCAACTCTTTTAGTTGAGTACACACATCACCAACAAGTTTCTGAGAATGCTTCTGTCTGGCTTTTATTGGAAGACGTTTCCTTTTCACCAAAGGCATCAAAGCGCTCCAAATGTCCACTTCCAGATTCTTCCAAAAGAGTGTTTCAAACGTGCTCGAAGTAAGGGAATGTTCTACTCTGTGACTTGAATGCAGATATCACCAAGTAGTTTCTAATAGTGCTTCTGTCTAGATTTTAGATGATGATATTCCCGTTTCCAACAAAATCGTTAGAGCTATCCAAATATCCAGTTACAGTTTCTACCAAAAGGGTGTTTCCAAATTGCTGCATCAAAAGAAAGGTTCAACTCTGTTAGTTGAGGACACACATCACAAAGAAGTTTGTGAGAATGCTTCTGTCTAGCATTTTGTATGACGATATTCCCTTTTCCAACGATATCGTTAAAGCAATCTAAATATCCATTTGCAGAATCCACAAAAATAGAGTTTCAAAGCTGCTCTGTAAAAAGAAAGGTTCCACTCTGTTAGCTGAGTACACACATCACAAACTTGTTTCTCAGAATCCTTCTGTCTCGTTTTTATGGGAAGATATTTACTTTTCCACCGTAGGCATCAAAGCGCTCCAAATGTCCACATCCAGATACTCCAGAACGAGTGTTTCAAACCTGCTCTATGAAAGGGAATCTTCAACCTCTATGAGTTGAATGCAGACATCAGAAAGAAATTTCTGAGAATGCTGCTGTCTACCTTTTATTTGAATTCCCGCGTCCAACGAAATCCTCCAAGCTATCCAAATATCCACTTGCATTTTCCACAAAAAGAGTGTTTCAAAACTGCTCTATCAATAGAAATGTTCAACTCCTTTGGCTGGGTACACACATCACAAACAAGTTTCTGAGAATGCTTCTGTCTAGTTTTTATGGGAAGACGTTCCCTTTTTCACCAAAGGCATCAAAGCGCTCCAAATGTCCACTTCCAGACACTACAAAAAGAGTGTTTCCAACGTGCTCTAAGAAAGCGAATGTTCAACTCTGTGACTTGAATGCAGATATCACAAAGTAGTTTCTGAGAGGGCTTCTGTCTAGATTTTAGATGATGATATTCCCGTTTCCAACGGAATCATTAGAGCTATCCAAATATCCACTTACAGTTTCTACAAAAAGAGTGTTTCCAAACTGCTGCATCAAAAGAGAGGTTCCACTCTGTTAGCTGAGTACACACATCACAAACTTGTTTCTCAGAATCCTTCTGTCTCGTTTTTATGGGAAGATATTTACTTTTTCACCGTAGGCATCAAAGCGCTCCAAATGTCCACATCCAGATACTCCAGAAAGAGTGTTTCAAACCTGCTCTATGAAAGGGAATGTTCAACTCTATGAGTTGAATGCAGACATCAGAAAGAAATTTCTGAGAATGCTGCTGTCTACCTTTTATTTGAATTCCCGCTTCCAACGAAATCCTCCAAGCTATCCAAATATCCACTTGCAGATTCCACAAAAAGAGTGTTTCAAAACTGCTCTCTATCAATGGCAAAGTTCAACTCTGTTAGTTGAGGACACATATCACCAAGAAGTTTCTGAGAATGCTTCTGTCTATTTTTTATGGGAAGATATTTCCTTTTTCACCGTAGGCGTCAAGGCGATCGAAATGTCCACTTCCACAAACTACAAAAAGAGTGTTTCAAACCTGCTCTATGAAAGGCCATGTTCATCTCTATGATTTGAATGGAAATATCCGAAAGAAATTTCTGGGAATGCTGCTGTCTAGTGTTTATACGAATTCCCGCTTCCAACGAAATCCTCAAAGCAATCCAAATATCCACTTGCAGAATCCACAAAAAGAGTGTTTCAAAACTGCTCTATCAATAGAAAGGTTCAACTCTTTTAGTTGAGTACACACATCACGAACAAGTTTCTGAGAATGCTTCTGTCTGGCTTTTATTGGAAGACGTTTCCTTTTCACCAAAGGCATCAAAGCGCTCCAAATGTCCACTTCCAGATTCTTCCAAAAGAGTGTTTCAAACGTGCTCAAAGTAAGGGAATGTTCAACTCTGTGACTTGAATGCAGATATCACCAAGTAGTTTCTAATAGTGCTTCTGTCTAGATTTTAGATGATGATATTCCCGTTTCCAATGAAATCGTTAAATCTATCCAAATATCCACTTACAGTTTCTACAAAAAGAGTGTTTCCAAACTGCTGCATCAAAAGGAAGGTTCAACTCTGTTAGTTGAGGACACACATCACAAAGATGTTTGTGAGAATGCTTCTGTCTAGATTTTGTATGACCATATTCCCTTTTCCAACGATATCGTTAAAGAAATCTAAATATCAATTTGCAGAATCCACAAAAATAGAGTTTCAAAGCTGCTCTGTAAAAAGAAAGGTTCCGCTCTGTTAGCTGAGTACACACATCACAAACTTGTTTCTGAGAATCCTTCTGTCTCGTTTTTATGGGAAGATATATACTTTTCCACCGTAGGCATCAAAGCGCTCCAAATGTCCACATCTAGATACTCCAGAACGAGTGTTTCAAACCTGCTCTATGAAAGGGAATCTTCAACTCTATGAGTTGAATGCAGACATCAGAAAGAAATTTCTGAGAATGCTGCTGTCTACCTTTTATTTGAATTCCCGCTTCCAACGAAAACCTCCAAGCTATCCAAATATCCACTTGCAGATTCCACAAAAAGAGTGTTTCAAAACTGCTCTATCAATAGAAATGTTCAACTCCTTTCGCTGGGTACACACATCACAAACAAGTTTCTGAGAAAGCTTCTGTCTAGTTTTTATGGGTAGACATTCCCTTTTTCACCAAAGGCAATCAAAGCGCTCCAAATGTCCACTTCCAGACACTACAAAAAGAGTGTTTCAAACGTGCTCTAAGAAAGCGAATGTTCAACTCTGTGACTTGAATGCAGATATCACAAAGTAGTTTCTGAGAGTGCTTCTGTCTAGATTTTAGATGATGATATTCCCGTTTCCAACGAAATCATTAGAGCTATCCAAATATCCACTTACAGTTTCTACAAAAAGAGTGTTTCCAAACTGCTGCATCAAAAGAGAGGTTCCACTCTGTTAGCTGAGTACACACATCACAAACTTGTTTCTGAGAATCCTTCTGTCTCGTTTTTATGGGAAGATATTTACTTTTTCACCGTAGGCATCAAAGCGCTCCAAATGTCCTCATCCAGATACTCCAGAAAGAGTGTTTCAAACCTGCTCTATGAAAGGGAATCTTCAACTCTATGAGTTGAATGCAGACATCAGAAAGAAATTTCTGAGAATGCTGCTGTCTACCTTTTATTTGAATTCCCGCTTCCAACGAAATCCTCCAAGCTATCCAAATATCCACTTGCAGATTCCACAAAAAGAGTGTTTCAAAACTGCTCTCTATCAATGGCAAAGTTCAACTCTGTTAGTTGAGGACACATATCACCAACAAGTTTCTGAGAATGCTTCTGTCTATTTTTTATGGGAAGATATTTCCTTTTTCACCGTAGGCGTCAAGGCGATCGAAATGTCCACTTCCACAAACTATAAAAAGAGTGTTTCAAACCTGCTCTATGAAAGGCCATGTTCATCTCTATGAGTTGAATGGAAATATCCGAAAGAAATTTCTGGGAATGCTGCTGTCTAGTGTTTATACGAATTCCCGCTTCCAACGAAATCCTCAAAGCAATCCAAATATCCACTTGCAGAATCCACAAAAAGAGTGTTTCAAAACTGCTCTATCAATAGAAAGGTTCAACTCTTTTAGTTGAGTACACACATCACGAACAAGTTTCTGAGAATGCTTCTGTCTGGCTTTTATTGGAAGACGTTTCCTTTTCACCAAAGGCATCAAAGCGCTCCAAATGTCCACTTCCAGATTCTTCCAAAAGAGTGTTTCAAACGTGCTCGAAGTAAGGGAATGTTCAACTCTGTGACTTGAATGCAGATATCACCAAGTAGTTTCTAATAGTGCTTCTGTCTACATTTTAGATGATGATATTCCCGTTTCCAACGAAATCGTTAGAGCTATCCAAATATCCAGTTACAGTTTCTACCAAAAGGGTGTTTCCAAATTGCTGCATCAAAAGAAAGGTTCAACTCTGTTAGTTGAGGACACACATCACAAAGAAGTTTGTGAGAATGCTTCTGTCTAGATTTTGTATGACGGTATTCCCTTTTCCAACGATATCGTTAAAGCAATCTAAATATCAATTTGCAGAATCCACAACAATAGAGTTTCAAAGCTGCTCTGTAAAAAGAAAGGTTCCACTCTGTTAGCTGAGTACACACATCACAAACTTGTTTCTGAGAATCCTTCTGTCTCGTTTTTATGGGAAGATATTTACTTTTCCACCGTAGGCATCAAAGCGCTCCAAATGTCCACATCCGGATACTCCAGAACGAGTGTTTCAAACCTGCTCTATGAAAGGGAATCTTCAACTATATGAGTTGAATGCAGACATCAGAAAGAAATTTCTGAGAATGCTGCTGTCTAACTTTTATTTGAATTCCCGCTTCCAACGAAATCCTCCAAGCTATCCAAATATCCACCTGCATTTTCCACAAAAAGAGTGTTTCAAAACTGCTCTATCAATAGAAATGTTCAACTCCTTTGGGTGGGTACACACATCACAAACAAGTTTCTGAGAATGCTTCTGTCTAGTTTTTATGGGTAGACATTCCCTTTTTCACCAAAGGAATCAAAGCGCTCCAAATGTCCACTTCCAGACACTACAAAAAGAGTGTTTCCAACGTGCTCTAAGAAAGCGAATGTTCAACTCTGTGACTTGAATGCAGATATCACAAAGTAGTTTCTGAGAGGGCTTCTGTCTAGATTTTAGATGATGATATTCCCGTTTCCAACGAAATCATTAGAGCTATCCAAATATCCACTTACAGTTTCTACAAAAAGAGTTTTTCCAAACTGCTGCATCAAAAGAGAGGTTCCACTCTGTTAGCTGAGTACGCCCATCACAAACTTGTTTCTCAGAATCCTTCTGTCTCGTTTTTATGGGAAGATATTTACTTTTTCACCGTAGGCATCCAAGCGCTCCAAATGTCCACATCCAGATACTCCAGAAAGAGTGTTTCAAACCTGCTTTATGAAAGGGAGTCTTCAACTCTATGAGTTGAATGCAGACATCAGAAGGAAATTTCTGAGAATGCTGCTGTCTACCTTTTATTTGAATTCCCGCTTCCAACGAAATCCTCCAAGCTATCCAAATATCCACTTGCATTTTCCACAAAAAGAGTGTTTAAAAACTGCTCTATCAATAGAAATGTTCAACTCCTTTAGCTGGGTACACACATCACAAACAAGTTTCTGAGAATGCTTCTGTCTAGTTTTTATGGGAAGACATTCCCTTTTTCACCAAAGCCATCAAAGCGCTCCAAATGTCCACTTCCAGACACTACAAAAAGAGTGTTTCAAACGTGCTCTAAGAAAGCGAATGTTCAACTCTGTGACTTGAATGCAGATATCACAAAGTAGTTTCTGAGAGGGCTTCTGTCTAGATTTTAGATGATGATATTCCCGTTTCCAACGAAATCATTAGAGCTATCCAAATATCCACTTACAGTTTCTACAAAAAGAGTATTTCCAAACTGCTGCATCAAAAGAGAGGTTCCACTCTGTTAGCTGAGTACACACATCACAAACTTGTTTCTCAGAATCCTCTGTCTCGTTTTTCTGGGAAGATATTTACTTTTTCACCGTAGGCATCAAAGCGCTCCAAATGTCCACATCCAGATACTCCAGAAAGAGTGTTTCAAACCTGCTCTATGAAAGGGAATCTTCAACTCTATGAGTTGAATGCAGACATCAGAAAGAAATTTCTGAGAATGCTGCTGTCTACCTTTTATTTGAATTCCCGCTTCCAACGAAATCCTCCAAGCTATCCAAATATCCACTTGCAGATTCCACAAAAAGAGTGTTTCAAAACTGCTCTCTATCAATGGCAAAGTTCAACTCTGTTAGTTGAGGACACATATCACCAACAAGTTTCTGAGAATGCTTCTGTCTATTTTTTATGGGAAGATATTTCCTTTTTCACCGTAGGCGTCAAAGCGATCGAAATGTCCACTTCCACAAACTACAAAAAGAGTGTTTCAATATGAAAGGCCATGTTCATCTCTATGAGTTGAATGGAAATATCCAAAAGAAATTTCTGGGAATGCTGCTGTCTAGTGTTTATACGAATTCCCGCTTCCAACGAAATCCTCAAAGCAATCCAAATATCCACTTGCAGAATCCACAAAAAGAGTGTTTCTAAACTGCTCTATCAATAGAAAGGTTCAACTCTTTTAGTTGAGTACACACATCACGAATAAGTTTCTGAGAATGCTTCTGTCTGGCTTTTATTGGAAGACGTTTCCTTTTCACCAAAGGCATCAAAGCGCTCCAAATGTCCACTTCCAGATTCTTCCAAAAGAGTGTTTCAAACGTGCTCGAAGTAAGGGAATGTTCTACTCTGTGACTTGAATGCAGATATCACCAAGTAGTTTCTAATAGTGCTTCTGTCTAGATTTTAGATGATGATATTCCCGTTTCCAACGAAATCGTTAGAGCTATCCAAATATCCAGTTACAGTTTCTACCAAAAGGGTGTTTCCAAATTGCTGCATCAAAAGAAAGGTTCAACTCTGTTAGTTGAGGACACACATCACAAAGAAGTTTGTGAGAATGCTTCTCTCTAGATTTTGTATGAAGATATTCCCTTTTCCAACGATATCGTTAAATCAACCCAAATATCAATTTGCAGAATCCACAGATATAGAGTTTCAAAGCTGCTCTGTAAAAAGAAAGGATCCACTCTGTTAGCTGAGTACACACATCACAAACTTGTTTCTGAGAATCCTGCTGTCTACCTTTTATTTGAATTCCCGCTTCCAACGAAATCCTCCAAGCTATCCAAATATCCACCTGCATTTTCCACAACAAGAGTGTTTCAAAACTGCTCTATCAATAGAAATGTTCAACTCCTTTGGCTGGGTACACACATCACAAACAACTTTCTGAGAATGCTTCTGTCTAGTTTTTATGGGAAGACATTCCCTTTTTCACCAAAGACATCAAAGCGCTCCAAATGTCCACTTCCAGACACCACAAAAAGAGTGTTTCAAACGTGCTCTAAGAAAGCGAATGTTCAACTCTGTGACTTGAATGCAGATATCACAAAGTAGTTTCTGAGAGGGCTTCTGTCTAGATTTTATATGATGATATTCCCGTTTCCAACGAAATCATTAGAGCTATCCAAATATCCACTTACAGTTTCTACAAAAAGAGTGTTTCCAAACTGCTGCATCAAAAGAGAGGTTCCACTCTGTTAGCTGAGTACACACATCACAAACTTGTTTCTCAGAATCCTTCTGTCTCGTTTTTATGGGAAGATATTTACTTTCTCACCGTAGGCATCAAAGCGCTCCAAATGTCCACATCCAGATACTCGAGAAAGAGTGTTTCAAACCTGCTCTATGAAAGGGAATCTTCAACTCTATGAGTTGAATGCAGACATCAGAAAGAAATTTCTGAGAATGCTGCTGTCTACCTTTTATTTGAATTCCCGCTTCCAACGAAATCCTCCAAGCTATCCAAATATCCACTTGCAGATTCCACAGAAGGAGTGTTTCAAAACTGCTCTCTATCAATGGCAAAGTTCAACTCTGTTAGTTGAGGACACATATCACCAACAAGTTTCTGAGAATGCTTCTGTCTATTTTTTATGGGAAGATATTTCCTTTTTCACCGTAGGCGTCAAGGCGATCGAAATGTCCACTTCCACAAACTACAAAAAGAGTGTTTCAAACCTGCTCTATGAAAGGCCATGTTCATCTCTATGAGTTGAATGGATATATCGGAAAGAAATTTCTGGGAATGCTGCTGTCTAGTTTTTATACGAATTCCCGCTTCCAACGAAATCCTCAAAGCAATCCAAATATCCACTTGCAGAATCCACAAAAAGAGTGTTTCAAAACTGCTCTATCAATAGAAAGGTTCAACTCTTTTAGTTGAGTACACACATCACAAACAAGTTTCTGAGAATGCTTCTGTCTGGCTTTTATTGGAAGACGTTTCCTTTTCACCAAAGGCATCAAAGCACTCCAAATGTCCACTTCCAGATTCTTCCAAAAGAGTGTTTGAAACGTGCTCAAAGTAAGGGAATGTTCAACTCTGTGACTTGAATGCAGATATCACCAAGTAGTTTCTAATAGTGCTTCTGTCTAGATTTTAGATGATGATATTCCCGTTTCCAACGAAATCGTTAGAGCTATCCAAATATCCACTTACAGTTGCTACAAAAAGAGTGTTTCCAAACTGCTGCATCAAAAGAAAGGTTCAACTCTGTTAGTTGAGGACACACGTCACAAAGAAGTTTGTGAGAATGCTTCTGTCCAGATTTTGTATGACGATATTCCCATTTCCAACGATATCGTTAAAGCAATCTAAATATCAATTTGCAGAATCCACAAAAATAGAGTTTCAAAGCTGCTCTGTAAAAAGAAAGGTTCCACTCTGTTAGCTGAGTACACACATCACAAACTTGTTTCTCAGAATCCTTCTGTCTCGTTTTTATGGGAAGATATTTACTTTTTCACCGTAGGCATCGCTCCAAATGTCCACATCCAGATACTCCAGAAAGACTGTTTCAAACCTGCTCTATGAAAGGGAATCTTCAACTCTATGAGTTGAATGCAGACATCAGAAAGAAATTTCTGAGAATGCTGCTGTCTACCTTTTATTTGAATTCCCGCTTCCAACGAAATCCTCCAAGCTATCCAAATATCCACTTGCATTTTCCACCAAAAGAGTGTTTCAAAACTGCTCTATCAATAGAAATGTTCAAATCCTTTAGCTGGGTACACACATCACAAACAAGTTTCTGAGAATGCTTCTGTCTAGTTTTTATGGGTAGACATTCCCTTTTTCACAAAAGGAATCAAAGCGCTCCAAATGTCCACTTCCAGACACTACAAAAAGAGTGTTTCAAACGTGCTCTAAGAAAGCGAATGTTCAACTCTGTGACTTGAATGCAGATATCACAAAGTAGTTTCTGAGAGGGCTTCTGTCTAGACTTTAAATGATGATATTCCCGTTTCCAACGAAATCATTAGAGCTATCCAAATATCCACTTACAGTTTCTACAAAAAGAGTGTTTCCAAACTGCTGCATCAAAAGAGAGGTTCCACTCTGTTAGCTGAGTACACACATCACAAACTTGTTTCTCAGAATCCTTCTGTCTCGTTTTTATGGGAAGATATTTACTTTTTCACCGTAGGCATCAAAGCGCTCCAAATGTCCACATCCAGATACCCCAGAAAGAGTGTTTCAAACCTGCTCTATGAAAGGGAATCTTCAACTCTATGAGTTGAATGCAGACATCAGAAAGAAATTTCTGAGAATGCTGCTGTCTACCTTTTATTTGAATTCTCACTTCCAACGAAATCCTCCAAGCTATCCAAATATCCACTTGCATTTTCCACAAAAAGAGTGTTTCAAAACTGCTCTCTATCAATGGCAAAGTTCAACTCTGTTAGTTGAGGACACATATCACCAACAAGTTTCTGAGAATGCTTCTGTCTATTTTTTATGGGAAGATATTTCCTTTTTCACCGTAGGCGTCAAGGCGATCGAAATGTCCACTTCCACAAACTACAAAAAGAGTGTTTCAAACCTGCTCTATTAAAGGCCATGTTCATCTCTATGAGTTGAATGGAAATATCCGAAAGAAATTTCTGGGAATGCTGCTGTCTAGTGTTTATACGAATTCCCGCTTCCAACGAAATCCTCAAAGCAATCCAAATATCCACTTGCAGAATCCACAAAAAGAGTGTTTCAAAACTGCTCTATCAATAGAAAGGTTCAACTCTTTTAGTTGAGTACACACATCACGAACAAGTTTCTGAGAATGCTTCTGTCTGGCTTTTATTGGAAGACGTTTCCTTTTCACCAAAGGCATCAAAAGGCTCCAAATGTCCACTTCCAGATTCTTCCAAAAGAGTGTTTCAAACGTGCTCGAAGTAAGGGAATGTTCAACTCTGTGACTTGAATGCAGATATCACCAAGTAGTTTCTAATAGTGCTTCTGTCTAGATTTTAGATGATGATATTCCCGTTTCCAACGAAATCATTAGAGCTATCCAAATATGCAGTTACAGTTTCTACCAAAAGGGTGTTTCCAAATTGCTGCATCAAAAGAAAGGTTCAACTCTGTTAGTTGAGGACACACATCACAAAGAAGTTTGTGAGAATGCTTCTGTCTAGATTTTGTATGACGATATTCCCTTTTCCAACGATATCGTTAAAGCAATCTAAATATCAATTTGCAGAATCCACAAAAATAGAGTTTCAAAGCTGCTCTGTGAAAAGAAAGGTTCCACTCTGTTAGCTGAGTACACACATCACAAACTTGTTTCTCAGAATCCTTCTGTCTCGTTTTTATGGGAAGATATTTACTTTTCCACCGTAGGCATCAAAGCGCTCCAAATGTCCACATCCAGATACTCCAGAACGAGTGTTTCAAACCTGCTCTATGAAAGGGAATCTTCAACTCTATCAGTTGAATGCAGACATCAGAAAGAAATTTCTGAGAATGCTGCTGTCTACCTTTTATTTGAATTCCCGCTTCCAACGAAATCCTCCAAGCTATCCAAATATCCACTTGCATTTTCCACAACAAGAGTGTTTCAAAACTGCTCTATCAATAGAAATGTTCAACTCCCTTTGGCTGGGTACACACATCACAAACAAGTTTCTGAGAATGCTTCTGTGTAGTTTTTATGGGTAGACATTCCCTTTTTCACCAAAGGAATCAAAGCGCTCCAAATGTCCACTTCCAGACACTACAAAAAGAGTGTTTCAAACGTGCTCTAAGAAAGCGAATGTTCAACTCTGTGACTTGAATGCAGATATCACAAAGTAGTTTCTGAGAGGGCTTCTGTCTAGACTTTAGATGATGATATTCCCGTTTCCAACGAAATCATTAGAGCTATCCAAATATCCACTTACAGTTTCTACAAAAAGAGTGTTTCCAAACTGCTGCATCAAAAGAGAGGTTCCACTCTGTTAGCTGAGTACACACATCACAAACTTGTTTCTCAGAATCCTTCTGTCTCGTTTTTATGGGAAGATATTTACTTTTTCACCGTAGGCATCAAAGCGTTCCAAATGTCCACATCCAGATAGTGCAGAAAGAGTGTTTCAAGCCTGCTCTATGAAAGGGAATGTTCAACTCTATGAGTTGAATGCAAACATCACAAAGAAATTTCTGAGAATGCTGCTGTCTACCTTTTATTTGAACTCCCGCTTCCAACGAAATCCTCCAAACTATCCAAATATCCACTTGCATTTTCCACAAAAAGAGTGCTTCAAAACTGCTCTATCAATAAATGTTCAACTCCTTTAGCTGGGTGCACACATCACAAACAAGTTTCTGAGAATGCTTCTGTCTAGTTTTTATGGGAAGACATTTCCTTTTTCACCAAAGGCATCAAAGAGCTCCAAATGTCCACTTCCAGATACTACAAAAAGAGTGTTTCAAAAGTGCTCTAAGAAACCGAATGTTCAACTCTGTGACTTGAATGCAGATATCAAAAAGTAGTTTCTGAGAGTGCTTCTGTCTAGATTTTAGATGATGATATTCCCGTTTCCAACGAAATCATCAGAGCTATCCAAATATCCACTTACAGTTTCTACAAAAAGAGTGTTTCCAAACTGCTGCATCAAAACAGAGGTTCCACTCTGTTAGCTGAGTACACACATCACAAACTAGTTTCTCAGAATCCTTCTGTCTCGTTTTTATGGGAAGATATTTACTTTTTCACCATAGGTATCAAAGCGCTCCAAATGTCCACATCCAGATACTCCAGAAAGAGTGTTTCAAACCTGCTCTATGAAAGGGAATCTTCAACTCTATGAGTTGAATGCAGACATCAGAAAGAAATTTCTGAGAATGCTGCTGTCTACCTTTTATTTGAATTCCCGCTTCCAACGAAATCCTCCAAGCTATCCAAATATCCACTTGCAGATTCCACAAAAAGAGTGTTTCAAAACTGCTCTCTATCAATGGCAAAGTTCAACTCTGTTAGTTGAGGACACATATCACCAACAAGTTTCTGAGAATGCTTCTGTCTATTTTTCATGGGAAGATATTTCCTTTTTCACCGTAGGCGTCAAGGCGATCGAAATGTCCACTTCCACAAACTACAAAAAGAGTGTTTCAATATGAAAGGCCATGTTCATCTCTATGAGTTGAATGGAAATATCCGAAAGAAATTTCTGGGAATGCTGCTGTCTACCTTTTATTTGAATTCCCGCTTCCAACGAAATCCTCCAAGCTATCCAAATATCCACCTGCATTTTCCACAAAAAGAGCGTTTCAAAACTGCTCTATCAATAGAAATGTTCAACTCCTTTGGCTGGGTACACACATCACAAACAAGTTTGCTGAGAATGCTTTCTGTCTAGTTTTTATGGGAAGACATTCCCTTTTTCACCAAAGGCATCAAAGCGCTCCAAATGTCCACTTCCAGACACTACAAAAAGAGTGTTTCCAACGTGCTCTAAGAAAGCGAATCTTCAACTCTGTGACTTGAATGCAGATATCACAAAGTAGTTTCTAATAGTGCTTCTGTCTAGCATTTTAGATGATGATATTCCCGTTTCCAACGAAATCGTTAGAGCTATCCAAATATCCACTTACAGTTTCTACAAAAAGAGTGTTTCCAAACTGCTGCATCAAAAGAAAGGTTCAACTCTGTTAGTTGAGGACACACGTCACAAAGAAGTTTGTGAGAATGCTTCTGTCCAGATTTTGTATGACAATATTCCCTTTTCCAACGATATCGTTAAAGCAATCTAAATATCAATTTGCAGAATCCACAAAAATAGAGTTTCAAAGCTGCTCTGTAAAAAGAAAGGTTCCACTCTGTTAGCTGAGTACACACATCACAAACTTGTTTCTCAGAATCCTTCTGTCTCGTTTTTCTGGGAAGATATTTACTTTTTCACCGTAGGCATCAAAGCGCTCCAAATGTACACATCCAGATACTCCAGAAAGAGTGTTTCAAACCTGCTCTATGAAAGGGAATCTTCAACTCTATGAGTTGAATGCAGACATCAGAAAGAAATTTCTGAGAATGCTGCTGTCTACCTTTTATTTGAATTCCCGCTTCCAACGAAATCCTCCAAGCTATCCAAATATCCACTTGCATTTTCCACAAAAAGAGTGTTTCAAAACTGCTCTATCAATAGAAATGTTCAACTCCATTAGCTGGGTACACACATCACAAACAAGTTTCTGAGAATGCTTCTGTCTAGTTTTTATGGGAAGACATTCCCTTTTTCACCAAAGGCATCAAAGCGCTCCAAATGTCCACTTCCAGACACTACAAAAAGAGTGTTTCAAACGTGCTCTAAGAAACCGAATGTTCAACTCTGTGACTTGAATGCAGATATCACAAAGTAGTTTCTGAGAGGGCTTCTGTCTAGATTTTAGATGATGATATTCCCGTTTCCAACGAAATCATTACAGCTATCCAAATATCCACTTACAGTTTCTACAAAAAGAGTGTTTCCAAACTGCTGCATCAAAAGAGAGGTTCCACTCTGTTAGCTGAGTACACACATCACAAACTTTTTTCTCAGAATCCTTCTGTCTCGTTTTTATGGGAAGATTATACTTTTTCACCGTAGGCATCAAAGCGCTCCAAATGTCCACATCCAGATACTCCAGAAAGAGTGTTTCAAACCTGCTCTATGAAAGGGAATCTTCAACTCTATGAGTTGAATGCAGACATCAGAAAGAAATTTCTGAGAATGCTGCTGTCTACCTTTTATTTGAATTCCCGCTTCCAACGAAATCCTCCAAGCTATCCAAATATCCACTTGCAGATTCCACAAAAAGAGTGTTTCAAAACTGCTCTCTATCAATGGCAAAGTTCAACTCTGTTAGTTGAGGACACATATCACCAACAAGTTTCTGAGAATGCTTCTGTCTATTTTTCATGGGAAGATATTTCCTTTTTCACCGTAGGCGTCAAGGCGATCGAAATGTCCACTTCCACAAACTACAAAAAGAGTGTTTCAAACCTGCTCTATGAAAGGCCATGTTCATCTCTATGAGTTGAATGGAAATATCCGAAAGAAATTTCTGGGAATGCTGCTGTCTAGTGTTTATACGAATTCCCGCTTCCAACGAAATCCTCAAAGCAATCCAAATATCCACTTGCAGAATCCACAAAAAGAGTGTTTCAAAACTGCTCTATCAATAGAAAGGTTCAACTCTTTTAGTTGAGTACACACATCACCAACAAGTTTCTGAGAATGCTTCTGTCTGGCTTTTATTGGAAGACGTTTCCTTTTCACCAAAGGCATCAAAGCGCTCCAAATGTCCACTTCCAGATTCTTCCAAAAGAGTGTTTCAAACGTGCTCAAAGTAAGGGAATGTTCAACTCTGTGACTTGAATGCAGATATCACCAAGTAGTTTCTAATAGTGCTTCTGTCTAGATTTTAGATGATGATATTCCCGTTTCCAAGGAAATCGTTAGAGCTATCCAAATATCCAGTTACAGTTTCTACCAAAAGGGTGTTTCCAAATTGCTGCATCAAAAGAAAGGTTCAACTCTGTTAGTTGAGGACACACATCACAAAGAAGTTTGTGAGAATGCTTCTGTCTAGATTTTGTATGACCATATTCCCTTTTCCAGCGATATCATTAAAGCAATCTAAATATCCATTTGCAGAATCCACAAAAATAGAGTTTCAAAGCTGCTCTGTAAAAAGAAAGGTTCCACTCTGTTAGCTGAGTACACACATCACAAACTTGTTTGCTCAGAATACCTTCTGTCTCGTTTTTATGGGAAGATATTTACTTTTCCACCGTAGGCATCAAAGCGCTCCAAATGTCCACATCCATATACTCCAGAACGAGTGTTTCAAACCTACTCAATGAAAGGGAATCTTCAACTCTATGAGTTGAATGCAGACATCAGAAAGAAATTTCTGAGAATGCTGCTGTCTACCTTTTATTTGAATTCCCGCTTCCAACGAAATCCTCCAAGCTATCCAAATATCCACTTGCATTTTCCACAAAAAGAGTGTTTCAAAACTGCTCTATCAATAGAAATGTTCAACTCCATTAGCTGGGTACACACATCACAAACAAGTTTCCTGAGAATGCTTCTGTCTAGTTTTTATGGGAAGACATTCCCTTTTTCACCAAAGGCATCAGAGCGCTCCAAAGGTCCACTTTCAGACACTACAAAAAGAGTGTTTCAAACGTGCTCTAAGAAAGCGAATGTTCAACTCTGTGACTTGAATGCAGATATCACAAAGTAGTTTCTGAGAGGGCTTCTGTCTAGATTTTAGATGATGATATTCCCGTTTCCAATGAAATCATTAGAGCTATCCAAATATCCACTTACAGTTTCTACAAAAAGAGAGTTTCCAAAGTGCTGCATCAAAAGAGAGGTTCCACTCTGTTAGCTGAGGACACACATCACAAACATGTTTCTGAGAATCCTTCTGTCTAGCTTTTATGGGAAGATATTTTCTTTTTCACCATAGGCATCAAAGCGTTCCCAATGTCCACATCCAGATAGTACAGAAAGAGTGTTTCAAACCTGCTCTATGAAAGGGAATGTTCAACTCTATGAGTTGAATGCAAACATCACAAAGAAATTTCTGAGAATGCTGCTGTCTACCTTTCATTTGAATTCCCGCTTCCAACGAAATCCTCCAGGCTATCCAAATATCCACATGCAGATTCCACAAAAAGAGTGTTTCTAAACTGCTCTATCAATGGCAAGGTTCACCTCTGTCAGTTGAGGATTCACATCACAAACAAGTTTCTGAGAATTCTTCTGTCTATTTTTTATGGGAAGATATTTCCTTTTTCGCCGTAGGCGTCAAGGCGATCGAAATGTCCACTTCCACAAACTACAAAAAGAGTGTTTCAAACCTGCTCTATGAAAGGCCATGTTCATCTCTATGAGTCGAATGGAAATATCCGAAAGAAATTTCTGGGAATGCTGCTGTCTAGTTGTTATACGAATTCCCGCTTCCAACGAAATCCTCAAAGCAATCCAAATATCCACTTGCAGAATCCACAAAAAGAGTGTTTCAAAACTGCTCTATCAATAGAAAGGTTCAACTCTTTTAGTTGAGTACACACGTCAAGAACAAGTTTCTGAGAATGCTTCTGTCTGGCTTTTATTGGAAGACGTTTCCTTTTCACCAAAGGCATCAAAGCGCTCCAAATGTCCACTTCCAGATTCTTCCAAAAGAGTGTTTCAAACGTGCTCAAAGTAAGGGAATGTTCAACTCTTTGACTTGAATGCAGATATCACCAAGTAGTTTCTAATAGTGCTTCTGTCTAAATTTTAGATGACGATATTCCCGTTTCCAACGAAATCGTTACAGCTATCCAATTATCCACTTACAGTTTCTACAAAAAGAGTGTTTCCAAACTGCTGCATCAAAAGAAAGGTTCAACTCTGTTAGTTGAGGACACACATCACAAAGAAGTTTGTGAGAATGCTTCTGTCCAGATTTTGTATGACGATATTCCCTTTTCCAACGATATCATTAAAGCAATCTAAATATCCATTTGCAGAATCCACAAAAATAGAGTTTCAAAGCTGCTCTGTAAAAAGAAAGGTTCCACTCTGTTAGCTGAGTACACACATCACAAACTTGTCTCTCAGAATCCTTCTGTCTCGTTTTTATGGGAAGATATTTACTTTTTCACCGTAGGAATCAAAGCGCTCCAAATGTCCACATCCAGATACTCCAGAAAGAGTGTTTCAAACCTGCTCTATGAAAGGGAATGTTCAACTCTATGAGTTGAATGCAGACATCAGAAAGAAATTTCTGAGAATGCTGCTGTCTACCTTTTATTTGAATTCCCGCTTCCAACGAAATCCTCCAAGCTATCCAAATATCCACCTGCATTTTCCACAAAAAGAGTGTTTCGAAACTGCTCTATCAATAGAAATGTTCAACTCCTTTAGCTGGGTACACACATCACAAACAAGTTTCTGAGAATGCTTCTGTCTAGTTTTTATGGGAAGACATTCCCTTTTTCACCAAAGGCATCAAAGCGCTCCAAATGTCCACTTCCAGACACTACAAAAAGAGTGTTTCCAACGTGCTCTAAGAAAGCGAATGTTCAACTCTGTGACTTCAATGCAGATATCACAAAGTAGTTTCTGAGAGGGCTTCTGTCTAGATTTTAGATGATGATATTACCGTTTCCAAAGAAATCATTAGAGCTATCCAAATATCCACTTACAGTTTCTACAAAAAGAGTGTTTCCAAACTGCTGCATCAAAAGAGAGGTTCCACTCTGTTAGCTGAGTACACACATCACAAACTTGTTTCTCAGAATCCTTCTGTCTCGTTTTTATGGGAAGATATTTACTTTTTCACCGTAGGCATAAAAGCGCTCCAAATGTCCACATCCAGATACTCCAGAAAGAGTGTTTCAAACCTGCTCTATGAAAGGGAATGTTCAACTCTATGAGTTGAATGCAGACATCAGAAAGAAATTTCTGAGAATGCTGCTGTCTTTTATTTGAATTCCCGCTTCCAACGAAATCCTCCAAGCTATCCAAATATCCACTTGCAGATTCCACAAAAAGAGTGTTTCAAAACTGCTCTCTATCAATGGCAAAGTTCAACTCTGTTAGTTGAGGACACATATCACCAACAAGTTTCTGAGAATGCTTCTGTCTATTTTTTATGGGAAGATATTTCCTTTTTCACCGTAGGCGTCAAGGCGATCGAAATGTCCACTTCCACAAACTACAAAAAGAGTGTTTCAAACCTGCTCTATGAAAGGCCATGTTCATCTCTATGAGTTGAATGGAAATATCCGAAAGAAATTTCTGGGAATGCTGCTGTCTAGTGTTTATACGAATTCCCGCTTCCAACGAAATCCTCAAAGCAATCCAAATATCCACTTGCAGAATCCACAAAAAGAGTGTTTCAAAACTGCTCTATCAATAGAAAGGTTCAACTCTTTTAGTTGAGTACACACATCACGAACAAGTTTCTCAGAATGCTTCTGTCTGGCTTTTATTGGAAGACGTTTCCTTTTCACCAAAGGCATCAAAGCGCTCCAAATGTCCACTTCCAGATTCTTCCAAAAGAGTGTTTCAAACGTGCTCCAAGTAAGGGAATGTTCAACTCTGTGACTTGAATGCAGATATCACCAAGTAGTTTCTAATAGTGCTTCTGCCTACATTTTAGATGATGATATTCCCGTTTCCAACGAAATCGTTAGAGCTATCCAAATATCCAGTTACAGTTTCTACCAAAAGGGTGTTTCCAAATTGCTGCATCAAAAGAAAGGTTCAACTCTGTTAGTTGAGGACACACATCACAAAGAAGTTTGTGAGAATGCTTCTGTCTAGGTTTTGTATGACGATATTCCCTTTTCCAACGATATCGTTAAAGCAATCTAAATATCAATTTGCAGAATCCACAAAAATAGAGTTTCAAAGCTGCTCTGTAAAAAGAAAGGTTCCACTTCTGTTAGCTGAGTACACACATCACAAACTTGTTTCTCAGAATCCTTTCTGTCTCGTTTTTATGGGAAGATATTTACTTTTCCACCGTAGGCATCAAAGCGCTCCAAATGTCCACATCCAGATACTCCAGAACGAGTGTTTCAAACCTACTCTATGAAAGGGAATCTTCAACTCTATGAGTTGAATGCAGACATCAGAAAGAAATTTCTGAGAATGCTGCTGTCTACCTTTTATTTGAATTCCCGCTTCCAACGAAATCCTCCAAGCTATCCAAATATCCACTTGCATTTTCCACAACAAGAGTGTTTCAAAACTGCTCTATCAATAGAAATGTTCAACTCCTTTGGCTGGGTACACACATCACAAACAAGTTTCTGAGAATGCTTCTGTCTAGTTTTTATGGGAAGACGTTCCCTTTTTCACCAAAGGCATCAAAGCGCTCCAAATCTCCACTTCCAGACACTACAAAAAGAGTGTTTCAAACGTGCTCTAAGAAAGCGAATGTTCAACTCTGTGACTTGAATGCAGATATCACAAAGTAGTTTCTGAGAGGGCTTCTGTCTAGATTTTAGATGATGATATTCCCGTTTCCAACGGAATCATTAGAGCTATCCAAATATCCACTTACAGTTTCTACAAAAAGAGTGTTTCCAAACTGCTGCATCAAAAGAGAGGTTCCAGTCTGTTAGCTGAGTACACACATCACAAACTTGTTTCTCAGAATCCTTCTGTCTCGTTTTTATGGGAAGATATTTACTTTTTCACCGTAGGCATCAAAGCGCTCCAAATGTCCACATCCAGATACTCCAGAAAGAGTGTTTCAAACGTGCTCTATGAAAGGGAATCTTCAACTCTATGAGTTGAATGCAGACATCAGAAAGAAATTTCTGAGAATGCTGCTGTCTACCTTTTATTTGAATTCCCGCTTCCAACGAAATCCTCCAAGCTATCCAAATATCCACTTGCAGATTCCACAAAAAGAGTGTTTCAAAACTGCTCTCTGTCAATGGCAAAGTTCAACTCTGTTAGTTGAGGACACATATCACCAACAAGTTTCTGAGAATGCTTCTGTCTATTTTTTATGGGAAGATATTTCCTTTTTCACCGTAGGCGTCAAGGCGATCGAAATGTCCACTTCCACAAACTACAAAAAGAGTGTTTCAAACCTGCTCTATGAAAGGCCATGTTCATCTCTATGAGTCGAATGGAAATATCCGAAAGAAATTTCTGGGAATGCTGCTGTCTAGTGTTTATACGAATTCCCGCTTCCAACGAAATCCTCAAAGCAATCCAAATATCCACTTGCAGAATTCACAAAAAGAGTGTTTCAAAACTGCACTATCAATAGAAAGGTTCAACTCTTTTAGTTGAGTACACACATCACGAACAAGTTTCTGAGAATGCTTCTGTCTGGCTTTTTTTGGAAGACGTTTCCTTTTCACCAAAGGCATCAAAGCGCTCCAAATGTCCACTTCCAGATTCTTCCAAAAGAGTGTTTGAAACGTGCTCAAAGTAAGGGAATGTTCAACTCTGTGACTTGAATGCAGATATCACCAAGTAGTTTCTAATAGTGCTTCTGTCTAGATTTTAGATGATGATATTCCCGTTTCCAACGAAATCGTTAGAGCTATCCAAATATCCACTTACAGTTGCTACAAAAACAGTGTTTCCAAACTGCTGCATCAAAAGAAAGGTTCAACTCTGTTAGTTGAGGACACACATCACAAAGAAGTTTGTGAGAATGCTTCTGTCTAGATTTTGTATGACCATATTCCCTTTTCCAGCGATATCATTAAAGCAATCTAAATATCCATTTGCAGAATCCACAAAAATAGAGTTTCAAAGCTGCTCTGTAAAAAGAAAGGTTCCACTCTGTTAGCTGAGTACACACATCACAAACTTGTTTCTCAGAATCCTTCTCTGTCTCGTTTTTCTGGGAAGATATTTACTTTTTCACCGTAGGCATCAAAGCGCTCCAAATGTCCACATCCAGAAACTCCAGAAAGAGTGTTTCAAACCTGCTCTATGAAAGGGAATCTTCAACTCTATGAGTTGAATGCAGACATCAGAAAGAAATTTCTGAGAATGCTGCTGTCTACCTTTTATTTGAATTCCCGCTTCCAACGAAATCCTCCAAGCTATCCAAATATCCACTTGCAGATTCCACAAAAAGAGTGTTTCAAAACTGCTCTCTATCAATGGCAAAGTTCAACTCTGTTAGTTGAGGACACATATCACCAACAAGTTTCTGAGAATGCTTCTTCAATTTTTTATGGGAAGACATTTCCTTTTTCACCGTAGGCGTCAAGGCGATCGAAATGTCCACTTCCACAAACTACAAAAAGAGTGTTTCAAACCTGCTCTATGAAAGGCCATGTTCATCTCTATGAGTCGAATGGAAATATCCGAAAGAAATTTCTGGGAATGCTGCTGTCTAGTTTTTATACGAATTCCCGCTTCCAACGAAATCCTCAAAGCAATCCAAATATCCACTTGCAGAATCCACAAAAAGAGTGTTTCAAAACTGCTCTATCAATAGAAAGGTTCAACTCTTTTAGTTGAGTACACACATCACAAACAAGTTTCTGAGAATGCTTCTGTCTGGCTTTTATTGGAAGACGTTTCCTTTTCACCAAAGGCATCAAAGCGCTCCAAATGTCCACTTCCAGATTCTTCTAAAAGAGTGTTTGAAACGTGCTCAAAGTAAGGGAATGTTCAACTCTGTGACTTGAATGCAGATATCACCAAGTAGTTTCTAATAGTGCTTCTGTCTAGAATTTAGATGATGATATTCCCGTTTCCAACGAAATCGTTAGAGCTATCCAAATATCCACTTACAGTTGCTACAAAAACAGTGTTTCCAAACTGCTGCATCAAAAGAAAGGTTCAACTCTGTTAGTTGAGGACACACGTCACAAAGAAGTTTGTGAGAATGCTTCTGTCCGTTTTTGTATGACGATATTCCCTTTTCCAACGATATCGTTAAAGCAATCTAAATATCCATTTGCAGAATCCACAAAAATAGAGTTTCAAAGCTGCTCTGTAAAAAGAAAGGTTCCACTCTGTTAGCTGAGTACACACATCACAAACTTGTCTCTCAGAATCCTTCTGTCTCGTTTTTATGGGAAGATATTTACTTTTTCACCGTAGGCATCAAAGCGCTCCAAATGTCCACATCCAGATACTCCAGAAAGAGTGTTTCAAACCTGCTCTATGAAAGGGAATCTTCAACTCTATGAGTTGAATGCAGACATCAGAAAGAAATTTCTGAGAATACTGCTGTCTACCTTTTATTTGAATTCCCGCTTCCAACGAAATCCTCCAAGCTATCCAAATATCCACCTGCATTTTCCACAACAAGAGTGTTTCAAAACTGCTCTATCAATAGAAATGTTCAACTCCTTTGTCTGGGTACACACATCACAAACAAGTTTCTGAGAATGCTTCTGTCTAGTTTTTATGGGAAGACATTCCCTTTTTCACCAAAGGCATCAAAGCACTCCAAATGTCCACTTCCAGACACTACAAAAAGAGTGTTTCCAACGTGCTCTAAGAAAGTGAATGTTCAACTCTGTGACTTGAATGCAGATATCACAAAGTAGTTTCTGAGAGGGCTTCTGTCTAGATTTTAGATGATGATAATCCCGTTTCCAACAAAATCATTAGGGCTTCCAAATATCCACTTACAGTTTCTACAAAAAGAGTGTTTCCAAACTGCTGCATCAAAAGAGAGGTTCCACTCTGTTAGCTGAGTACACACATCACAAATTTGTTTCTCAGAATCCTGCTGTCTACCTTTTATTTGAATTCCCGCTTCCAACGAAATCCTCCAAGCTATCCAAATATCCACTTGCAGATTCCACAAAAAGAGTGTTTCAAAACTGCTCTCTATCAATGGCAAAGTTCAACTCTGTTAGTTGAGGACACATATCACCAACAAGTTTCTGAGAATGCTTCTGTCTATTTTTTATGGGAAGATATTTCCTTTTTCACCGTAGGCGTCAAGGCGATCGAAATGTCCACTTCCACAAACTACAAAAAGAGTGTTTCAAACCTGCTCTATGAAAGGCCATGTTCATCTCTGTGAGTCGAATGGAAATATCCGAAAGAAATTTCTGGGAATGCTGCTGTCTAGTTTTTATACGAATTCCCGCTTCCAACGAAATCCTCAAAGCAATCCAAATATCCACTTGCAGAATCCACAAAAAGAGTGTTTCAAAACTGCTCTATCAATAGAAAGGTTCAACTCTTTTAGTTGAGTACACACATCACAAACAAGTTTCTGAGAATGCTTCTGTCTGGCTTTTATGGGAAGACGTTTCCTTTTCACCAAAGGCATCAAAGCGCTCCAAATGTCCACTTCCAGATTCTTCCAAAAGAGTGTTTGAAACGTGCTCAAAGTAAGGGAATGTTCAACTCTGTGACTTGAATGCAGATATCACCAAGTAGTTTCTAATAGTGCTTCTGTGTATACTTCAGATGAAGATATTCCCGTTTCCAACGATATCGTTAGACCTACCCAAATATCCACTTACAGTTTCTACAAAAAGAGTGTTTCCAAAGTGCTGCATCTAAAGAAAGGTTCAAATCTGTGAGTTGAGGACACACATCACAAAGAAGTTTCTGAGAAAGCTTCTGTCTAGATTTTGTATGACGATATTCCCTTTTCCAACGATATCGTTAAAGCAATCTAAATATCCATTTGCAGAATCCACAAAAATAGAGTTTCAAAGCTGCTCTGTAAAAAGAAAGGTTCCACTCTGTTAGCTGAGTACACACATCACAAACTTGTTTCTCAGAATCCTTCTCTGTCTCGTTTTTATGGGAAGATATTTACTTTTTCACCGTAGGCATCAAAGCGCTCGAAATGTCCACATCCAGATACTCCAGAAAGAGTGTTTCAAACCTGCTCTATGAAAGGGAATCTTCAACTCTATGAGTTGAATGCAGACATCAGAAAGAAATTTCTGAGAATGCTGCTGTCTACCTTTTATTTGAATTCCCGCTTCCAACGAAATCCTCCAAGCTATTCAAATATCCACCTGCATTTTCCACAACAAGAGTGTTTCAAAACTGCTCTATCAATAGAAATGTTCAACTCCTTTGGCTGGGTACACACATCACAAACAAGTTTCTGAGAATGCTTCTGTCTAGTTTTTATGGGAAGACATTCCCTTTTTCACCAAAGACATCAAAGCGCTCCAAATGTCCACTTCCAGACACTACAAAAAGAGTGTTTCAAACGTGCTCTAAGAAAGCGAATGTTCAACTCTGTGACTTGAATGCAGATATCACAAAGTAGTTTCTGAGAGGGCTTCTGTCTAGATTTTAGATGATGATATTCCCGTTTCCAACGAAATCATTAGAGCTATCCAAATATCCACTTACAGTTTTTACAAAAAGAGTGTTTCCAAACTGCTGCATCAAAAGAGAGGTTCCACTCTGTTAGCTGAGTACACACATCACAAACTTGTTTCTGAGAATCCTTCTGTCTCGTTTTTATGGGAAGATATTTACTTTTTCACCGTAGGCATCAAAGCGCTCCAAATGTCCACATCCAGATACTCCAGAAAGAGTGTTTCAAACCTGCTCTATGAAAGGAAATCTTCAACTCTATGAGTTGAATGCAGACATCAGAAAGAAATTTCTGAGAATGCTGCTGTCTACCTTTTATTTGAATTCCCGCTTCCTACGAAATCCTCCAAGCTATCCAAATATCCACTTGCAGATTCCACAAAAAGAGTGTTTCAAAACTGCTCTCTATCAATGGCAAAGTTCAACTCTGTTAGTTGAGGACACATATCACCAACAAGTTTCTGAGAATGCTTCTGTCTATTTTTTATGGGAAGATATTTCCTTTTTCACCGTAGGCGTCAAGGCGATCGAAATGTCCACTTCCACAAACTACAAAAAGAGTGTTTCAAACCTGCTCTATGAAAGGCCATGTTCATCTCTATGAGTTGAATGGAAATATCCGAAAGAAATTTCTGGGAATGCTGTTGTCTAGTGTTTATACGAATTCCCGCTTCCAACGAAATCCTCAAAGCAATCCAAATATCCACTTGCAGAATCCACAAAAAGAGTGTTTCAAAACTGCTCTATCAATAGAAAGGTTCAACTCTTTTAGTTGAGTACACACATCACGAACAAGTTTCTGAGAATGCTTCTGTCTGGCTTTTATTGGAAGACGTTTCCTTTTCACCAAAGGCATCAAAGCGCTCCAAATGTCCACTTCCAGATTCTTCCAAAAGAGTGTTTCAAACGTGCTCAAAGTAAGGGAATGTTCAACTCTGTGACTTGAATGCAGATATCACCAAGTAGTTTCTAATAGTGCTTCTGTCTAGATTTCAGATGATGATATTCCCGTTTCCAACGAAATCGTTAGAGCTAAGCAAATATCCAGTTACAGTTTCTACCAAAAGGGTGTTTCCAAATTGCTGCATCAAAAGAAAGGTTCAACTCTGTTAGTTGAGGACACACATCACAAAGAAGTTTGTGAGAATGCTTCTGTCTAGATTTTGTATGACGATATTCCCTTTTCCAACAATATCGTTAAAGCAATCTAAATATCAATTTGCAGAATCCACAAAAATAGAGTTTCAAAGCTGCTCTGTAAAAATAAAGGTTCCACTCTGTTAGCTGAGTACACACATCACAAACTTGTTTCTGAGAATCCTTCTGTCTCGTTTTTATGGGAAGATATTTACTTTTCCACCGTAGGCATCAAAGCGCTCCAAATGTCCACATCCAGATACCCCAGAACGAGTGTTTCAAACCTGCTCTATGAAAGGGAATCTTCAACTCTATGAGTTGAATGCAGACATCAGAAAGAAATTTCTGAGAATGCTGCTGTCTACCTTTTATTTGAATTCCCGCTTCCAACGAAATCCTCCAAGCTATCCAAATATCCACCTGCATTTTCCACAACAAGAGTGTTCCAAAACTGCTCTATCAATAGAAATGTTCAACTCCTTTGGCTGGGTACACACATCACAAACAAGTTTCTGAGAATGCTTCTGTCTAGTTTTTATGGGAAGACGTTCCCTTTTTCACCAAAGGCATCAAAGCGCTCCAAATGTCCACTTCCAGACACTACAAAAAGAGTGTTTCAAACGTGCTCTAAGAAAGCGAATGTTCAACTCTGTGACTTGAATGCAGATATCACAAAGTAGTTTCTGAGAGTGCTTCTGTCTAGATTTTAGATGATGATATTCCCGTTTCCAAAGAAATCATTAGAGCTATCCAAATATCCACTTACAGTTTCTACAAAAAGAGTGTTTCCAAACTGCTGCATCAAAAGAGAGGTTCCACTCTGTTAGCCGAGTACACACATCACAAACTTGTTTCTCAGAATCCTTCTGTCTCGTTTTTATGGGAAGATATTTACTTTTCCACCGTAGGCATCAAAGCGCTCCAAATGTCCACATCCAGATACTCCAGAAAGAGTGTTTCAAACCTGCTCTATGAAAGGGAATCTTCAACTCTATGAGTTGAATGCAGACATCAGAAAGAAATTTCTGAGAATGCTGCTGTCTATCTTTTATTTGAATTCCCGCTTCCAACGAAATCCTCCAAGCTATCCAAATATCCACTTGCAGATTCCACAAAAAGAGTGTTTCAAAACTGCTCTCTATCAATGGCAAAGTTCAACTCTGTTAGTTGAGGACACATATCACCAACAAGTTTCTGAGAATGCTTCTGTCTATTTTTTATGGGAAGATATTTCCTTTTTCAGCGTAGGCGTCAAGGCGATCGAAATGTCCACTTCCACAAACTACAAAAAGAGTGTTTCAAACCTGCTCTATGAAAGGCCATGTTCATCTCTATGAGTTGAATGGAAATATCCGAAAGAAATTTCTGGGAATGCTGCTGTCTAGTTTTTATACGAATTCCCGCTTCCAACGAAATCCTCAACGCAATCCAAATATCCACTTGCAGAATCCACAAAAAGAGTGTTTCAAAACTGCTCTATCAATAGAAAGGTTCAACTCTTTTAGTTGAGTACACACATCACAAACAAGTTTCTGAGAATGCTTCTGTCTGGCTTTTATTGGAAGACGTTTCCTTTTCACCAAAGGCATCAAAGCGCTCCAAATGTCCACTTCCAGATTCTTCCAAAAGAGTGTTTCAAACGTGCTCGAAGTAAGGGAATGTTCAACTCTGTGACTTGAATGCAGATATCACCAAGTAGTTTCTAATAGTGCTTCTGTCTAGATTTTAGATGATGATATTCCCGTTTCCAACGAAATCGTTAGAGCTATCCAAATATCCAGTTACAGTTTCTATCAAAAGGGTGCTTCCAAATTGCTGCATCAAAAGAAAGGTTCAACTCTGTTAGTTGAGGACACACATCACAAAGAAGTTTGTGAGAATGCTTCTGTCTAGATTTTGTATGACGGTATTCCCTTTTCCAACGATATCGTTAAAGCAATCTAAATATCAATTTGCAGAATCCACAACAATAGAGTTTCAAAGCTGCTCTGTAAAAAGAAAGGTTCCACTCTGTTAGCTGAGTACACACATCACAAACTTGTTTCTGAGAATCCTTCTGTCTCGTTTTTATGGGAAGATATTTACTTTTTCACCGTAGGCATCAAAGCGCTCCAAATGTCCACATACAGATACTCCAGAAAGAGTGTTTCAAACCTGCTCTATGAAAGGGAATCTTCAACTCTATGAGTTGAATGCAGACATCAGAAAGAAATTTCTGAGAATGCTGCTGTCTACCTTTTATTTGAACTCCCGCTTCCAACGAAATCCTCCAAGCTATCCAAATATCCACTTGCATTTTCCACAAAAAGAGTGCTTCAAAACTGCTCTATCAATAGAAATGTTCAACTCCTTTAGCTGGGTGCACACATCACAAACAAGTTTCTGAGAATGCTTCTGTCTACTTTTTAAGGGAAGACATTTCCTTTTTCACCAAAGGCATCAAAGCGCTCCAAATGTCCACTTCCAGATTCTACAAAAAGAGTGTTTCAAACCTGCTCTAAGTAAGAGAGTTTTCAACTATGTGACTGGAATGCAGATATCACAAAGTAGTTTCTGAGACTGCTTCTGTCTCGATTTTAGATGATATTCCCGTTTCCAACGAAATCATTAGAGCTATCCAAATATCCACTTACAGTTTCTACAAAAAGAGTGTTTCCAAACTGCTGCATCAAAAGAGAGGTTCCACTCTGTTAGCTGAGTACACACATCACAAACTTGTTTCTGAGAATCCTTCTGTCTCGTTTTTATGGGAAGATTATACTTTTTCACCGTAGGCATCAAAGCGCTCCAAATGTCCACATCCAGATACTACAGAAAGAGTGTTTCAAACCTGCTCTATGAAAGGGAATCTTCAACTCTATGAGTTGAATGCAGACATCAGAAAGAAATTTCTCAGAATGCTGCTGTCTACCTTTTATTTGAATTCCCGCTTCCAACGAAATCCTCCAAGCTATCCAAATATCCACTTGCAGATTCCACAAAAAGAGTGTTTCAAAACTGCTCTCTATCAATGGCAAAGTTCAACTCTGTTAGTTGAGGACACATATCACCAACAAGTTTCTGAGAATGCTTCTGTCTATTTTTTATGGGAAGATATTTCCTTTTTCACCGTAGGCGTCAAGGCGATCGAAATGTCCACTTCCACAAACTACAAAAAGAGTGTTTCAAACTTGCTCTATGAAAGGCCATGTTCATTTCTATGAGTCGAATGGAAATATCCGAAAGAAATTTCTGGGAATGCTGCTGTCTAGTTTTTATACGAATTCCCGCTTCCAACGAAATCCTCAAAGCAATCCAAATATCCACTTGCAGAATCCACAAAAAGAGTGTTTCAAAACTGCTCTATCAATAGAAAGGTTCAACTCTTTTAGTTGAGTACACACATCACAAACAAGTTTCTGAGAATGCTTCTGTCTGGCTTTTATTGGAAGACGTTTCCTTTTCACCAAAGGCATCAAAGCGCTCCAAATGTCCACTTCCAGATTCTTCCAAAAGAGTGTTTCAAACGTGCTCAAAGTAAGGGAATGTTCAACTCTTTGACTTTAATGCAGATATCACCAAGTAGTTTCTAATAGTGCTTCTGTGTATACTTTAGATGAAGATATTCCCGTTTCCAACGATATCGTTAGACCTACCCAAATATCCACTTACAGTTTCTACAAAAAGAGTGTTTCCAAACTGCTGCATCTAAAGAAAGGTTCAACTCTGTTACTTGAGGACACACATCACAACGAAGTTTCTGAGAAAGCTTCTGTCCAGATTTTGTATGACAATATTCCCTTTTCCAACGATATCGTTAAAGCAATCTAAATATCAATTTGCAGAATCCACAAAAATAGAGTTTGAAAGCTGCTCTGTAAAAAGAAAGGTTCCACTCTGTTAGCTGAGTACACACATCACAAACTTGTTTCTGAGAATCCTTCTGTCTAGTTTTTATGGGAAGATATTTACTTTTTCACCGTAGATATCAAAGCGCTCCAAATGTCCACATCCAGATACTACAGAAAGAGTGTTTCAAACCTGCTCTATGAAAGGGAATCTTCAACTCTATGAGTTGAATGCAGACATCAGAAAGTAATTTCTGAGAATGCTGCTGTCTACCTTTTATTTGAATTCCCGCTTCCAACGAAATCCTCCAAGCTATCCAAATATCCACCTGCATTTTCCACAAAACGAGTGTTTCAAAACTGCTCTATCAATAGAAATGTTCAACTCCTTTGGCTGGGTACACACATCACAAACAAGTTTCTGAGAATGCTTCTGTCTAGTTTTTATGGGAAGACGTTCCCTTTTTCACCAAAGGCATCAAAGCGCTCCAAATGTCCACTTCCAGACACTACAAAAAGAGTGTTTCCAACGTGCTCTAAGAAAGCGAATGTTCAACTCTGTGACTTGAATGCACATATCACAAAGTAGTTTCTGAGAGTGCTTCTGTCTAGATTTTAGATGATGATATTCCCGTTTCCAACGAAATGATTAGAGCTATCCAAATATCCACTTACAGTTTCTACAAAAAGAGTGTTTCCAAACTGCTGCATCAAAAGAGAGGTTCCACTCTGTTAGCTGAGTACACACATCACAAACTTGTTTCTCAGAATCCTTCTGTCTCCTTTTTATGGGAAGATATTTACTTTTTCACCGTAGGCATCAAAGCGCTCCAAATGTCCACATCCAGATACTCCAGAAAGAGTGTTTCAAACCTGCTCTATGAAAGGGAATCTTCAACTCTATGAGTTGAATGCAGACATCAGAAAGATATTTCTGAGAATGCTGCTGTCTACCTTTTATTTGAATTCCCGCTTCCAACGAAATCCTCCAAGCTATCCAAATATCCACTTGCAGATTCCACACAAAGAGTGTTTTAAAACTGCTCTCTATCAATGGCAAAGTTCAACTCTGTTAGTTGAGGACACATATCACCAACAAGTTTCTGAGAATGCTTCTGTCTATTTTTTATGGGAAGATATTTCCTTTTTCACCGTAGGCGTCAAGGCGATCAAAATGTCCACTTCCACAAACTACAAAAAGAGTGTTTCAAACCTGCTCTATGAAAGGCCATGTTCATCTCTATGAGTCGAATGGAAATATCCGAAAGAAATTTCTGGGAATGCTGCTGTCTAGTTTTTATACGAATTCCCGCTTCCAACGAAATCCTCAAAGCAATCCAAATATCCACTTGCAGAATCCACAAAAAGAGTGTTTCAAAACTGCTCTATCAATAGAAAGGTTCAACTCTTTTAGTTGAGTACACACATCACAAACAAGTTTCTGAGAATGCTTCTGTCTGGCTTTTATTGGAAGACGTTTCCTTTTCACCAAAGGCATCAAAGCGCTCCAAATGTCCACTTCCAGATTCTTCCAAAAGAGTGTTTCAAACGTGCTCAAAGTAAGGGAATGTTCAACTCTGTGACTTGAATGCAGATATCACCAAGTAGTTTCTAATAGTGCTTTCTGTCTAGATTTTAGATGATCATATTCCCGTTTCCAACGAAATCGTTAGAGCTATCCAAATATCCAGTTACAGTTTCTACCAAAAGGGTGTTTCCAAATTGCTGCATCAAAAGAAAGGTTCAACTCTGTTAGTTGAGGACCCACATCACAAAGAAGTTTGTGAGAATGCTTCTGTCTAGATTTTGTATGACGATATTCCCTTTTCCAACGATATCGTTAAAACAATCTAAATATAAATTTGCAGAATCCACAAAAATACAGTTTCAAAGCTGCTCTGTAAAAAGAAAGGTTCCACTCTTTTGGCTGAGTACACACATCAAAAACTTGTTTCTGAGAATCCTTCTGTCTCGTTTTTATGGGAAGATATTTACTTTTTCACCGTAGGCATCAAAGCGCTCCAAATGTCCACATCCAGATACTCCAGAAAGAGTGTTTCAAACCTGCTCTATGAAAGGGAATCTTCAACTCTACGAGTTGAATGCAGACATCAGAAAGAAATTTCTGAGAATGCTGCTGTCTACCTTTTATTTGAATTCCCGCTTCCAACGATATCCTCCAAGCTATCCAAATATCCACTTGCATTTTCCACAAAAAGAGTGTTTCAAAACTGCTCTATCAATAGAAATGTTCAACTCCTTTGGCTGGGTACACACATCACAAACAAGTTTCTGAGAATGCTTCTGTCTAGTTTTTATGGGAAGACATTCACTTTTTCACCAAAGGCATCAAAGCGCTCCAAATGTCCACTTCCAGACACTACAAAAAGAGTGTTTCAAACGTGCTCTAAGAAAGCGAATGTTCAACTCTGTGACTTGAATGCAGATATCACAAAGTAGTTTCTGAGAGGGCTTCTGTCTAGATTTTAGATGATGATATTCCCGTTTCCAACGAAATCATTACAGCTATCCAAATATCCACTTATAGTTTCTACAAAAAGAGTGTTTCCAAACTGCTGCATCAAAAGAGAGGTTCCACACTCTTAGCTGAGTACACACATCACAAACTTGTTTCTCAGAATCCTTCTTCAATTTTTTATGGGAAGACATTTCCTTTTTCACCGTAGGCGTCAAAGCGCTCCAAATGTCCACATCCAGATAGTACAGAAAGAGTGTTTCAAACCTGCTCTATTAAAGGGAATGTTCAACTCTATGAGTTGAATGCAAACATCAGAAAGAAATTTCTGAGAATGCTGCTGTCTACCTTTTATTTGAATTCCCGCTTCCAACGAAATCCTCCAAACTATCCAAATATCCACTCGCAGATTCCACAAAAAGAGTGTTTCAAAACTGCTCTCTATCAATGGCAAAGTTCAACTCTGTTAGTTGAGGACACATATCACCAACAAGTTTCTGAGAATGCTTCTGTCTATTTTTTATGGGAAGATATTTCCTTTTTCAGCGTAGGCGTCAAGGCGATCGAAATGTCCACTTCCACAAACTACAAAAAGAGTGTTTCAAACCTGCTCTATGAAAGGCCATGTTCATCTCTATGAGTTGAATGGAAATATCCGAAAGAAATTTCTGGGAATGCTGCTGTCTAGTTTTTATACGAATTCCCGCTTCCAACGAAATCCTCAAAGCAATCCAAATATCCACTTGCAGAATCCACAAAAAGAGTGTTTCAAAACTACACTATTAATAGAAAGGTTCAACTCTTTTAATTGAGTACACACATCACAAACAAGTTTCTGAGAATGCTTCTGTCTGGCTTTTATTGGAAGACGTTTCCTTTTCACCAAAGGCATCAAAGCGCTCCAAATGTCCACTTCCAGATTCTTCCAAAAGAGTGTTTCAAACGTGGTCGAAGTAAGGGAATGTTCAACTCTGTGACTTGAATGCAGGTATCACCAAGTAGTTTCTAATAGTGCTTCTGTCTAGATTTTAGATGATGATATTCCCGTTTCCAACGAAATCATTAGAGCTATCCAAATATCCACTTACAGTTTCTACAAAAAGAGTGTTTCCAAACCGCTGCATCAAAAGAAAGGTTCAACTCTGATAGTTGAGGACACACATCACAAAGAAGTTTGTGAGAATGCTTCTGTCCAGATTTTGTATGACGATATTCCCTTTTCCAACGATATCGTTAAAGCAATCTAAATATCCATTTGCAGAATCCACAAAAATAGAGTTTCAAAGCTGCTCTGTAAAAAGAAAGGTTCCACTCAGTTAGCTGAGTACACACATCACAAACTTGTTTCTGAGAATCCTTCTGTCTCGTTTTTATGGGAAGATATTTACTTTTTCACCGTAGGCATCAAAGCGCTCCAAATGTCCACATCCAGATACTCCAGAAAGAGTTTTTCAAACCTGCTCTATGAAAGGGAATCTTCAACTCTATGAGTTGAATGCAGACATCAGAAAGAAATTTCTGAGAATGCTGCTGTCTACCTTTTATTTGAATTCCCGCTTCCAACGAAATCCTCCAAGCTATCCAAATATCCACCTGCATTTTCCACAAAAAGAGTGTTTCAAAACTGCTCTATCAATAGAAATGTTCAACTCCTTTTTTCTGGGTACACACATCACAAACAAGTTTCTGAGAATGCTTCTGTCTAGTTTTTATGGGAAGACATTCCCTTTTTCACCAAAGGCATCAAAGCGCTCCAAATGTCGACTTCCAGACACTACAAAAAGAGTGTTTCAAACGTGCTCTAAGAAACCGAATGTTCAACTCTGTGAGTTGAATGCAGATATCACAAAGTAGTTTCTGAGAGGGCTTCTGTCTAGATTTTAGATGATGATATTCCCGTTTCCAACGAAATCGTTAGAGCTATCCAAATATCTACTTACAGTTTCTACAAAAAGAGTGTTTCCAAACTGCTGCATCAAAAGAGAGGTTCCACTCTGTTAGCTGAGTACACACATCACAAACTTGTTTCTCAGAATCCTCTGTCTCGTTTTTATGGGAAGATATTTACTTTTTCACCGTAGGCCTCAAAGCGCTCCAAATGTCCACATCCAGATACCACAGAAAGAGTATTTCAAACCTGCTCTATGAAAGGGAATGTTCAACTCTATGAGTTGAATGCAGACATCAGAAAGAAATTTCTGAGAATGCTGGCTGTCTACCTTTTATTTGAATTTCCGCTTCCAACGAAATCCTCCAAGCTATCAAAATATCCACTTGCAGATTCCACAAAAAGAGTGTTTCAAAACTGCTCTCTATCAATGGCAAAGTTCAACTCTGTTAGTTGAGGACACATATCACCAACGAGTTTCTGAAAATGCTTCTGTCTATTTTTTATGGGAAGATATTTCCTTTTTCACCGTAGGCGTCAAGGCGATCGAAATGTCCACTTCCACAAACTACAAAAAGAGTGTTTCAAACCTGCTCTATGAAAGGCCATGTTCATCTCTATGAGTTGAATGGAAATATCCGAAAGAAATTTCTGGGAATGCTGCTGTCTAGTTGTTATACGAATTCCCGCTTCCAACGAAATCCTCAAAGCAATCCAAATATCCACTTGCAGAATCCACAAAAAGAGTGTTTCAAAACTGCTCTATCAATAGAAAGGTTCAACTCTTTTAGTTGAGTACACACATCACAAACAAGTTTCTGAGAATGCTTCTGTCTGGCTTTTATTGGAAGACGTTTCCTTTTCACCAAAGGCATCAAAGCGCTCCAAATGTCCACTTCCAGATTCTTCCAAAAGAGTGTTTCAAACGTGCTCAAAGTAAGGGAATGTTCAACTCTTTGACTTGAATGCAGATATCACCAAGTAGTTTCTAATAGTGCTTCTGTCTAGATTTTAGATGACGATATTCCCGTTTCCAGCGAAATCGTTAGAGCTATCCAAATATCCACTTACAGTTTCTACAAAAAGAGTGTTTCCAAACTGCTGCATCAAAAGAAAGGTTCAACTCTGTTAGTTGAGGACACACATCACAAAGAAGTTTGTGAGAATGCTTCTGTCTAGATTTTGTATGACCATATTCCCTTTTCCAACGATATCGTTAAAGCAATCTAAATATCAATTTGTAGAATCCACAAAAATAGAGTTTCAAAGCTGCTCTGTAAAAAGAAAGGTTCCACTCTGTTAGCTGAGTACACACATCACAAACTTGTTTCTCAGAATCCTTCTGTCTCGTTTTTATGGGAAGATATTTACTTTTTCACCGTAGGCATCAAAGCGCTCCAAATGTCCACATCCAGATACACCAGAAAGACTGTTTCAAACCTGCTCTATGAAAGGGAATCTTCAACTCTATGAGTTGAATGCAGACATCAGAAAGAAATTTCTGAGAATGCTGCTGTCTACTTTTTTATGAATTCCCGCTTCCAACGAAGTCCTCAAAGCAATCCAAATATCCACTTGCAGATTCCACAAAAAGAGTGTTTCAAAACTGCTCTATCAATAGAAAGGTTCAACTCTTTTAGTTGAGTACACACATCACATACAAGTTTCTGAGAAAGCTTCTGTCTACTTTTTAAGGGAAGACATTTCCTTTTTCACCAAAGGCATCAAAGCACTCCAAATATCCACTTCCAGATTCTACAAAAAGTGTGTTTCAAACCTGCTCTAAGTAAGGGAGTTTTCAACTCTGTGACTGGAATGCAGATATCACAAAGTAGTTTCTGAGACTGCTTCTGTCTAGATTTTAGATGATGATATTCCCGTTTCCAACGAAATCATTAGAGCTATCCAAATATCCACTTACAGTTTCTACAAAAAGAGTGTTTCCAAACTGCTGCATCAAAAGAGAGGTTCCACTCTGTTAGCTGAGTACACACATCACAAACTTGTTTCTGAGAATCCTTCTGTGTCGTTTTTATGGGAAGATATTTACTTTTTCACCGTAGGCATCAAAGCGCTCCAAATGTCCACATCCAGATACTCCAGAAAGAGTGTTTCAAACCTGCTCTATGAAAGGGAATCTTCAACTACTATGAGTTGAATGCAGACATCAGAAAGAAATTTCTGAGAATGCTGCTGTCTACCTTTTATTTGAATTCCCGCTTCCAACGAAAACCTCCAAGCTATCCAAATATCCACTTGCAGATTCCACAAAAAGAGTGTTTCAAAACTGCTCTATCAATAGAAATGTTCAAATCCTTTCGCTGGGTACACACATCACAAACAAGTTTCTGAGAAAGCTTCTGTCTAGTTTTTATGGGAAGACGTTCCCTTTTTCACCAAAGGAATCAAAGCGCTCCAAATGTCCACTTCCAGACACTACAAAAAGAGTGTTTCAAACGTGCTCTAAGAAAGCGAATGTTCAACTCTGTGACTTGAATGCAGATATCACAAAGTAGTTTCTGAGAGGGCTTCTGTCTAGATTTTAGATGATGATATTCCCGTTTCCAACGAAATCGTTAGAGCTATCCAAATATCCACTTACAGTTTCTACAAAAAGAGTGTTTCCAAACTGCTGCATCAAAAGAGAGGTTCCACTCTGTTAGCTGAGTACACACATCACAAACTTGCTTCTCAGAATCCTTCTGTCTCGTTTTTATGGGAAGATATTTACTTTCTCACCGTAGGCATCAAAGCGCTTCAAATGTCCACATCCAGATACTCCAGAAAGAGTGTTTCAAACCTGCTCTATGAAAGGGAATCTTCAACTCTATGAGTTGAATGCAGACATCAGAAAGAAATTTCTGAGAATGCTGCTGTCTACCTTTTATTTGAATTACCGCTTCCAACGAAATCCTCCAAGCTATCCAAATATCCACTTGCAGATTCCACAAAAAGAGTGTTTCAAAACTGCTCTCTATCAATGGCAAAGTTCAACTCTGTTAGTTGAGGACACATATCACCAACAAGTTTCTGAGAATGCTTCTGTCTATTTTTTATGGGAAGATATTTCCTTTTTCAGCGTAGGCGTCAACGCGATCGAAATGTCCACTTCCACAAACTACAAAAAGAGTGTTTCAAACCTGCTCTATGAAAGGCCATGTTCATCTCTATGAGTTGAATGGAAATATCCGAAAGAAATTTCTGGGAATGCTGCTGTCTAGTGTTTATACGAATTCCCGCTTCCAACGAAATCCTCAAAGCAATCCAAATATCCACTTGCAGAATCCACAAAAAGAGTGTTTCAAAACTGCTCTATCAATAGAAAGGTTCAACTCTTTTAGTTGAGTACACACATCACGAACAAGTTTCTGAGAATGCTTCTGTCTGGCTTTTATTGGAAGACGTTTCCTTTTCACCAAAGGCATCAAAGCGCTCCAAATGTCCACTTCCAGATTCTTCCAAAAGAGTGTTTCAAACGTGGTCGAAGTAAGGGAATGTTCAACTCTGTGACTTGAATGCAAATATCACCAAGTAGTTTCTAATAGTGCTTCTGTCTACATTTTAGATGATGATATTCCCGTTTCCAACGAAATCGTTAGAGCTATCCAAATATCCAGTTACAGTTTCTACCAAAAGGGTGCTTCCAAATTGCTGCATCAAAAGAAAGGTTCAACTCTGTTAGTTGAGGACACACATCACAAAGAAGTTTGTGAGAATGCTTATCTGTCTAGATTTTGTATGAAGATATTCCCTTTTCCAACGATATCGTTAAATCAACCCAAATATCAATTTGCAGAATCCACAGAAATAGAGTCTCAAAGCTGCTCTGTAAAAAGAAAGGATACACTCTGTTAGCTGAGTACACATATCACAAACTTGTTTCTGAATATCCTTCTGTCTACTTTTTATGGGAAGATATTTACTTTTTCACCGTAGGTATCAAAGCGCTCCAAAAGTCCACATCCAGATACTACAGAAAGAGTGTTTCAAACCTGCTCTATGAAAGGGAATCTTCAACTCTATGAGTTGAATGCAGACATCAGAAAGTAATTTCTGAGAATGCTGCTGTCTACCTTTTATTTGAATTCCCGCTTCCAACGAAATCCTCCAAGCTATCAAAATATCCACTTGCATTTTCCACAACAAGAGTGTTTCAAAACTGCTCTATCAATAGAAATGTTCAACTCCTTTGGCTGGGTACACACATCACAAACAAGTTTCTGAGAATGCTTCTGTCTAGTTTTTATGGGAAGACATTCCCTTTTTCACCAAAGGCATCAAAGCGCTCCAAATGTCCACTTCCAGAGACTACAAAAAGAGTGTTTCAAACGTGCTCTAAGAAAGCGAATGTTCAACTCTGTGACTTGAATGCAGATATCACAAAGTAGTTTCTGAGAGTGCTTCTGTCTAGATTTTAGATGATGATATTCCCGTTTCCAACGAAATCATTAGAGCTATCCAAATATCCACTTACACTTTCTACAAAAAGAGTGTTTCCAAACTGCTGCATCAAAAGAGAGGTTCCACTCTGTTAGCTGAGTACACACATCACAAACTTGTTTCTCAGAATCCTTCTGTCTCGTTTTTATGGGAAGATATTTACTTTTGCACCGTAGGCATCAAAGCGCTCCAAATGTCCACATCCAGATACTCCAGAACGAGTGTTTCAAACCTGCTCTATGAAAGGGAATCTTCAACTCTATGAGTTGAATGCAGACATCAGAAAGAAATTTCTGAGAATGCTGCTGTCTACCTTTTATTTGAATTCCCGCTTCCAACGAAATCCTCCAAGCTATCCAAATATCCACTTGCAGATTCCACAAAAAGAGTGTTTCAAAACTGCTCTCTATCAATGGCAAAGTTCAACTCTGTTAGTTGAGGACACATATCACCAACAAGTTTCTGAGAATGCTTCTGTCTATTTTTTATGGGAAGATATTTCCTTTTTCACCGTAGGCGTCAAGGAGATCGAAATGTCCACTGCCACAAACTACAAAAAGAGTGTTTCAAACCTGCTCTATGAAAGGCCATGTTCATCTCTATGAGTTGAATGGAAATATCCGAAAGAAATATCTGGGAATGCTGCTGTCTAGTGTTTATACGAATTCCCGCTTCCAACGAAATCCTCAAAGCAATCCAAATATCCACTTGCAGAATCCACAAAAAGAGTGTTTCAAAACTGCTCTATCAATAGAAAGGTTCAACTCTTTTAGTTGAGTACACACTTCACGAACAAGTTTCTGAGAATGCTTCTGTCTGGCTTTTATTGGAAGACGTTTCCTTTTCAACAAAGGCATCAAAGCGCTCCAAATGTCCACTTCCAGATTCTTCCAAAAGAGTGTTTCAAACGTGCTCAAAGTAAGGGAATGTTCAACTCTGTCACTTGAATGCAGATATCACCAAGTAGTTTCTAATAGTGCTTCTGTCTAGATTTTAGATGATGATATTCCCGTTTCCAACGGAATCGTTAGAGCTAAGCAAATATCCAGTTACAGTTTCTACCAAAAGGGTGTTTCCAAATTGCTGCATCAAAAGAAAGGTTCAACTCTGTTAGTTGAGGACACACATCACAAAGAAGTTTGTGAGAATGCTCTGTCTAGATTTTGTATGACGATATTCCCTTTTCCAACGATATCGTTAAAGCAATCTAAATATCCATTTGCAGAATCCACAAAAATAGAGTTTCAAAGCTGCTCTGTAAAAAGAAAGGTTCCACTCTGTTAGCTGAGTACACACATCACAAACTTGTTTCTCAGAATCCTTTCTGTCTCGTTTTTATGGGAAGATATTTACTTTTTCACCGTAGGCATCAAAGCTCTCCAAATGTCCACATCCAGATACTCCAGAACGAGTGTTTCAAACCTACTCTATGAAAGGGAATCTTCAACTCTATGAGTTGAATGCAGACATCAGAAAGAAATTTCTGAGAATGCTGCTGTCTACCTTTTATTTGAATTCCCGCTTCCAACGAAATCCTCCAAACTATCCAAATATCCACTTGCATTTTCCACAACAAGAGTGTTTCAAAACTGCTCTATCAATAGAAACGTTCAACTCCTTTGGCTGGGTACACACATCACAAACAAGTTTCTGAGAATGCTTCTGTCTAGTTTTTATGGGAAGACGTTCCCTTTTTCACCAAAGCCATCAAAGCGCTCCAAATGTCCACTTCCAGACACTACAAAAAGAGTGTTTCAAACGTGCTCTAAGAAAGCGAATGTTCAACTCTGTGACTTGAATGCAGATATCACAAAGTAGTTTCTGAGAGTGCTTCTGTCTAGATTTTAGATGATGATATTCCCGTTTCCAACGAAATCATTAGAGCTATCCAAATATCCACTTACAGTTTCTGCAAAAAGAGTGTTTCCAAACTGCTGCATCAAAAGAGAGGTTCCACTCTGTTATCTGAGTACACACATCACAAACTTGTTTCTCAGAATCCTTCTGTCTCGTTTTTCTGGGAAGATATTTACTTTTTCATCGTAGGCATCAAAGCGCTCCAAATGTCCACATCCAGATACTCCAGAAAGAGTGTTTCAAACCTGCTCTATGAAAGGGAATCTTCAACTCTATGAGTTGAATGCAGACATCAGAAAGAAATTTCTGAGAATGCTGCTGTCTACCTTTTATTTGAATTCCCGCTTCCAACGAAATCCTCCAAGCTATCCAAATATCCACTTGCAGATTCCACAAAAAGAGTGTTTCAAAACTGCTCTCTATCAATGGCAAAGTTCAACTCTGTTAGTTGAGGACACATATCACCAACAAGTTTCTGAGAATGCTTCTGTCTATTTTTTATGGGAAGATATTTCCTTTTTCACCGTAGGCGTCAAGGCGATCGAAATGTCCACTTCCACAAACTACAAAAAGAGTGTTTCAAACCTGCTCTATGAAAGGCCATGTTCATCTCTATGAGTTGAATGGAAATATCCGAAAGAAATTTCTGGGAATGCTGCTGTCTAGTGTTTATACGAATTCCCGCTTCCAAAGAAATCCTCAAAGCAATCCAAATATCCACTTGCAGAATCCACAAAAAGAGTGTTTCAAAACTGCTCTATCAATAGAAAGGTTCAACTCTTTTAGTTGAGTACACACATCACGAACAAGTTTCTGAGAATGCTTCTGTCTGGCTTTTATTGGAAGACGTTTCCTTTTCACCAAAGGCATCAAAGCGCTCCAAATGTCCACTTCCAGATACTTCCAAAAGAGTGTTTCAAACGTGCTCGAAGTAAGGGAATGTTCAACTCTGTGACTTGAATGCAGATATCACCAAGTAGTTTCTAATAGTGCTTCTGTCTAGATTTTAGATGATGATATTCCCGTTTCCAACGAAATCGTTAGAGCTATCCAAATATCCACTTACAGTTTCTACCAAAAGGGTGTTTCCAAACTGCTGCATCAAAAGAAAGGTTCAACTCTGTTAGTTGAGGACACACATCACAAAGAAGTTTGTGAGAATACTTCTGTCTAGATTTTGTATGAAGATATTCCCTTTTCCAACGATGTCGTTAAATCAACCCAAATATCAATTTGCAGAATCCACAGAAATAGAATTTCAAAGCTGCTCTGTAAAAAGAAAGGATCCACTCTGTTAGCTGAGTACACACATCACAAACTTGTTTCTGAGAATCCTTCTGTCTCGTTTTTATGGGAAGATATATAATTTTCCACCGTAGGCATCAAAGCGCTCCAAATGTCCACATCCAGATACTCCAGAACGAGTGTTTCAAACCTGCTCTATGAAAGGGAATCTTCAACTCTATGAGTTGAATGCAGACATCAGAAAGAAATTTCTGAGAATGCTGCTGTCTACCTTTTATTTGAATTCCTGCTTCCAACGAAATCCTCCAAGCTATCCAAATATCCACCTGCATTTTCCACAAAAAGAGTGTTTCAAAACTGCTCTATCAATAGAAATGTTCAACTCCTTTGGCTGGGTACACACATCACAAACAAGTTTCTGAGAATGCTTCTGTCTAGTTTTTATGGGAAGACATTCCCTTTTTCACCAAAGGCATCAAAGCGCTCCAAATGTCCACTTCCAGACACTACAAAAAGAGTGTTTCAAACGTGCTCTAAGAAAGCGAATGTTAAACTCTGTGACTTGAATGCAGATATCACAAAGTAGTTTCTGAGAGGGCTTCTGTCTAGATTTTAGATGATGATATTCCCGTTTCCAACGAAATCATTAGAGCTATCCAAATATCCACTTACAGTTTCTATAAAAAGAGTGTTTCCAAACTGCTGCATCAAAAGAGAGGTTCCACTCTGTTAGCCGAGTACACACATCACAAACTTGTTTCTCAGAATCCTTCTGTCTCGTTTTTATGGGAAGATATTTACTTTTCCACCGTAGGCATCAAAGCGCTCCAAATGTCCACATCCAGATACTCCAGAAAGAGTGTTTCAAACCTGCTCTATGAAAGGGAATCTTCAACTCTATGAGTTGAATGCAGACATCAGAAAGAAATTTCCTGAGAATGCTGCTGTCTACCTTTTATTTGAATTCCCGCTTCCAACGAAATCCTCCAAGCTATCCAAATATCCACTTGCAGATTCCACAAAAAGAGTGTTTCAAAACTGCTCTCTATCAATGGCAAAGTTCAACTCTGTTAGTTGAGGACACATATCACCAACAAGTTTCTGAGAATGCTTCTGTCTATTTTTTATGGGAAGATATTTCCTTTTTCACCACAGGCGTCAAGGCGATCGAAATGTCCACTTCCACAAACTACAAAAAGAGTGTTTCAATATGAAAGGCCATGTTCATCTCTATGAGTTGAATGGAAATATCCGAAAGAAATTTCTGGGAATGCTGCTGTCTAGTTTTTATACGAATTCCCGCTTCCAACGAAATCCTCAAAGCAATCCAAATATCCACTTGCAGAATCCACAAAAAGAGTGTTTCAAAACTGCTCTATCAATAGAAAGGTTCAACTCTTTTAGTTGAGTACACACATCACAAACAAGTTTCTGAGAATGCTTCTGTCTGGCTTTTATTGGAAGACGTTTCCTTTTCACCAAAGGCATCAAAGCGCTCCAAATGTCCACTTCCAGATTCTTCCAAAAGAGTGTTTGAAACGTGCTCAAAGTAAGGGAATGTTCAACTCTGTGACTTGAATGCAGATATCACCAAGTAGTTTCTAATAGTGCTTCTGTCTAGATTTTAGATGATGATATTCCCGTTTCCAACGAAATCGTTAGAGCTATCCAAATATCCACTTACAGTTTCTACAAAAAGAGTGTTTCCAAACTGCTGCATCAAAAGAAAGGTTCAACTCTGTTAGTTGAGGACACACATCACAAAGAAGTTTTGTGAGAATGCTTCTGTCCAGAGTTTGTATGACAATATTCCCTTTTCCAACGATATCGTTAAAGCAATCTAAATATCAATTTGCAGAATCCACAAAAATAGAGTTTGAAAGCTGCTCTGTAAAAAGAAAGGTTCCACTCTGTTAGCTGAGTACACACATCACAAACTTGTTTCTGAGAATCCTTCTGTCTCGTTTTTATGGGAAGATATTTACTTTTTCACCGTAGGCATCAAAGCGCTCCAAATGTCCACATCCAGATACTCCAGAAAGAGTGTTTCAAACCTGCTCTATGAAAGGGAATCTTCAACTCTATGAGTTGAATGGAGACATCAGAAAGAAATTTCTGAGAATGCTCTGTTAGTTTATGGGAAGATATTTCCTTTTTCACCGTAGGCGTCAAGGCGATCGAAATGTCCACTTCCACAAACTACAAAAAGAGTGTTTCAAACCTGCTCTATGAAAGGCCATGTTCATCTCTATGAGTCGAATGGAAATATCCGAAAGAAATTTCTGGGAATGCTTCTGTCTATTTTTTATGGGAAGATATTTCCTTTTTCACCGTAGGCGTCAAGGCGATCGAAATGTCCACTTCCACAAACTACAAAAAGAGTGTTTCAAACCTGCTCTATGAAAGGCCATGTTCATCTCTATGAGTCGAATGGAAATATCCGAAAGAAATTTCTGGGAATGCTGCTGTCTAGTTTTTATACGAATTCCCGCTTCCAACGAAATCCTCAAAGCAATCCAAATATCCACTTGCAGAATCCACAAAAAGAGTGTTTCAAAACTGCTCTATCAATAGAAAGGTTCAACTCTTTTAGTTGAGTACACACATCACAAACAAGTTTCTGAGAATGCTTCTGTCTGGCTTTTATTGGAAGACGTTTCCTTTTCACCAAAGGCATCAAAGCGCTCCAAATGTCCACTTCCAGATTCTTCCAAAAGAGTGTTTGAAACGTGCTCAAAGTAAGGGAATGTTCAACTCTGTGACTTGAATGCAGATATCACCAAGTAGTTTCTAATAGTGCTTCTGTCTAGATTTTAGATGATGATATTCCCGTTTCCAACGAAATCGTTAGAGCTATCCAAATATCCACTTACAGTTGCTACAAAAAGAGTGTTTCCAAACTGCTGCATCAAAAGAAAGGTTCAACTCTGTTAGTTGAGGACACACATCACAAAGAAGTTTGTGAGAATGCTTTCTGTCTAGATTTTGTATGACGATATTCCCTTTTCCAACGATATCGTTAAAGCAATCTAAATATCAATTTGCAGAATCCACAAAAATAGAGTTTCAAAGCTGCTCTGTAAAAAGAGAGGTTCCACTCTGTTAGCTGAGTACACACATCACAAACTTGTTTCTGAGAATCCTGCTGTCTACCTTTTATTTGAATTCCCGCTTCCAACGAAATCCTCCAAGCTATCCAAATATCCACTTGCAGATTCCACAAAAAGAGTGTTTCAAAACTGCTCTCTATCAATGGCAAAGTTCAACTCTGTTAGTTGAGGACACATATCACCAACAAGTTTCTGAGAATGCTTCTGTCTATTTTTTATGGGAAGATATTTCCTTTTTCACCGTAGGCGTCAAGGCGATCGAAATGTCCACTTCCACAAACTACAAAAAGAGTGTTTCAAACCTGCTCTACGAAAGGCCATGTTCATCTCTATGAGTCGAATGGAAATATCCGAAAGAAATTTCTGGGAATGCTGCTGTCTAGTTTTTATACGAATTCCCGCTTCCAACGAAATCCTCAAAGCAATCCAAATATCCACTTGCAGAATCCACAAAAAGAGTGTTTCAAAACTGCTCTATCAATAGAAAGGTTCAACTCTTTTAGTTGAGTACACACATCACAAACAAGTTTCTGAGAATGCTTCTGTCTGGCTTTTATTAGAAGACGTTTCCTTTTCACCAAAGGCATCAAAGCGCTCCAAATGTCCACTTCCAGATTCTTCCAAAAGAGTGTTTCAAACGTGCTCAAAGTAAGGGAATGTTCAACTCTTTGACTTGAATGCAGATATCACCAAGTAGTTTCTAATAGTGCTTCTGTCTAGATTTTAGATGATGATATTCCCGTTTCCAACGAAATCGTTAGAGCTATCCAAATATCCACTTACAGTTTCTATAAAAAGAGTGTTTCCAAACTGCTGCATCAAAAGAAAAGTTCAACTCTGTTAGTTGAGGACACACATCACAAAGAAGTTTGTGAGAATGCTTCCTGTCTAGATTTTGTATGACCATATTCCCTTTTCCAGCGATATCATTAAAGCAATCTAAATATCCATTTGCAGAATCCACAAAAATAGAGTTTCAAAGCTGCTCTGTAAAAAGAAAGGTTCCACTCTGTTAGCTGAGTACACACATCACAAACTTGTTTCTCAGAATCCTCTGTCTCGTTTTTATGGGAAGATATTTACTTTTTCACCGTAGGCATCAAAGCGCTCCAAATGTCCACATCCAGATACTCCAGAAAGAGTGTTTCAAACCTGCTCTATGAAAGGGAGTCTTCAACTCTATGAGTTGAATGCAGACATCAGAAGGAAATTTTCTGAGAATGCTGGCTGTCTACCTTTTATTTGAATTCCCGCTTCCAACGAAATCCTCCAAGCTATCCAAATATCCACCTGCATTTTCCACAAAAAGAGCGTTTCAAAACTGCTCTATTAATAGAAATGTTCAACTCCTTTGGCTGGGTACACACATCACAAACAAGTTTCTGAGAATGCTTCTGTCTAGTTTTTATGGGAAGATATTCCCTTTTTCACCAAAGGCATCAAAGCGCTCCAAATGTCCACTTCCAGACACTACAAAAAGAGTGTTTCCAACGTGCTCTAAGAAAGCGAATGTTCAACTCTGTGACTTGAATGCAGATATCACAAAGTAGTTTCTGAGAGGGCTTCTGTCTAGATTTTAGATGATGATATTCCCGTTTCCAACGAAATCATTAGAGCTATCCAAATATCCACTTACAGTTTCTACAAAAAGAGTGTTTCCAAACTGCTGCATCAAAAGAAAAGTTCAACTCTGTTAGTTGAGGACACACATCACAAAGAAGTTTGTGAGAATGCTTCTGTCTCGTTTTTATGGGAAGATATTTACTTTTTCACCGTAGGCATCAAAGCGCTCCAAATGTCCACATCCAGATACTCCAGAAAGAGTGTTTCAAACCTGCTCTATGAAAGGGAATCTTCAACTCTATGAGTTGAATGCAGACATCAGAAAGTAATTTCTGAGAATGCTGCTGTCTACCTTTTATTTGAATTCCCGCTTCCAACGAAATCCTCCAAGCTATCCAAATATCCACTTGCAGATTCCACAAAAAGAGTGTTTCAAAACTGCTCTCTATCAATGGCAAAGTTCAACTCTGTTAGTTGAGGACACATATCACCAACAAGTTTCTGAGAATGCTTCTGTCTATTTTTTATGGGAAGATATTTCCTTTTTCACCGTAGGCGTCAAGGCGATCGAAATGTCCACTTCCACAAACTACAAAAAGAGTGTTTCAAACCTGCTCTATGAAAGGCCATGTTCATCTCTATGAGTTGAATGGAAATATCCGAAAGAAATTTCCTGGGAATGCTGGCTGTCTAGTTTTTATACGAATTCCCGCTTCCAACGAAATCCTCAAAGCAATCCAAATATCCACTTGCAGAATCCACAAAAAGAGTGTTTCAAAACTGCTCTATCAATAGAAAGGTTCAACTCTTTTAGTTGAGTACACACATCACAAACAAGTTTCTGAGAATGCTTCTGTCTGGCTTTTATTGGAAGACGTTTCCTTTTCACCAAAGGCATCAAAGCGCTCCAAATGTCCACTTCCAGATTCTTCCAAAAGAGTGTTTGAAACGTGCTCAAAGTAAGGGAATGTTCAACTCTGTGACTTGAATGCAGATATCACCAAGTAGTTTGCTAATAGTGCTTCTGTCTAGATTTTAGATGATGATATTCCCGTTTCCAACGAAATCGTTAGAGCTATCCAAATATCCCCTTACAGTTGCTACAAAAACAGTGTTTCCAAACTGCTGCATCAAAAGAAAGGTTCAACTCTGTTAGTTGAGGACACACATCACAAAGAAGTTTGTGAGAATGCTTCTGTCCAGATTTTGTATGACGATATTCCCTTTTCCAACGATATCGTTAAAGCAATCTAAATATCCATTTGCAGAATCCACAAAAATAGAGTTTCAAAGCTGCTCTGTAAAAAGAAAGGTTCCACTCTGTTAGCTGGAGTACACACATCACAAACTTGTCTCTCAGAATCCTTCTGTCTCGTTTTTATGGGAAGATATTTACTTTTTCACCGTAGGCATCAAAGCGCTCCAAATGTCCACATCCAGATACTCCAGAAAGAGTGTTTCAAACCTGCTCTAGGAAAGGGAATCTTCAACTCTATGAGTTGAATGCAGACATCAGAAAGAAATTTCTGAGAATGCTGCTGTCTACCTTTTATTTGAATTCCTGCTTCCAACGAAATCCTCCAAGCTATCCAAATATCCACTTGCATTTTCCACAAAAAGAGTGTTTCAAAACTGCTCTATCAATAGAAATGTTCAACTCCTTTAGCTGGGTACACACATCACAAACAAGTTTCTGAGAATGCTTCTGTCTAGTTTTTATGGGAAGACATTCCCTTTTTCACCAAAGGCATCAAAGCGCTCCAAATGTCCACTTCCAGACACTACAAAAAGAGTGTTTCAAACGTGCTCTAAGAAAGCGAATATTCAACTCTGTGACTTGAATGCAGATATCACAACGTAGTTTCTGAGAGGGCTTCTGTCTAGATTTTAGATGATGATATTCCCGTTTCCAACGAAATCATTAGAGCTATCCAAATATCCACTTACAGTTTCTACAAAAAGAGTGTTTCCAAACTGCTGCATCAAAAGAGAGGTTCCACTCTGTTAGCTGAGTACACACATCACAAAGTTGTTTCTGAGAATCCTTCTGTCGCGTTTTTATGGGAAGATATTTACTTTTTCACCGTAGGCATCAAAGCGCTCCAAATGTCCACATCCAGATACTCCAGAAAGAGTGTTTCAAACCTGCTCTATGAAAGGGAATCTTCAACTCTATGAGTTGAATGCAGACATCAGAAAGAAATTTCTGAGAATGCTGCTGTCTACCTTTTATTTGAATTCCCGCTTCCAACGAAATCCTCCAAGCTATCCAAATATCCACTTGCAGATTCCACAAAAAGAGTGTTTCAAAACTGCTCTCTATCAATGGCAAAGTTCAACTCTGTTAGTTGAGGACACATATCACCAACAAGTTTCTGAGAATGCTTCTGTCTATTTTTTATGGGAAGATATTTCCTTTTTCACCGTAGGCGTCAAGGCGATCGAAATGTCCACTTCCACAAACTACAAAAAGAGTGTTTCAAACCTGCTCTATGAAAGGCGATGTTCATCTCTATGAGTTGAATGGAAATATCCGAAAGAAATTTCTGGGAATGCTGCTGTCTAGTTTTTATATGAATTCCCGCTTCCAACGAAATCCTCAAAGCAATCCAAATATCCACTTGCAGAATCCACAAAAAGAGTGTTTCAAAACTGCTCTATCAATAGAAAGGTTCAACTCTTTTAGTTGAGTACACACATCACAACCAAGTTTCTGAGAATGCTTCTGTCTGGCTTTTATTGGAAGACGTTTCCTTTTCACCAAAGGCATCAAAGCGCTCCAAATGTCCACTTCCAGATTCTTCCAAAAGAGTGTTTCAAACGTGCTCGAAGTAAGGGAATGTTCTACTCTGTGACTTGAATGCAGATATCACCAAGTAGTTTCTAATAGTGCTTCTGTCTACATTTTAGATGATGATATTCCCGTTTCCAACGAAATCGTTAGAGCTATCCAAATATCCAGTTACAGTTTCTACCAAAAGGGTGTTTCCAAATTGCTGCATCAAAAGAAAGGTTCAACTCTGTTAGTTGAGGACACACATCACAAAGAAGTTTGCGAGAATGCTTCTGTCTAGATTTTGTATGACGATATTCCCTTTTCCAACGATATCGTTAAAGCAATCTAAATATCAATTTGCAGAATCCACAAAAATAGAGTTACAAAGCTGCTCTGTAAAAAGAAAGGTTCCACTCTGTTAGCTGAGTACACACATCACAAACTTGTTTCTGAGAATCCTGCTGTCTACCTTTTATTTGAATTCCCGCTTCCAACGAAATCCTCCAAGCTATCCAAATATCCACTTGCATTTTCCACAAAAAGAGTGTTTCAAAACTGCTCTATCAATAGAAATGTTCAACTCCTTTGGCTGGGTACACACATCACAAACAAGTTTCTGAGAATGATTCTGTCTAGTTTTTATGGGAAGACATTTCCTTTTTCACCAAAGGCATCAAAGAGCTCCAAATGTCCACTTCCAGATACTACAAAAAGAGTGTTTCAAAAGTGCTCTAAGAAAACGAATGTTCAACTCTGTGACTTGAAAGCAGATATCACAAAGTAGTTTCTGAGAGTGCTTCTGTCTAGATTTTACATGATGATATTCCCGTTTCCAACGAAATCATTAGAGCTATCCAAATATCCACTTACAGTTTCTACAAAAAGAGTGTTTCCAAACTGCTGCATCAAAAGAGAGGTTCCACTCTGTTAGCTGAGTACACACATCACAAACTTGTTTCTGAGAATCCTTCTGTCTCGTTTTTATGGGAAGATTATACTTTTTCACCGTAGGCATCAAAGCGCTCCAAATGTCCACATCCAGATACTACAGAAAGAGTGTTTCAAACCTGCTCTATGAAAGGGAATGTTCAACTCTATGAGTTGAATGCAGACATCAGAAAGAAATTTCTGAGAATGCTGCTGTCTACCTTTTATTTGAATTCCCGCTTCCAACGAAATCCTCCAAGCTATCCAAATATCCACTTGCAGATTCCACAAAAAGAGTGTTTCAAAACTGCTCTCTATCAATGGCAAAGTTCAACTCTGTTAGTTGAGGACACATATCACCAACAAGTTTCTGAGAATGCTTCTGTCTATTTTTTATGGGAAGATATTCCCTTTTTCACCATAGGCGTCAAGGCGATCAAAATGTCCACTTCCACAAACTACAAAAAGAGTGTTTCAAACCTGCTCTATGAAAGGCCATGTTCATCTCTATGAGTTGAATGGAAATATCCGAAAGAAATTTCTGAAAATGCTGCTGTCTAGTTTTTATACGAATTCCCGCTTCCAACGAAATCCTCAAAGCAATCCAAATATCCACTTGCAGAATCCACAAAAAGAGTGTTGCAAAACTGCTCTATCAATAGAAAGGTTCAACACTTTTAGTTGAGTACACACATCACAAAGAAGTTTCTGAGAATGCTTCTTTCTGGCTTTTATTGGAAGATGTTTCCTTTTCACCAAAGGCATCAAAGAGCTCCAAACGTCCACTTCCAGATTCTTACAAAAGAGTGTTTCAAACGTGCTCAAAGTAAGGGAATGTTCAACTCTGTGACTTGCATGCAGATATCACAAGTAGTTTCTAATAGTGCTTCTGTCTAGATTTTAGATGATGATATTCCCGTTTCCAACGAAATCGTTAGAGCTATCCAAATATCCAGTTACAGTTTCTACCAAAAGGGTGTTTCCAAACTGCTGCATCAAAAGAAAGGTTCAAGTCTGTTAGTTGAGGACACACATCACAAAGAAGTTTGTGAGAATGCTTCTGTCTAGATTTTGTATGACGATATTCCCTTTTCCAACGATATCGTTAAAGCAATCTAAATATCAATTTGCAGAATCCACAAAAATAGACTTTCAAAGCTGCTCTGTAAAAAGAAAGGTTCCACTCTGTTAGCTGAGTACACACATCACAAACTTGTTTCTGAGAATCCTTCTGTCTCGTTTTTCTGGGAAGATATTTACTTTTTCACCGTAGGCATCAAAGCGCTCCAAATGTCCACATCCAGATACTCCAGAAAGAGTGTTTCAAACCTGCTCTATGAAAGGGAATCTTCAACTCTATGAGTTGAATGCAGACATCAGAAAGAAATTTCTGAGAATGCTGCTGTCTACCTTTTATTTGAATTCCCGCTTCCAACTAAATCCTCCAAACTATCCAAATATCCACTTGCAGATTCAGGAAAAAGAGTGTTTCAAAACTGCTCTCTATCAATGGCAAAGTTCAACTCTGTTAGTTGAGGACACATATCACCAACAAGTTTCTGAGAATGCTTCTGTCTATTTTTTATGGGAAGATATTTCCTTTTTCACCGTGGGCGGTCAAGGCGATCGAAATGTCCACTTCCACAAACTACAAAAAGAGTGTTTCAAACCTGCTCTATGAAAGGCCATGTTCATCTCTATGAGTCGAATGGAAATATCCGAAAGAAATTTCTGGGAATGCTGCTGTCTAGTTTTTATACGAATTCCCGCTTCCAACGAAATCCTCAAAGCAATCCAAATATCCACTTGCAGAATCCACAAAAAGAGTGTTTCAAAACTGCTCTATCAATAGAAAGGTTCAACTCTTTTAGTTGAGTACACACATCACAAACAAGTTTCTGAGAATGCTTCTGTCTGGCTTTTATTGGAAGACGTTTCCTTTTCACCAAAGGCATCAAAGCGCTCCAAATGTCCACTTCCAGATTCTTCCAAAAGAGTGTTTGAAACGTGCTCAAAGTAAGGGAATGTTCAACTCTGTGACTTGAATGCAGATATCACCAAGTAGTTTCTAGTAGTGCTTCTGTCTAGATTTTAGATGATGATATTCCCGTTTCCAACGAAATCGTTAGAGCTATCCAAATATCCACTTACAGTTTCTACCAAAAGGGTGTTTCCAAACTGCTGCATCAAAAGAAAGGTTCAACTCTGTTAGTTGAGGACACACATCACAAAGAAGTTTGTCAGAATGCTTCTGTCCAGATTTTGTATGATGATATTCCCTTTTCCAACGATATCGTTAAAGCAATCTAAATATCCATTTGCAGAATCCACAAAAATAGAGTTTCAAAGCTGCTCTGTAAAAAGAAAGGTTCCACTCTGTTAGCTGAGTACACACATCACAAACTTGTTTCTGAGATTCCTCTGTCTCGTTTTTATGGGAAGATATTTACTTTTTCACCGTAGGCATCAAAGCGCTCCAAATGTCCACATCCAGATACTCCAGAAAGACTGTTTCAAACCTGCTCAATGAAAGGGAATCTTCAACTCTATGAGTTGAATGCAGACATCAGAAAGAAATTTCTGAGAATGCTGGCTGTCTACCTTTTATTTGAATTCCGGCTTCCAACGAAATCCTCCAAGCTATCCAAATATCCACTTGCATTTTCCACAACAAGAGTGTTTCAAAACTGCTCTATCAATAGAAATGTTCAACTCCTTTGGCTGGGTACACACATCACAAACAAGTTTCTGAGAATGCTTCTGTCTAGTTTTTATGGGAAGACATTCCCTTTTTCACCAAAGACATCAAAGCGCTCCAAATGTCCACTTCCAGACACTACAAAAAGAGTGTTTCAAACGTGCTCTAAGAAAGCAGAATGTTCAACTCTGTGACTTGAATGCAGATATCACAAAGTAGTTTCTGAGAGGGCTTCTGTCTAGATTTTAGATGATGATATTCCCGTTTCCAACGAAATCATTAGAGCTATCCAAATATCCACTTACAGTTTCTACAAAAAGAGAGTTTCCAAACTGCTGCATCAAAAGAGAGGTTCCACTCTGTTAGCTGAGTACACACATCACAAACTTGTTTCTCACAATCCTTCTGTCTCGTTTTTATGGGAAGATATTTACTTTTTCACCGTAGGCATCAAAGCGCTCCAAATGTCCACATCCAGATACTCCAGAAAGAGTGTTTCAAACCTGCTCTACGAAAGGGAATCTTCAACTCTATGAGTTGAATGCAGACATCAGAAAGAAATTTCTGAGAATGCTGCTGTCTACCTTTTATTTGAATTCCCGCTTCCAACGAAATCTTCCAACCTATCCAAATATCCACCTGCATTTTCCACAAAAAGAGTGTTTCAAAACTGCTCTATCAATAGAAATGTTCAACTCCTTTAGCTAGGTACACACATCACAAACAAGTTTCTGAGAATGCTTCTGTCTATTTTTTATGGGAAGATATTTCCTTTTTCACCGTAGGCGTCAAGGCGATCGAAATGTCCACTTCCACAAACTACAAAAAGAGTGTTTCAAACCTGCTCTATGAAAGGCCATGTTCATCTCTATGAGTTGAATGGAAATATCCGAAAGAAAATTCTGGGAATGCTGCTGTCTAGTGTTTATACGAATTCCCGCTTCCAACGAAATCCTCAAAGCAATCCAAATATCCACTTGCAGAATCCACAAAAAGAGTGTTTCAAAACTGCTCTATCAATAGAAAGGTTCAACTCTTTTAGTTGAGTACACACATCACAAACAAGTTTCTGAGAATGCTTCTGTCTGGCTTTTATTGGAAGACGTTTCCTTTTCACCAAAGGCATCAAAGCGCTCCAAATGTCCACTTCCAGATTCTTCCAAAAGAGTGTTTCAAACGTGCTCAAAGTAAGGGAATGTTCAACTCTGTGACTTGAATGCAGATATCACCAAGTAGTTTCTAATAGTGCTTCTGTCTAGATTTTAGATGATGATATTCCCGTTTCCAACGAAATCGTTAGAGCTAAGCAAATATCCAGTTACAGTTTCTACAAAAAGGGTGTTTCCAAATTGCTGCATCAAAAAAAAGGTTCAACTCTGTTAGTTGAGGACACACACCACAAAGAAGTTTGTGAGAATGCTTCTGTCTAGATTTTGTATGACGATATTCCCTTTTCCAACGATATCGTTAAAGCAATCTAAATATCAATTTGCAGAATCCAGAAAAATAGAGTTTCAAAGCTGCTCTGTAAAAAGAAAGGTTCCACTCTGTTAGCTGAGTACACACATCACAAACTTGTTTCTGAGAATCCTTCTGTCTCGTTTTTATGGGAAGATATTTACTTTTTCACCGTAGGCATCAAAGCGCTCCAAATGTCCACATCCAGATACTCCAGAAAGACTGTTTCAAACCTGCTCTATGAAAGGGAATCTTCAACTCTATGAGTTGAATGCAGACATCAGAAAGAAATTTCTGAGAATGCTGCTGTCTACCTTTTATTTGAATTCCCGCTTCCAACGAAATCCTCCAAGCTATACAAATATCCACTTGCATTTTCCACAAAAAGAGGGTTTCAAAACTGCTCTCTATCAATGCAAAATTCAACTCCTTTAGCTGGGTACACACATCACAAACAAGTTTCTGGGAATGCTTCTGTCTAGTTTTTATGGGAACACATTCCCTTTTTCACCAAAGGCATCAAAGCGCTCCAAATGTCCACTTCCAGACACTACAAAAAGAGTGTTTCCAACGTGCTCTAAGAAAGCGAATGTTCAACTCTGTGACTTGAATGCAGATATCACAAAGTAGTTTCTGAGAGGGCTTCTGTCTAGATTTTAGATGATGATATTCCCGTTTCCAACGAAATCATTAGAGCTATCCAAATATCCACTTACAGTTTCTACAAAAAGAGTGTTTCCAAACTGCTGCATCAAAAAGAGAGGTTCCACTCTGTTAGCTGAGTACACACATCACAAACTTGTTTCTCAGAATCCTTCTGTCTCGTTTTTATGGGAAGATATTTACTTTCTCACCGTAGGCATCAAAGCGCTCCAAATGTCCACATCCAGATACTCCAGAAAGAGTGTTTCAAACCTGCTCTATGAAAGGGAATGTTCAACTCTATGAGTTGAATGCAGACATCAGAAAGAAATTTCTGAGAATGCTGCTGTCTACCTTTTATTTGAATTCCCGCTTCCAACGAAATCCTCCAAGCTATCCAAATATCCACTTGCAGATTCCACAAAAAGAGTGTTTCAAAACTGCTCTCTATCAATGGCAAAGTTCAACTCTGTTAGTTGAGGACACATATCACCAACAAGTTTCTGAGAATGCTTCTGTCTATTTTTTATGGGAAGATATTTCCTTTTTCACCGTAGGCGTCAAGGCGATCGAAATGTCCACTTCCACAAACTACAAAAAGAGTGTTTCAAACCTGCTCTATGAAAGGCCATGTTCATGTCTATGAGTCGAATGGAAATATCCGAAAGAAATTTCTGGGAATGCTGCTGTCTAGTTTTTATACGAATTCCCGCTTCCAACGAAATCCTCAAAGCAATCCAAATATCCACTTGCAGAATCCACAAAAAGAGTGTTTCAAAACTGCTCTATCAATAGAAAGGTTCAACTCTTTTAGTTGAGTACACACATCACAAACAAGTTTCTGAGAATGCTTCTGTCTGGCTTTTATTGGAAGACGTTTCCTTTTCAACAAAGGTATCAAAGCGCTCCAAATGTCCACTTCCAGATTCTTCCAAAAGAGTGTTTCAAACGTGCTCAAAGTAAGGGAATGTTCAACTCTGTGACTTGAATGCAGATATCACCAAGTAGTTTGTAATAGTGCTTCTGTCTAGATTTTAGATGACGATATTCCCGTTTCCAGCGAAATCGTTAGAGCTATCCAAATATCCACTTACAGTTTCTACAAAAAGAGTGTTTCCAAACTGCTGCATCAAAAGAAAGGTTCAACTCTGTTAGTTGAGGACACACATCACAAAGAAGTTTGTGAGAATGCTTCTGTCCAGATTTTGTATGACGATATTCCCTTTTCCAACGATATCGTTAAAGCAATCTAAATATCAATTTGCAGAATCCACAAAAATAGAGTTTCAAAGCTGCTCTGTAAAAAGAAAGGTTCCACTCAGTTAGCTGAGTACACACATCACAAACTTGTTTCAGAGAATCCTTCTGTCTCGTTTTTCTGGGAAGATATTTACTTTTTCACCATAGGCATCAAAGCGCTCCAAATGTCCACATCCAGATACTCCAGAAAGAGTGTTTCAAACCTGCTCTATGAAAGGGAATCTTCAACTCTATGAGTTGAATGCAGACATCAGAAAGAAATTTCTGAGAATGCTGCTGTCTACCTTTTATTTGAATTCCCGCTTCCAACGAAATCCTCCAAGCTATCCAAATATCCACCTGCAATTTCCACAACAAGAGTGTTTCAAAACTGCTCTATCAATAGAAATGTTCAACTCCTTTGGCTGGGTACACACATCACAAACAAGTTTCTGAGAATGCTTCTGTCTACTTTTTAAGGGAAGACATTTCCTTTTTCACCAAAGGCATCAAAGCGTTCCAAATGTCCACTTCCAGATTCTACAAAAAGAGTGTTTCAAACCTGCTCTAAGTAAGGGAGTTTTCAACTCTGTGACTGGAATGCAGATATCACAATGTAGTTTCTGAGACTGCTTCTGTGTATACTTTAGATGAAGATATTCCCGTTTCCAACGATATCGTTAGACCTATCCAAATATCCACTTACAGTTTCTACAAAAAGAGTGTTTCCAAACTGCTGCATCTAAAGAAAGGTTCAACTCTGTTAGTTGAGGACACACATCACAAAGAATTTTCTGAGAAAGCTTCTGTCTCGTTTTTATGGGAAGATTATACTTTTTCGCCGTAGGCATCAAAGCGCTCCAAATGTCCACATCCAGATACTCCAGAAAGAGTGTTTCAAACCTGCTCTATGAAAGGGAATGTTCAACTCTATGAGTTGAATGCAGACATCAGAAAGAAATTTCTGAGAATGCTGCTGTCTACCTTTTATTTGAATTCCCGCTTCCAACGAAATCCTCCAAGCTATCCAAATATCCACTTGCAGATTCCACAAAAAGAGTGTTTCAAAACTGCTCTCTATCAATGGCAAAGTTCAACTCTGTTAGTTGAGGACACATATCACCAACAAGTTTCTGAGAATGCTTCTGTCTATTTTTTATGGGAAGATATTTCCTTTTTCACCGTAGGCGTCAAGGCGATCGAAATGTCCACTTCCACAAACTACAAAAAGAGTGTTTCAAACCTGCTCTATGAAAGGCCATGTTCATCTCTATGAGTCGAATGGAAATATCCGAAAGAAATTTCTGGGAATGCTGCTGTCTAGTTTTTATACGAATTCCCGCTTCCAACGAAATCCTCAAAGCAATCCAAATATCCACTTGCAGAATCCACAAAAAGAGTGTTTCAAAACTGCTCTATCAATAGAAAGGTTCAACTCTTTTAGTTGAGTACACACATCACAAACAAGTTTCTGAGAATGCTTCTGTCTGGCTTTTATTGGAAGATGTTTCCTTTTCACCAAAGGCATCAAAGCGCTCCAAATGTCCACTTCCAGATTCTTCCAAAAGAGTGTTTCAAACGTGCTCAAAGTAAGGGAATGTTCAACTCTGTGACTTGAATGCAGATATCACCAAGTAGTTTCTAATAGTGCTTCTGTCTAGATTTTAGATTATGATATTACCGTTTCCAACGAAATCGTTAGAGCTATCCAAATATCCACTTACAGTTTCTACCAAAAGGGTGTTTCCAAACTGCTGCATCAAAAGAAAGGTTCAACTCTGTTAGTTGAGGACACACATCACAAAGAAGTTTGTGAGAATGCTTCTGTCTAGATTTTGTATGACGATATTCCCTTTTCCAACGATATCGTTAAAGCAATCTAAATATCAATTTGCAGAATCCACAAAAATAGAGTTTCAAAGCTGCTCTGTAAAAAGAAAGGTTCCACTCTGTTAGCTGAGTACACACATCACAAACTTGATTCTGAGAATCCTTCTGTCTCGTTTTTATGGGAAGATATTTACTTTTCCACCGTAGGCATCAAAGCGCTCCAAATGTCCACATCCAGATACTCCAGAACAAGTGTTTCAAACCTGCTCTATGAAAGGGAATCTTCAACTCTATGAGTTGAATGCAGACATCAGAAAGAAATTTCTGAGAATGCTGCTGTCTACCTTTTATTTGAATTCCCGCTTCCAACGAAATCCTCCAAGCTATCCAAATATCCACCTGCATTTTACACAAAAAGAGTGTTTCAAAACTGCTCTATCAATAGAAATGTTCAACTCCTTTGGCTGGGTACACACATCACAAACAAGTTTCTGAGAATGCTTCTGTCTAGTTTTTATGGGTAGACATTCCCTTTTTCACCAAAGGAAACAAAGCGCTCCAAATGTCCACTTCCAGACACTACAAAAAGAGTGTTTCAAACGTGCTCTAAGAAAGCGAATGTTCAACTCTGTGACTTGAATGCAGATATCACAAAGTAGTTTCTGAGAGTGCTTCTGTCTAGATTTTAGATGATGATATTCCCGTTTCCAACGAAATCATTAGAGCTATCCAAATATGCACTTACAGTTTCTACAAAACGAGTGTTTCCAAACTGCTGCATCAAAAGAGAGGTTCCAATCTGTTAGCTGAGTACACACATCACAAACTTGTTTCTCAGAATCCTTCTGTCTCGTTTTTATGGGAAGATTATACTTTTTCACCGTAAGCATCAAAGCGCTCCAAATGTCCACATCCAGATACTCCAGAAAGAGTGTTTCAAACCTGCTCTATGAAAGGGAATCTTCAACTCTATGAGTTGAATGCAGACATCAGAAAGAAATTTCTGAGAATGCTGCTGTCTACCTTTTATTTGAATTCCCGCTTCCAACGAAATCCTCCAAGCTATCCAAATATCCACTTGCAGATTCCACAAAAAGAGTGTTTCAAAACTGCTCTCTATCAATGGCAAAGTTCAACTCTGTTAGTTGAGGACACATATCACCAACAAGTTTGTGAGAATGCTTCTGTCTATTTTTTATGGGAAGATATTTCCTTTTTCACCGTAGGCGTCAAGGCGATCGAAATGTCCACTTCCACAAACTACAAAAAGAGTGTTTCAAACCTGCTCTATGAAAGGCCATGTTCATCTCTATGAGTCGAATGGAAATATCCGAAAGAAATTTCTGGGAATGCTGCTGTCTAGTTTTTATGCGAATTCCCACTTCCAACGAAATCCTCAAAGCAATCCAAATATCCACTTGCAGAATCCACAAAAAGAGTGTTTCAAAACTGCTCTATCAATAGAAAGGTTCAACTCTTTTAGTTGAGTACACACATCACAAACAAGTTTCTGAGAATGCTTCTGTCTGGCTTTTATTGGAAGACGTTTCCTTTTCACCAAAGGCATCAAAACGTTCCAAATGTCCACTTCCAGATTCTTCCAAAAGAGTGTTTCAAACGTGCTCAAAGTAAGGGAATGTTCAACACTGTGACTTGAATGCAGATATCACCAAGTAGTTTCTAATAGTGCTTCTGTCTAGATTTTAGATGATGATATTCCCGTTTCCAACGAAATCGTTAGAGCTATCCAAATATCCACTTACAGTTTCTACAAAAACAGTGTTTCCAAACTGCTGAATCAAAAGAAAAGTTCAACTCTGTTAGTTGAGGACACACATCACAAAGAAGTTTGTGAGAATGCTTCAGTCCAGATTTTGTATGACGATATTCCCTTTTCCAACGATATCGTTAAAGCAATCTAAATATCAATTTGCAGAATCCACAAAAATAGAGTTTCAAAGCTGCTCTGTAAAAAGAAAGGTTCCACTCTGTTAGCTGAGTACACACATCACAAACTTGTTTCTGAGAATCCTTCTGTCTCGTTTTTATGGGAAGATATTTACTTTTTCACCGTAGGCATCAAAGCGCTCCAAATGTCCACATCCAGATACTCCAGAAAGAGTGTTTCAAACCTGCTCTATGAAAGGGAATCTTCAACTCTATGAGTTGAATGGAGACATCAGAAAGAAATTTCTGAGAATGCTGCTGTCTACCTTTTATTTGAATTCACGCTTCCAACGAAATCCTCCAAGCTATCCAAATATCCACTTGCATTTTCCACAAAAAGAGTGTTTCAAAACTGCTCTATCAATAGAAATGTTCAGCTCCTTTAGCTGGGTACACACATCACAAACAAGTTTCTGAGAATGCTTCTGTCTAGTTTTTATGGGAAGACATTTCCTTTTTCACCAAAGGCATCAAAGAGCTCCAAATGTCCACTTCCAGATACGACAAATAGAGTGTTTCAAAAGTGCTCTAAGAAAGCGAATGTTCAACTCTGTGACTTGAATGCAGATATCAAAAAGTAGTTTCTGAGAGTCCTTCTGTCTAGATTTTAGATGATGATATTCCCGTTTCCAACGAAATCATTAGAGCTATCCAAATATCCACTTACAGTTTCTACAAAAAGAGTGTTTCCAAACTGCTGCATCAAAAGAGAGGTTCCACTCTGTTAGCTGAGTACACACATCACAAACTTGTTTCTGAGAATCCTTCTGTGTCGTTTTTATGGGAAGATATTTACTTTTTCACCGTAGGCATCAAAGCGCTCCAAATGTCCACATCCAGATACTCCAGAAAGAGTGTTTCAAACCTGCTCTATGAAAGGGAATCTTCAACTCTATGAGTTGAATGCAGACATCAGAAAGAAATTTCTGAGAATGCTGCTGTCTACCTTTTATTTGAAATCCCGCTTCCAACGAAATCCTCCAAGCTATCCAAATATCCACTTGCAGATTCCACAAAAAGAGTGTTTCAAAACTGCTCTCTATCAATGGCAAAGTTCAACTCTGTTAGTTGAGGACACATATCACCAACAAGTTTCTGAGAATGCTTCTGTCTATTTTTTATGGGAAGATATTTCCTTTTTCACCGTAGGCGTCAAGGCGATCGAAATGTCCACTTCCACAAACTACAAAAAGAGTGTTTCAAACCTGCTCTATGAAAGGCCATGTTCATCTCTATGAGTCGAATGGAAATATCCGAAAGAAATTTCTGGGAATGCTGCTGTCTAGTTTTTATACGAATTCCCGCTTCCAACGAAATCCTCAAAGCAATCCAAATATCCACTTGCAGAATCCACAAAAAGAGTGTTTCAAAACTGCTCTATCAATAGAAAGGTTCAACTCTTTTAGTTGAGTACACACATCACAAACAAGTTTCTGAGAATGCTTTCTGTCTGGCTTTTATTGGAAGACGTTTCCTTTTCACCAAAGGCATCAAAGCGCTCCAAATGTCCACTTCCAGATTCTTCCAAAAGAGTGTTTGAAACGTGCTCAAAGTAAGGGAATGTTCAACTCTGTGACTTGAATGCAGATATCACCAAGTAGTTTGCTAATAGTGCTTTCTGTCTAGATTTTAGATGATGATATTCCCGTTTCCAACGAAATCGTTAGAGCTATCCAAATATCCACTTACAGTTGCTACAAAAACAGTGTTTCCAAACTGCTGCATCAAAAGAAAGGTTCAACTCTGTTAGTTGAGGACACACATCACAAAGAAGTTTGTGAGAATGCTTCTGTCCAGATTTTGTATGACGATATTCCCTTTTCCAACGATATCGTTAAAGCAATCTAAATATCAATTTGCAGAATCCACAAAAATAGAGTTTCAAAGCTGCTCTGTAAAAAGAAAGGTTCCACTCTGTTAGCTGAGTACACACATCACAAACGTGTTTCTGAGAATCCTTCTGTCTCGTTTTTCTGGGAAGATATTTACTTTTTCACCGTAGGCATCAAAGCGCTCCAAATGTCCACATCCAGATACTCCAGAAAGAGTGTTTCAAACCTGCTCTATGAAAGAGAATCTTCAACTCTATGAGTTGAATGCAGACATCAGAAAGAAATTTCTGAGAATGCTGCTGTCTACCTTTTATTTGAATTCCCGCTTCCAACGAAATCCTCCAAGCTATCCAAATATCCACTTGCAGATTCCACAAAAAGAGTGTTTCAAAACTGCTCTCTATCAATGGCAAAGTTCAACTCTGTTAGTTGAGGACACATATCACCAACAAGTTTCTGAGAATGCTTCTGTCTATTTTTTATGGGAAGATATTTCCTTTTTCACCGTAGGCGTCAAGGCGATCGAAATGTCCACTTCCACAAACTACAAAAAGAGTGTTTCAAACCTGCTCTATGAAAGGCCATGTTCATCTCTATGAGTCGAATGGAAATATCCGAAAGAAATTTCTGGGAATGCTGCTGTCTAGTTTTTATACGAATTCCCGCTTCCAACGAAATCCTCAAAGCAATCCAAATATCCACTTGCAGAATCCACAAAAAGAGTGTTTCAAAACTGCTCTATCAATAGAAAGGTTCAACTCTTTTAGTTGAGTACACACATCACAAACAAGTTTCTGAGAATGCTTCTGTCTGGCTTTTATTGGAAGACGTTTCCTTTTCACCAAAGGCATCAAAGCGCTCCAAATGTCCACTTCCAGATTCTTCCAAAAGAGTGTTTGAAACGTGCTCAAAGTAAGGGAATGTTCAACTCTGTGACTTGAATGCAGATATCACCAAGTAATTTCTAATAGTGCTTCTGTCTAGATTTTAGATGATGATATTCCCGTTTCCAACGAAATCGCTAGAGCTATCCAAATATCCAGTTACAGTTTCTACCAAAAGGCTGTTTCCAAATTGCTGCATCAAAAGAAAGTTTCAACTCTGTTAGTTGAGGACACACATCACAAAGAAGTTTGTGAGAATGCTTCTGTCTAGATTTTGTATGACGATATTCCCTTTTCCAACGATATCGTTAAAGCAATCTAAATATCAATTTGCAGAATCCACAAAAATAGAGTTTCAAAGCTGCTCTTTAAAAAGAAAGGTTCCACTCTGTTAGCTGAGTACACACATCACAAACTTGTTTCTGAGAAACCTGCTGTCTACCTTTTATTTGAATTCCCGCTTCCAACGAAATCCTCCAAGCTATCCAAATATCCACTTGCAGATTCCACAAAAAGAGTGTTTCAAAACTGCTCTCTATCAATGGCAAAGTTCATCTCTGTTAGTTGAGGACACATATCACCAACAAGTTTCTGAGAATGCTTCTGTCTATTTTTTATGGGAAGATATTTCCTTTTTCACCGTAGGCGTCAAGGCGATCGAAATGTCCACTTCCACAAACTACAAAAAGAGTGTTTCAAACCTGCTCTATGAAAGGCCATGTTCATCTCTATGAGTCGAATGGAAATATCCGAAAGAAATTTCTGGGAATGCTGCTGTCTAGTTTTTATACGAATTCCCGCTTCCAACGAAATCCTCAAAGCAATCCAAATATCCACTTGCAGAATCCACAAAAAGAGTGTTTCAAAACTGCTCTATCAATAGAAAGGTTCAACTCTTTTAGTTGAGTACACACATCACAAACAAGTTTCTGAGAATGCTTCTGTCTGGCTTTTATTGGAAGACGTTTCCTTTTCAACAAAGGCATCAAAGCGCTCCAAATGTCCACTTCCAGATTCTTCCAAAAGAGTGTTTCAAACGTGGTCGAAGTAAGGGAATGTTCAACTCTGTGACTTGAATGCAGATATCACCAAGTAGTTTCTAATAGTGCTTCTGTCTAGATTTTAGATGATGATATTCCCGTTTCCAACGAAATCGTTAGAGCTATCCAAATATCCACTTACAGTTTCTACCAAAAGGGTGTTTCCAAACTGCTGCATCAAAAGAAAAGTTCAACTCTGTTAGTTGAGGACACACGTCACAAAGCTGTTTGTGAGAATGCTTCTGTCTAGATTTTGTATGACGATATTCCCTTTTCCAACGATATCGTTAAAGCAATCTAAGTATCCATTTGCAGAATCCACAAAAATAGAGTTTCAAAGCTGCTCTGTAAAAAGAAAGGTTCCACTCTGTTAGCTGAGTACACACATCACAAACTTGTTTCTCAGAATCCTTCTGTCTCGTTTTTCTGGGAAGATATTTACTTTTTCACCGTGGGCATCAAAGCGCTCCAAATGTCCACATCCAGATACTCCAGAAAGAGTGTTTCAAACCTGCTCTATGAAAGGGAATCTTCAACTCTATGAGTTGAATGCAGACATCAGAAAGAAATTTCTGAGAATGCTGCTGTCTACCTTTTATTTGAATTCCCGCTTCCAACGAAATCCTCCAAGCTATCCAAATATCCACTTGCAGATTCCACAAAAAGAGTGTTTCAAAACTGCTCTCTATCAATGGCAAAGTTCAACTCTGTTAGTTGAGGACACATATCACCAACAAGTTTCTGAGAATGCTTCTGTCTATTTTTTATGGGAAGATATTTCCTTTTTCACCGTAGGCGTCAAGGCGATCGAAATGTCCACTTCCACAAACTACAAAAAGAGTGTTTCAAACATGCTCTATGAAAGGCCATGTTCATCTCTATGAGTTGAATGGAAATATCCGAAAGAAATTTCTGGGAATGCTGCTGTCTAGTTTTTATACGAATTCCCGCTTCCAACGAAATCCTCAAAGCAATCCAAATATCCACTTGCAGAATCCACAAAAAGAGTGTTTCAAAACTGCTCTATCAATAGAAAGGTTCAACTCTTTTAGTTGAGTACACACATCACAAACAAGTTTCTGAGAATGCTTCTGTCTGGCTTTTATTGGAAGACGTTTCCTTTTCACACAAGGCATCAAAGCGCTCCAAATGTCCACTTCCAGATTCTTCCAAAAGAGTGTTTCAAACGTGCTCAAAGTAAGGGAATGTTCAACTCTGTGACTTGAATGCAGATATCACTAAGTAGTTTCTAATAGTGCTTCTGTCTAGATTTTAGATGATGATATTCCCGTTTCCAACGAAATCGTTAGAGCTATCCAAATATCCAGTTACAGTTTCTACCAAAAGGGTGTTTCCAAATTGCTGCATCAAAAGAAAGGTTCAACTCTGTTAGTTGAGGACACACATCACAAAGAAGTTTGTGAGAGTGCTTCTGTCCAGATTTTGTATGACGGTATTCCCTTTTCCAACGATATCGTTAAAGCAATCTAAATATCAATTTGCAGAATCCACAACAATAGAGTTTCAAAGCTGCTCTGTAAAAAGAAAGGTTCCACTCTGTTAGCTGAGTACACACATCACAAACTTGTTTCTGAGAATCCTTCTGTCTCGTTTTTATGGGAAGATATTTACTTTTCCACCGTAGGCATCAAAGCGCTCCAAATGTCCACATCCAGATACTCCAGAAAGAGTCTTTCAAACCTGCTCTATGAAAGGGAATCTTCAACTCTATGAGTTGAATGCAGACATCAGAAAGAAATTTCTGAGAATGCTGCTGTCTACCTTTTATTTGAATTCCCGCTTCCAACGAAATCCTCCAAGCTATCCAAATATCCACTTGCAGATTCCACAAAAAGAGTGTTTCAAAACTGCTCTCTATCAATGGCAAAGTTCAACTCTGTTAGTTGAGGACACATATCACCAACAAGTTTCTGAGAATGCTTCTGTCTATTTTTTATGGGAAGATATTTCCTTTTTCACCGTAGGCGTCAAGGCGATCGAAATGTCCACTTCCACAAACTACAAAAAGAGTGTTTCAAACCTGCTCTATGAAAGGCGATGTTCATCTCTATGAGTTGAATGGAAATATCCGAAAGAAATTTCTGGGAATGCTGCTGTCTAGTTTTTATATGAATTCCCGCTTCCAACGAAATCCTCAAAGCAATCCAAATATCCACTTGCAGAATCCACAAAAAGAGTGTTTCAAAACTGCGCTATCAATAGAAAGGTTCAACTCTTTTAGTTGAGTACACACATCACAAACAAGTTTCTGAGAATGCTTCTGTCTGGCTTTTATTGGAAGACGTTTCCTTTTCACCAAAGGCATCAAAGCGCTCCAAATGTCCACTTCCAGATTCTTCCAAAAGAGTGTTTCAAACGTGCTCTAAGAAAGCGAATGTTCAACTCTGTGACTTGAATGCAGATATCACAAAGTAGTTTCTGAGAGGGCTTCTGTCTACATTTTAGATGATGATATTCCCTTTTCCAACGAAATCGTTAGAGCTATCCAAATATCCAGTTACAGTTTCTACCAAAAGGGTGTTTCCAAATTGCTGCAACAAAAGAAAGGTTCAACTCTGTTAGTTGAGGACACACATCACAAAGAAGTTTGTGAGAATGCTTCTGTCTAGATTTTGTATGACGATATTCCCTTTTCCAACGATATCGTTAAAGCAATCTAAATATCAATTTGCAGAATCCACAAAACTAGAGTTTCAAAGCTGCTCTGTAAAAAGAAAGGTTCCACTCTGTTAGCTGAGTACACACATCACAAACTTGTTTCTGAGAATCCTTCTGTCTCGTTTTTATGGGAAGATATTTACTTTTCCACCGTAGGCATCAAAGCGCTCCAAATGTGCACATCCAGATACTCCAGAAAGAGTGTTTCAAACCTGCCCTATGAAAGGGAATCTTCAACTCTATGAGTTGAATGCAGACATCAGAAAGAAATTTCTGAGAATGCTGCTGTCTACCTTTTATTTGAATTCCCGCTTCCAACGAAATCCTCCAAGCTATCCAAATATCCACTTGCATTTTCCACAAAAAGAGTGTTTCAAAACTGCTCTATCAATAGAAATGTTCATCTCCTTTAGCTGGGTACACACATCACAAACAAGTTTCTGAGAATGCTTCTGTCTAGTTTTTATGGGAAGACATTCCCTTTTTCACCAAAGGCATCAAAGCGCTCCAAATGTCCACTTCCAGACACTACAAAAAGAGTGTTTCAAACGTGCTCTAAGAAAGCGAAGGTTCAACTCTGTGACTTGAATGCAGATATCACAAAGTAGTTTCTGAGAGGGCTTCTGTCTAGATTTTAGATGATGATATTCCCGTTTCCAACGAAATCATTAGAGCTATCCAAATATCCACTTACAGTTTCTACAAAAAGAGTGTTTCCAAACTGCTGCATCAAAAGAGAGGTTCCACTCTGTTAGCTGAGTACACACATCACAAACTTGTTTCTCAGAATCCTTCTGTCTCGTTTTTATGGGAAGATATTTACTTTTTCACCGTAGGCATCAAAGCGCTCCAAATGTCCACATCCAGATACTCCAGAAAGACTGTTTCAAACCTGCTCCATGAAAGGGAATCTTCAACTCTATGAGTTGAATGCAGACATCAGAAAGAAATTTCTGAGAATGCTGCTGTCTACCTTTTATTTGAATTCCCGCTTCCAACGAAATCCTCCAAGCTATCCAAATATCCACCTGCATTTTCCACAAAAAGAGTGTTTCAAACCTGCTCTATCAATAGAAATGTTCAACTCCTTTGGCTGGGTACACACATCACAAACAAGTTTCTGACAATGCTTCTGTCTAGTTTTTATGGGTAGACATTCCCTTTTTCACCAAAGGAATCAAAGCGCTCCAAATGTCCACTTCCAGACACTACAAAAAGAGTGTTTCAAACGTGCTCTAAGAAAGCGAATGTTCAACTCTGTGACTTGAATGCAGATATCACACAGTAGTTTCTGAGAGTGCTTCTGTCTAGATTTTAGATGATGATATTCCCGTTTCCAACGAAATCATTAGAGCTATCCAAATATCCACTTACAGTTTCTACAAAAAGAGTGTTTCCAAACTGCTGCATCAAAAGAGAGGTTCCACTCCGTTAGCTGAGTACACACATCACAAACTTGTTTCTCAGAATCCTTATGTCTCGTTTTTATGGGAAGATATTTACTTTTTCACCGTAGGCATCAAAGCGCTCCAAATGTCCACATCCAGATACTCCAGAAAGAGTGTTTCAAACCTGCTCTATGAAAGGGAATCTTCAACTCTATGAGTTTAATGCAGACATCAGAAAGAAATTTCTGAGAATGCTGCTGTCTACCTTTTATTTGAATTCCCGCTTCCAACGAAATCCTCCAAGCTATCCAAATATCCACTTGCATTTTCCACAAAAAGAGTGTTTCAAAACTGCTCTATCAATAGAAATGTTCAACTCCTTTAGCTGGGTACACACATCACAAACATGTTTCTGAGAATGCTTCTGTCTACTTCTTAAGGGAAGACATTTCCTTTTTAACCAAAGGCATCAAAGCGCTCCAAATGTCCACTTCCAGATTCTACAAAAAGAGTGTTTCAAACCTGCTCTAAGTAAGGGAGTTTTCAACTCTGTGACTGGAATGCAGATATCACAAAGTAGTTTCTGAGACTGATTCTGTGTATACTTTAGATGAAGGTATTCTCGTTTCCAACGATATCGTTAGACCTACCCAAATATCCACTTACAGTTTCTACAAAAAGAGTGTTTCCAAACTGCTGCATCTAAAGAAAGGTTCAACTCTGTGAGTTGAGGACACACATCACAAAGAAGTTTCTGAGAAAGCTTCTGTCTAGATTTTGTATGAAGATATTCCCTTTTCCATCGATATCGTTAAATCAACCCAAATATCAATTTGCAGAATCCACAGAAATAGAGTTTCAAAGCTGCTCTGTAAAAAGAAAGGATCCACTCTGTTAGCTGAGTACACACATCACAAACTTGTTTCTGAGAATCCTGCTGTCTACCTTTTATTTGAATTCCCGCTTCCAACGAAATCCTCCAAGCTATCCAAATATCCACTTGCAGATTCCACAAAAAGAGTGTTTCAAAACTGCTCTCTATCAATGGCAAAGTTCAACTCTGTTAGTTGAGGACACATATCACCAACAAGTTTCTGAGAATGCTTCTGTCTATTTTTTATGGGAAGATATTTCCTTTTTCACCGTAGGCATCAAGGCGATCGAAATGTCCACTTCCACAAACTACAAAAAGAGTGTTTCAAACCTGCTCTATGAAAGGCCATGTTCATCTCTATGAGTCGAATGGAAATATCCGAAAGAAATTTCTGGGAATGCTGCTGTCTAGTTTTTATACGAATTCCCGCTTCCAACGAAATCCTCAAAGCAATCCAAATATCCACTTGCAGAATCCACAAAAAGAGTGTTTCAAAACTGCTCTATCAATAGAAAGGTTCAACTCTTTTAGTTGAGTACACACATCACAAACAAGTTTCTGAGAATGCTTCTGTCTGGCTTTTATTGGAAGACGTTTCCTTTTCACCAAAGGCATCAAAGCGCTCCAAATGTCCACTTCCAGATTCTTCCAAAAGAGTGTTTGAAACGTGCTCAAAGTAAGGGAATGTTCAACTCTGTGACATGAATGCAGATATCACCAAGTAGTTTCTAATAGTGCTTCTGTCCAGATTTTACAGGATGATATTCCCGTTTCCAACGAAATCGTTAGAGCTATCCAAATATCCACTTACAGTTTCTACAAAAAGAGTGTTTCCAAACTGCTGCATCAAAAGAAAGGTTCAACTCTGTTAGTTGAGGACACACATCACAAAGAAGTTTGTGAGAATCCTTCTGTCTAGATTTTGTATGACGATATTCCCTTTTCCAACGATATCGTTAAAGCAATCTAAATATCCATTTGCAGAATCCACAAAAATAGAGTTTCAAAGCTGCTCTGTAAAAAGAAAGGTTCCACTTCTGTTAGCTGAGTACACACATCACAAACTTGTTTCTCAGAATCCTTCTGTCTCGTTTTTATGGGAAGTATATTTACTTTTCCACCGTAGGCATCAAAGCGCTCCAAATGTCCACATCCAGATACTCCAGAAAGAGTGTTTCAAACCTGCTCTATGAAAGGGAATCTTCAACTCTATGAGTTGAATGCAGACATCAGAAAGAAATTTCTGAGAATGCTGCTGTCTACCATTTATTTGAATTCCCGCTTCCAACGAAATCTTCCAACCTATCCAAATATCCACCTGCATTTTCCACAAAAAGAGTGTTTCAAAACTGCTCTATCAATAGAAATGTTCAACTCCTTTAGCTAGGTACACACATCACAAACAAGTTTCTGAGAATGCTTCTGTCTAGTTTTTATGGGAAGACATTCCCTTTTTCACCAAAGGCATCAAAGCGCTCCAAATGTCCACTTCCAGACACTACAAAAAGAGTGTTTCAAACGTGCTCTAAGAAAGCGAATGTTCAACTCTGTGACTTGAATGCAGATATCACAAAGTAGTTTTTGAGAGGGCTTCTGTCTAGTATTTTAGATGATGATATTCCCGTTTCCAACGAAATCATTAGAGCTATCCAAATATCCACTTACAGTTTCTACAAAAAGAGTGTTTCCAAACTGCTGCATCAAAAGAGAGGTTCCACTCTGTTAGCTGAGTACACACATCACAAACTTGTTTCTGAGAATCCTTCTGTCTAGTTTTTATGGGAAGATATTTACTTTTTCACCGTAGGTATCAAAGCGCTCCAAATGTCCACATCCAGATACTACAGAAAGAGTGTTTCAAACCTGCTCTATGAAAGGGAATCTTCAACTCTATGAGTTGAATGCAGACATCAGAAAGTAATTTCTGAGAATGCTGCTGTCTACCTTTTATTTGAATTCCCGATTCCAACGAAATCCTCCAAGCTATCCAAATATCCACTTGCATTTTCCACAAAAAGAGTTTTTCAAAACTGCTCTATCAATAGAAATGTTCAACTCCTTTAGCTGGGTACACACATCACAAACAAGTTTCTGAGAATGCTTCTGTCTAGTTTTTATGGGAAGACGTTCCCTTTTTCACCAAAGGCATCAAAGCGCTCCAAATGTCCACTTCCAGGCACTACAAAAAGAGTGTTTCCAACGTGCTCTAAGAAAGCGAATGTTCAACTCTGTGACTTGAATGCAGATATCACAAAGTAGTTTCTGAGAGGGCTTCTGTCTAGATTTTACATGATGATATTCCCGTTTCCAACGAAATCATTAGAGCTATCCAAATATCCACTTACAGTTTCTACAAAAAGAGTGTTTCCAAACTGCTGACATCAAAAGAGTGGTTCCACTCTGTTAGCTGAGTACACACATCACAAACTTGTTTCTGAGAATCCTTCTGTCTCGTTTTTATGGGAAGATATTTACTTTTTCACCGTAGGCATCAAAGCGCTCCAAATGTCCACATCCAGATACTACAGAAAGAGTATTTCAAACCTGCCCTATGAAAGGGAATGTTCAACTCTATGAGTTGAATGCAGACATCAGAAAGAAATTTCTGAGAATGCTGCTGTCTACCTTTTATTTGAATTCCCGCTTCCAACGAAATCCTCCAAGCTATCCAAATATCCACTTGCAGATTCCGGAAAAAGAGTGTTTCAAAACTGCTCTCTATCAATGGCAAAGTTCAACTCTGTTAGTTGAGGACACATATCACCAACAAGTTTCTGAGAATGCTTCTGTCTATTTTTTATGGGAAGATATTTCCTTTTTCACCGTAGGCGTCAAGGCGATCGAAATGTCCACTTCCACAAACTACAAAAAGAGTGTTTCAAACCTGCTCTATGAAAGGCCATGTTCATCTCTATGAGTTGAATGGAAATATCCGAAAGAAATTTCTGGGAATGCTGCTGTCTAGTTTTTATACGAATTCCCGCTTCCAACGAAATCCTCAAACAATCCAAATATCCACTTGCAGAATCGACAAAAAGAGTGTTTCAAAACTGCTCTATCAATAGAAAGGTTCAACTCTTTTAGTTGAGTACACACATCACGAACAAGTTTCTGAGAATGCTTCTGTCTGGCTTTTATTGGAAGACGTTTCCTTTTCACCAAAGGCATCAAAGCGCTCCAAATGTCCACTTCCAGATTCTTCCAAAAGAGTGTTTCAAACGTGCTCAAAGTAAGGGAATGTTCAACTCTGTGACTTGAATGCAGATATCACCAAGTAGTTTCTAATAGTGCTTCTGTCTAGATATTAGATGATGATATTCCCGTTTCCAACGAAATCGTTAGAGCTATCCAAATATCCAGTTACAGTTTCTACCAAAAGGGTGTTTCCAAATTGCTGCATCAAAAGAAAGGTTCAACTCTGTTAGTTGAGGACACACATCACAAAGAAGTTTGTGAGAATGCTTCTGTCTAGATTTTGTATGACGATATTCCCTTTTCCAACGATATCGTTAAAGCAATCTAAATATCAATTTGCAGAATCCACAAAAATAGAGTTTCAAAGCTGCTCTGTAAAAAGAAAGGTTCCACTCTGTTAGCTGAGTACACACATTACAAACTTGTTTCTCAGAATCCTCTGTCTCGTTTTTATGGGAAGATATTTACTTTTCCACCGTAGGCATCAAAGCGCTCCAAATGTCCACATCCAGATACTCCAGAAAGAGTGTTTCAAACCTGCTCTATGAAAGGGAATCTTCAACTCTATGAGTTGAATGCAGACATCAGAAAGAAATTTCTGAGAATGCTGGCTGTCTACCTTTTATTTGAATTCCCTCTTCCAACGAAATCCTCCAAGCTATCCAAATATTCACTTGCATTTTCCACAAAAAGAGTGTTTCAAAACTGCTCTATCAATAGAAATGTTCAACTCCTTTAGCTGGGTACACACATCACAAACAAGTTTCTGAGAATGCTTCTGTCTAGTTTTTATGGGAAGACATTCCCTTTTTCACCAAAGACATCAAAGCGCTCCAAATGTCCACTTCCAGACACTACAAAAAGAGTGTTTCCAACGTGCTCTAAGAAAGCGAATGTTCAACTCTGTGACTTGAATGCAGATATCACAAAGTAGTTTCTGAGAGTGCTTCTGTCTAGATTTTAGATGATGATAATCCCGTTTCCAACAAAATCATTAGAGCTATCCAAATATCCACTTACAGTTTCTACAAAAAGAGTGTTTCCAAACTGCTGCATCAAAAGAGAGGTTCCACTCTGTTAGCTGAGTACACACATCACAAACTTGTTTCTCAGAATCCTTCTGTCTCGTTTTTATGGGAAGATATTTACTTTTTCACCGTAGGCATCAAAGCGCTCCAAATGTCCACATCCAGATACTCCAGAAAGAGTGTTTCAAACCTGCTCTATGAAAGGGAATCTTCAACTCTATGAGTTGAATGCAGACATCAGAAAAAATTTCTGAGAATGCTGCTGTCTACCTTTAATTTGAATTCCCGCTTCCAACGAAATCCTCCAAGCTATCCAAATATCCACTTGCAGATTCCACAAAAAGAGTGTTTCAAAACTGCTCTCTATCAATGGCAAAGTTCAACTCTGTTAGTTGAGGACACATATCACCAACAAGTTTCTGAGAATGCTTCTGTCTATTGTTTATGGGAAGATATTTCCTTTTTCACCGTAGGCGTCAAGGCGATCGAAATGTCCACTTCCACAAACTACAAAAAGAGTGTTTCAAACCTGCTCTATGAAGGGCCATGTTCATCTCTATGAGTTGAATGGAAATATCCGAAAGAAATTTCTGGGAATGCTGCTGTCTAGTGTTTATACCGAATTCCCGCTTCCAACGAAATCCTCAAAGCAATCCAAATATCCACTTGCAGAATCCACAAAAAGAGTGTTTCAAAACTGCTCTATCAATAGAAAGGTTCAACTCTTTTAGTTGAGTACACACATCACGAACAAGTTTCTCAGAATGCTTCTGTCTGGCTTTTATTGGAAGACGTTTCCTTTTCACCAAAGGCATCAAAGCGCTCCAAATGTCCACTTCCAGATTCTTCCAAAAGAGTGTTTCAAACGTGCTCAAAGTAAGGGAATGTTCAACTCTGTGACTTGAATGCAGATATCACCAAGTAGTTTCTAATAGTGCTTCTGTCTAGATTTTAGATGATGATATTCCCGTTTCCAACGAAATCGTTAGAGCTATCCAAATATCCACTTACAGTTTCTACAAAAAGAGTGTTTCCAAACTGCTGCATCAAAAGAAAAGTTCAACTCTGTTAGTTGAGGACACACATCACAAAGAAGTTTGTGAGAATGCTTCTGTCTAGATTTTGTATGACCATATTCCCTTTTCCAGCGATATCATTAAAGCAATCTAAATATCCATTTGCAGAATCCACAAAAATAGAGTTCCAAAGCTGCTCTGTAAAAAGAAAGGTTCCACTCTGTTAGCTGAGTACACACATCACAAACTTGTTTCTCAGAATCCTTCTGTCTCGTTATTATGGGAAGATATTTACTTTTTCACCGTAGGCATCAAAGCGCTCCAAATGTCCACATCCAGATACTCCAGAAAGAGTGTTTCAAACCTGCTCTATGAAAGGGAATCTTCAACTCTATGAGTTGAATGCAGACATCAGAAAGAAATTTCTGAGAATGCTGCTGTCTACCTTTTATTTGAACTCCCGCTTCCAACGAAATCCTCCAAGCTATCCAAATATCCACTTGCATTTTCCACAAAAAGAGTGCTTCAAAACTGCTCTATCAATAAATGTTCAACTCCTTTAGCTGGGTGCACACATCACAAACAAGTTTCTGCGAATGCTTCTGTCTAGTTTTTATGGGAAGACATTCCCTTTTTCACCAAAGGCATCAAAGCGCTCCAAATGTCCACTTCCAGACACTACAAAAAGAGTGTTTCAAACGTGCTCTAAGAAAACGAATGTTCAACTCTGTGACTTGAATGCAGATATCACAGAGTAGTTTCTGAGAGGGCTTTCTGTCTAGATTTTAGATGATGATATTCCCGTTTCCAACGAAATCATTAGAGCTATCCAAATATCCACTTACAGTTTCTACAAAAAGAGTGTTTCCAAACTGCTGCTTCAAAAGAGAGGTTCCACTCTGTTAGCTGAGTACACACATCACAAACTTCTTTCTGAGAATCCTTCTGTGTCGTTTTTATGGCAAGATATTTACTTTTTCACCGTAGGCATCAAAGCGCTCCAAATGTCCACATCCAGATACTCCAGAAAGAGTGTTTCAAACCTGCTCTATGAAAGGGAATCTTCAACTCTATGAGTTGAATGCAGACATCAGAAAGAAATTTCTGAGAATGCTGCTGTCTACCTTTTATTTGAATTCCCGCTTCCAACGAAATCCTCCAAGCTATCCAAATATCCACTTGCAGATTCCACAAAAAGAGTGTTTCAAAACTGCTCTCTATCAATGGCAAAGTTCAACTCTGTTAGTTGAGGACACATATCACCAACAAGTTTCTGAGAATGCTTCTGTCTATTTTTTATGGGAAGATATTTCCTTTTTCAGCGTAGGCGTCAAGGCGATCGAAATGTCCACTTCCACAAACTACAAAAAGAGTGTTTCAAACCTGCTCTATGAAAGGCCATGTTCATCTCTATGAGTTGAATGGAAATATCCGAAAGAAATTTCTGGGAATGCTGCTGTCTAGTGTTTATACGAATTCCCGCTTCCAACGAAATCCTCTAAGCAATCCAAATATCCACTTGCAGAATCCACAAAAAGAGTGTTTCAAAACTGCGCTATCAATAGAAAGGTTCAACTCTTTTAGTTGAGTACACACATCACGAACAAGTTTCTGAGAATGCTTCTGTCTGGCTTTTATTGGAAGACGTTTCCTTTTCACCAAAGGCATCAAAGCGCTCCAAATGTCCACTTCCAGATTCTTCCAAAAGAGTGTTTCAAACGTGCTCAAAGTAAGGGAATGTTCAACTCTGTGACTTGAATGCAGATATCACCAAGTAGTTTCTAATAGTGCTTCTGTCTACATTTTAGATGATGATATTCCCGTTTCCAACGAAATCGTTAGAGCTATCCAAATATCCAGTTACAGTTTCTACCAAAAGGGTGTTTCCAAATTGCTGCATCAAAAGAAAGGTTCAACTCTGTTAGTTGAGGACACACATCACAAACAAGTTTGTGAGAATGCTTCTGTCTAGATTTTGTATGACGATATTCCCTTTTCCAACGATATCGTTAAAGCAATCTAAATATCAATTTGCAGAATCCAGAAAAATAGAGTTTCAAAGCTGCTCTGTAAAAAGAAATGTTCCACTCTGTTAGCTGAGTACACACATCACAAACTTGTTTCTGAGAATCCTTCTGTCTCGTTTTTATGGGAAGATATTTCCTTTTCCACCGTAGGCATCAAAGCGCTCCAAATGTCCACATCCAGATACTCCAGAAAGAGTGTTTCAAACCTGCTCTATGAAAGGGAATCTTCAACTCTATGAGTTGAATGCAGACATCAGAAAGAAATTTCTGAGAATGCTGCTGTCTACCTTTTATTTGAATTCCTGCTTCCAACGAAATCCTCCAAGCTATCCAAATATCCACCTGCATTTTCCACAACAAGAGTGTTTCAAAACTGCTCTATCAATAGAAATGTTCAACTCCTTTGGCTGGGTACACACATCACAAACAAGTTTCTGAGAATGCTTCTGTCTAGTTTTTATGGGAAGACATTCCCTTTTTCACCAAAGGCATCAAAGCGCTCCAAATGTCCACTTCCAGACACTACAAAAAGAGTGTTTCAAACGTGCTCTAAGAAAGCGAATGTTCAACTCTGTGACCTGAATGCAGATATCACAAAGTAGTTTCTGAGAGTGCTTCTGTCTAGATTTTAGTTGATGATATTCCCATTTCCAACGAAATCATTAGAGCTATCCAAATATCCACTTACAGTTTCTACAAAAAGAGTGTTTCCAAACTGCTGCATCAGAAGAGAGGTTCCACTCTGTTAGCTGAGTACACACATCACAAACTTGTTTCTGAGAATCCTTCTGTCTCGTTTTTATGGGAAGATATTTACTTTTTCTTCGTAGGCCTCAAAGCGCTCCAAATGTCCACATCCAGATACTACAGAAAGAGTATTTCAAACCTGCCCTATGAAAGGGAATGCTCAACTCTATGAGTTGAATGCAGACATCAGAAAGAAATTTCTGAGAATGCTGCTGTCTACCTTTTATTTGAATTACCGCTTCCAACGAAATCCTCCAAGCTATCCAAATATCCACTTGCAGATTCCACAAAAAGAGTGTTTCAAAACTGCTCTCTATCAATGGCAAAGTTCAACTCTGTTAGTTGAGGACACATATCACCAACAAGTTTCTGAGAGTGCTTCTGTCTATTTTTTATGGGAAGATATTTCCTTTTTCACCGTAGGCGTCAAGGCGATCGAAATGTCCACTTCCACAAACTACAAAAAGAGTGTTTCAAACCTGCTCTATGAAAGGCCATGTTCATCTCTATGAGTTGAATGGAAATATCCGAAAGAAATTTCTGGGAATGCTGCTGTCTAGTTTTTATATGAATTCCCGCTTCCAACGAAATCCTCAAAGCAATCCAAATATCCACTTGCAGAATCCACAAAAAGAGTGTTTCAAAACTGCTCTATCAATAGAAAGGTTCAACTCTTTTAGTTGAGTACACACATCACAAACAAGTTTCTGAGAATGCTTCTGTCTGGCTTTTATTGGAAGACGTTTCCTTTTCACCAAAGGCATCAAAGCGCTCCAAATGTCCACTTCCAGATTCTTCCAAAAGAGTGTTTCAAACGTGGTCGAAGTAAGGGAATGTTCAACTCTGTGACTTGAATGCAGATATCACCAAGTAGTTTCTAATAGTGTTTCTGTCTAGATTTTAGATGATGATATTCCCGTTTCCAACGAAATCGTTAGATCTATCCAAATATCCAGTTACAGTTTCTACAAAAAGAGTGTTTCCAAACTGCTGCATCAAAAGAAAGGTTCAACTCTGTTAGTTGAGGACACACATCACAAAGAAGTTTGTGAGAATGCTTCTGTCTAGATTTTGTATGACGGTATTCCCTTTTCCAACGATATCGTTAAAGCAATCTAAATATCAATTTGCAGAATCCACAACAATAGAGTTTCAAAGCTGCTCTGTAAAAAGAAAGGTTCCACTCTGTTAGCTGAGTACACACATCACAAATTTGTTTCTGAGAATCCTTCTGTCTCGTTTTTATGGGAAGATATTTACTTTTTCACCGTAGGCATCAAAGCGCTCCAAATGTCCACATCCAGATACTCCAGAAAGAGTGTTTCAAACCTGCTCTATGAAAGGGAATCTTCAACTCTATGAGTTGAATGCAGACATCAGAAAGAAATTTCTGAGAATGCTGGCTGTCTACCTTTTATTTGAATTCCCGCTTCCAACGAAAACCTCCAAGCTATCCAAATATCCACTTGCAGATTCCACAAAAAGAGTGTTTCAAAACTGCTCTATCAATAGAAATGTTCAACTCCTTTCGCTGGGTTCACACATCACAAACAAGTTTCTGAGAATGCTTCTGTCTAGTTTTTATGGAAAGACATTTCCTTTTTCACCAAAGGCATCAAAGAGCTCCAAATGTCCACTTCCAGATACTACAAAAAGAGTGTTTCAAAAGTGCTCTAAGAAAGCGAATGTTCAACTCTGTGACTTGAATGCAGATATCACAAAGTAGTTTCTGAGAGTGCTTCTGTCTAGATTTTAGATGATGATATTCCCGTTTCCAACGAAATCATTAGAGCTTTCCAAATATCCACTTACAGTTTCTACAAAAAGAGTGTTTCCAAACTGCTGCGTCAAAAGAGAGGTTCCACTCTGTTAGCTGAGTACACACATCACAAACTTGTTTCTGAGAATCCTTCTGTCTAGTTTTTATGGGAAGATATTTACTTTTTCACCGTAGGCATCAAAGCGTTACAAATGTCCACATCCAGATAGTACAGAAAGAATGTTTCAAACCTGCTCTATGAAAGGGAATGTTCAACTCTATGAGTTGAATGCAAACATCACAAAGAAATTTCTGAGAATGCTGCTGTCTACCTTTTATTTGAATTCCCGCTTCCAACGAAATCCTCCAAGCTATCCAAATATCCACTTGCAGATTCCACAAAAAGAGTGTTTCAAAACTGCTCTCTATCAATGGCAAAGTTCAACTCTGTTAGTTGAGGACACATATCACCAACAAGTTTCTGAGAATGCTTCTGTCTATTTTTTATGGGAAGATATTTCCTTTTTCACCGTAGGCGTCAAGGCGATCGAAATGTCCACTTCCACAAACTACAAAAAGAGTGTTTCAAACCTGCTCTATGAAAGGCCATGTTCATCTCTATGAGTTGAATGGAAATATCCGAAAGAAATTTCTGGGAATGCTGCTGTCTAGTGTTTATACCAAATTCCCGCTTCCAACGAAATCCTCAAAGCAATCCAAATATCCACTTGCAGAATCCACAAAAAGAGTGTTTCAAAACTGCTCTATCAATAGAAAGGTTCAACTCTTTTAGTTGAGTACACACATCACGAACAAGTTTCTGAGAATGCTTCTGTCTGGCTTTTATTGGAAGACGTTTCCTTTTCACCAAAGGCATCAAAGCGCTCCAAATGTCCACTTCCAGATTCTTCCAAAAGAGTGTTTCAAACGTGCTCAAAGTAAGGGAATGTTCAACTCTGTGACTTGAATGCAGATATCACCAAGTAGTTTCTAATAGTGCTTCTGTCTAGATTTTAGATGATGATATTCCCGTTTCCAACGAAATCGTTAGAGCTATCAAAATATCCACTTACAGTTTCTACCAAAAGGGTGTTTCCAAACTGCTGCATTAAAAGAAAGGTTCAACTCTGTTAGTTGAGGACACACATCACAAAGAAGTTTGTGAGAATGCTTCTGTCTAGATTTTGTATGACGATATTCCCTTTTCCAACGATATCGTTAAAGCAATCTCAATATCAATTTGCAGAATCCACAAAAATAGAGTTTCAAAGCTGCTCTGTAAAAAGAAAGGTTCCACTCTGTTAGCTGAGTACACACATCACAAACTTGTTTCTGAGAATCCTTCTGTCTCGTTTTTATGGGAAGATATTTACTTTTTCACCGTAGGCATCAAAGCCCTCCAAATGTCCACATCCAGATACTCCAGAAACAGTGTTTCAAACCTGCTCTATGAAAGGGAATCTTCAACTCTATGAGTTGAATGCAGACATCAGAAAGAAATTTCTGAGAATGCTGCTGTCTACCTTTTATTTGAATTCCCGCTTCCAACGAAATCCTCCAAGCTATCCAAATATCCACCTGCATTTTCCACAACAAGAGTGTTTCAAAACTGCTCTATCAATAGAAATGTTCAACTCCTTTGGCTGGGTACACACATCACAAACAAGTTTGTGAGAATGCTTCTGTCTAGTTTTTATGGGTAGACATTCCCTTTTTCACCAAAGGCATCAAAGCGCTCCAAATGTCCACTTCCAGACACTACAAAAAGAGTGTTTCAAACGTGCTCTAAGAAAGCGAATGTTCAACTCTGTGACTTGAATGCAGATATCACAAAGTAGTTTCTGAGAGGGCTTCTGTCTAGATTTTAGATGATGATATTCCCGTTTCCAACCGAAATCATTAGAGCTATCCAAATATCCACTTACAGTTTCTACAAAAAGAGTGTTTCCAAACTGCTGCATCAAAAGAGAGGTTCCACTCTGTTAGCTGAGTACACACATCACAAACTTGTTTCTCAGAATCCTTCTGTCTCGTTTTTATGGGAAGATATTTACTTTTTCACCGTAGGCATCAAACCGCTCCAAATGTCCACATCCAGATACTCCAGAAAGAGTGTTTCAAACCTGCTCTATGAAAGGGAATCTTCAACACTATGAGTTGAATGCAGACATCAGAAAGAAATTTCTGAGAATGCTGCTGTCTACCTTTTATTTGAATTCCCGCTTCCAACGAAATCCTCCAAGCTATCCAAATATCCACTTGCAGATTCCACAAAAAGAGTGTTTCAAAACTGCTCTCTATCAATGGCAAAGTTCAACTCTGTTAGTTGAGGACACATATCACCAACAAGTTTCTGAGAATGCTTCTGTCTATTTTTTATGGGAAGATATTTCCTTTTTCACCGTAGGCGTCAAGGCGATCGAAATGTCCACTTCCACAAACTACAAAAAGAGTGTTTCAAACCTGCTCTATGAAAGGCCATGTTCATCTCTATGAGTCGAATGGAAATATCCGAAAGAAATTTCTGGGAATGCTGCTGTCTAGTTTTTATACGAATTCCTGCTTCCAACGAAATCCTCAAAGCAATCCAAATATCCACTTGCAGAATCCACAAAAAGAGTGTTTCAAAACTGCTCTATCAATAGAAAGGTTCAACTCTTTTAGTTGAGTACACACATCACAAACAAGTTTCTGTTAATGCTTCTGTCTGGCTTTTATTGGAAGACGTTTCCTTTTCACCAAAGGCATCAAAGCGCTCCAAATGTCCACTTCCAGATTCTACCAAAAGAGTGTTTCAAACGTGCTCATAGTAAGGGAATGTTCAACTCTGTGACTTGAATGCAGATATCACCAAGTAGTTTCTAATAGTGCTTCTGTCTAGATTTTAGATGATGATATTCCCGTTTCCAACGAAATCGTTAGAGCTATCCAAATATCCACTTACAGTTGCTACAAAAACAGTGTTTCCAAACTGCTGCATCAAAAGAAAGGTTCAACTCTGTTAGTTGAGGACACACATCACAAAGAAGTTTGTGAGAATGCTTCTGTCTAGATTTTGTATGACGATATTCCCTTTTCCAACGATATCGTTAAAGCAATCTAAATATCCATTTGCAGAATCCACAAAAATAGAGTTTCAAAGCTGCTCTGTAAAAAGAAAGGTTCCACTCTGTTAGCTGAGTACACACATCGCAAACTTGTTTCTCAGAATCCTGCTGTCTACCTTTTATTTGAATTCCCGCTTCCAACGAAATCCTCCAAGCTATCCAAATATCCACTTGCATTTTCCACAAAAAGAGTGTTTCAAAACTGCTCTATCAATAGAAATGTTCAACTCCTTTAGTTGGGTACACACATCACAAACAAGTTTCTGAGAATGCTTGTGTCTAGTTTTTATGGGAAGACATTCCCTTTTTCACCAAAGGCATCAAAGCGCTCCAAATGTCCACTTCCAGACACTACAAAAAGAGTGTTTCCAACGTGCTCTAAGAAAGCGAATATTCAACTCTGTGACTTGAATGCAGATATCACAAAGTAGTTTCTGAGAGTGCTTCTGTCTAGATTTTAGATGATGATATTCCCGTTTCCAACAAAATCATTAGAGCTTCCAAATATCCACTTACAGTTTCTACAAAAAGAGTGTTTCCAAACTGCTGCATCAAAAGAGAGGTTCCACTCTGTTAGCTGAGTATACACATCACAAACTTGTTTCTCAGAATCCTTCTGTCTCGTTTTTATGGGAAGATATTTACTTTTTCACCGTAGGCATCAAAGCGCTCCAAATGTCCACATCCAGATACTCCAGAAAGAGTGTTTCAAACCTGCTCTATGAAAGGGAATCTTCAACTCTATGAGTTGAATGCAGACATCAGAAAAAAATTTCTGAGAATGCTGCTGTCTACTTTTTATTTGAATTCCCGCTTCCAACGAAATCCTCCAAGCTATCCAAATATCCACTTGCAGATTCCACAAAAAGAGTGTTTCAAAACTGCTCTCTATCAATGGCAAAGTTCAACTCTGTTAGTTGAGGACACATATCACCAACAAGTTTCTGAGAATGTTTCTGTCTATTTTTTATGGGAAGATATTTCCTTTTTCACCGTAGGCGTCAAGGCGATCGAAATGTCCACTTCCACAAACTACAAAAAGAGTGTTTCAAACCTGCTCTATGAAAGGCCATGTTCATCTCTATGAGTTGAATGGAAATATCCGAAAGAAATTTCTGGGAATGCTGCTGTCTAGTTTTTATACGAATTCCCGCTTACAACAAAATCCTCAAAGCAATCCAAATATCCACTTGCAGAATCCACAAAAAGAGTGTTTCAAAACTGCTCTATCAATAGAAAGGTTCAACTCTTTTAGTTGAGTACACACATCACAAACAAGTTTCTGAGAATGCTTCTGTCTGGCTTTTATTGGAAGACGTTTCCTTTTCACCAAAGGCATCAAAGCGCTCCAAATGTCCACTTCCAGATTCTTCCAAAAGAGTGTTTCAAACGTGCTCAAAGTAAGGGAATGTTCAACTCTGTGACTTGAATGCAGATATCACCAAGTAGTTTCTAATAGTGCTTCTGTCTAGATTTTAGATGATGATATTCCCGTTTCCAACGAAATCTTTAGAGCTATCCAAATATCCACTTACAGTTTCTACAAAAAGAGTGTTTCCAAACTGCTGCATCAAAAGAAAGGTTCAACTCTGTTAGTTGAGGACACACATCACAAAGAAGTTTGTGAGAATGCTTCTGTCTAGATTTTGTATGACGATATTCCCTTTTCCAACGATATCGTTAAAGCAATCTAAATATCAATTTGCAGAATCCACAAAACTAGAGTTTCAAAGCTGCTCTGTAAAAACAAAGGTTCCACTCTGTTAGCTGAGTACACACATCACAAACTTGTTTCTGAGAATCCTTCTGTCTCGTTTTTATGGGAAGATATTTACTTTTCCACCGTAGGCATCAAAGCGCTCCAAATGTCCACATCCAGATACTCCAGAACGAGTGTTTCAAACCTCCTCTATGAAAGGGAATCCTCAACTCTATGAGTTGAATGCAGACATCAGAAAGAAATTTCTGAGAATGCTGCTGTCTACCTTTTATTTGAATTCCCGCTTCCAACGAAATCCTCCAAGCTATCCAAATATCCACCTGCATTTTCCACAACAAGAGTGTTTCAAAACTGCTCTATCAATAGAAATGTTCAACTGCTTTGGCTGGGTACACACATCACAAACAAGTTTCTGAGAATGCTTCTGTCTAGTTTTTATGGGAAGACATTCCCTTTTTCACCAAAGGCATCAAAGCGCTCCAAATGTCCACTTCCAGACACTACAAAAAGAGTGTTTCAAACGCGCTCTAAGAAAGCGAATGTTCAACTCTGTGACTTGAATGCAGATATCACAAAGTAGTTTCTGAGAGTGCTTCTGTCTAGATTTTAGATGATGATATTCCCGTTTCCAACGAAATCATTAGAGCTATCCAAATATCCACTTACAGTTTCTACAAAAAGAGTGTTTCCAAACTGCTGCATCAAAGGAGAGGTTCCAATCTGTTAGCTGAGTACAAACATCACAAACTTGTTTCTCAGAATCCTGCTGTCTACCTTTTATTTGAATTCCCGCTTCCAACGAAATCCTCCAAGCTATCCAAATATCCACTTGCAGATTCCACAAAAAGAGTGTTTCAAAACTGCTCTCTATCAATGGCAAAGTTCAACTCTGTTAGTTGAGGACACATATCACCAACAAGTTTCTGAGAATGCTTCTGTCTATTTTTTATGGGAAGATATTTCCTTTTTCAGCGTAGGCGTCAAGGCGATCGAAATGTCCACTTCCACAAACTACAAAAAGAGTGTTTCAAACCTGCTCTATGAAAGGCCATGTTCATCTCTATGAGTTGAATGGAAATATCCGAAAGAAATTTCTGGGAATGCTGCTGTCTAGTGTTTATACGAATTCCCGCTTCCAACGAAATCCTCAAAGCAATCCAAATATCCACTTGCAGAATCCACAAAAAGAGTGTTTCAAAACTGCTCTATCAATAGAAAGGTTCAACCCTTTTAGTTGAGTACACACATCACGAACAAGTTTCTGAGAATGCTTCTCTCTGGCTTTTATTGGAAGACGTTTCCTTTTCACCAAAGGCATCAAAGCGCTCCAAATGTCCACTTCCAGATTCTTCCAAAAGAGTGTTTCAAACGTGCTCAAAGTAAGGGAATGTTCAACTCTGTGACTTGAATGCAGATATCACCAAGTAGTTTCTAATAGTGCTTCTGTCTACATTTTAGATGATTATATTCCCGTTTCCAACGAAATCGTTAGAGCTATCCAAATATCCAGTTACAGTTTCTACCAAAAGGGTGTTTCCAAATTGCTGCATCAAAAGAAAGGTTCAACTCTGTTAGTTGAGGACACACATCACAAAGAAGTTTGTGAGAATGCTTCTGTCCAGATTTTGTATGACGATATTCCCTTTTCCAATGATATCGTTAAAGCAATCTAAATATCAATTTGCAGAATCCACAAAAATAGAGTTTCAAAGCTGCTCTGTAAAAAGAAAGGTTCCACTCTGTTAGCTGAGTACACACATCACAAACTTGTTTCTGAGAATCCTCTGTCTCGTTTTTATGGGAAGATATTTACTTTTCCACCGTAGGCATCAAAGCGCTCCAAATGTCCACATCCAGATACTCCAGAACGAGTGTTTCAAACCTGCTCTATGAAAGGGAATCTTCAACTCTATGAGTTGAATGCAGACATCAGAAAGAAATTTCTGAGAATGCTGGCTGTCTACCTTTTATTTGAATTCCCGCTTGCAACGAAATCCTCCAAGCTATCCAAATATCCACCTGCATTTTCCACAACAAGAGTGTTTCAAAACTGCTCTATCAATAGAAATGTTCAACTCCTTTGGCTGGGTACACACATCACAAACAAGTTTCTGAGAATGCTTCTGTCTAGTTTTTATGGGAAGACATTTCCTTTTTCACCAAAGGCATCAAAGAGCTCCAAATGTCCACTTCCAGATACTACAAAAAGAGTGTTTCAAAAGTGCTCTCAGAAAGCGCATGTTCAACTCTGTGACTTGAATGCAGATATCAAAAAGTAGTTTCTGAGAGTGCTTCTGTCTAGATTTTAGATGATGATATTCCCGTTTCCAACGAAATCATTAGAGCTATCCAAATATCCACTTACAGTTTCTACAAAAAGAGTGTTTCCAAACTGCTGCATCAAAAGAGAGGTTCCACTCTGTTAGCTGAGTACACACATCACAAACTTGTTTCTGAGAATCCTTCTGTGTCGTTTTTATGGGAAGATATTTACTTTTTCACCGTAGGCATCAAAGCGCTCCAAATGTCCACATCCAGATACTCCAGAAAGAGTGTTTCAAACCTGCTCTATGAAAGGGAATCTTCAACTCTATGAGGTTGAATGCAGACATCAGAAAGAAATTTCTGAGAATGCTGCTGTCTACCTTTTATTTGAATTCCCGCTTCCAACGAAATCCTCCAAGCTATCCAAATATCCACTTGCAGATTCCACAAAAAGAGTGTTTCAAAACTGCTCTCTATCAATGGCAAAGTTCAACTCTGTTAGTTGAGGACACATATCACCAACAAGTTTCTGAGAATGCTTCTGTCTATTTTTTATGGGAAGATATTTCCTTTTTCACCGTAGGCGTCAAGGCGATCGAAATGTCCACTTCCACAAACTACAAAAAGAGTGTTTCAAACCTGCTCTATGAAAGGCCATGTTCATCTCTATGAGTCGAATGGAAATATCCGAAAGAAATTTCTGGGAATGCTGCTGTCTAGTGTTTATATGAATTCCCGCTTCCAACGAAATCCTCAAAGCAATCCAAATATCCACTTGCAGAATCCACAAAAAGAGTGTTTCAAAACTGCTCTATCAATAGAAAGGTTCAACTCTTTTAGTTGAGTACACACATCACAAAAAAGTTTCTGAGAATGCTTCTGTCTGGCTTTTATTGGAAGACGTTTCCTTTTCACCAAAGGCATCAAAGCGCTCCAAATGTCCACTTCCAGATTCTTCCAAAAGAGTGTTTGAAACGTACTCAAAGTAAGGGAATGTTCAACTCTGTGACTTGAATGCAGATATCACCAAGTAGTTTCTAATAGTGCTTCTGTCTAGATTTTAGATGATGATATTCCCGTTTCCAACGAAATCGTTAGAGCTATCCAAATATACAGTTACAGTTTCTACCAAAAGGGTGTTTGCAAACTGCTGCATCAAAAGAAAGGTTCAACTCTGTTAGTTGAGGACACACATCACAAAGAAGTTTGTGAGAATGCTTCTGTCCAGATTTTGTATGACGATATTCCCTTTTCCAACGATATCATTAAAGCAATCTAAATATCCATTTGCAGAATCCACAAAAATAGAGTTTCAAAGCTGCTCTGTAAAAAGAAAGGTTCCACTCTGTTAGCTGAGTACACACATCACAAACTTGTTTCTCAGAATCCTGCTGTCTACCTTTTATTTGAATTCCCGCTTCCAACGAAATCCTCCAAGCTATCCAAATATCCACTTGCAGATTCCACAAAAAGAGTGTTTCAAAACTGCTCTCTATCAATGGCAAAGTTCAACTCTGTTAGTTGAGGACACATATCACCAACAAGTTTCTGAGAATGCTTCTGTCTATTTTTTATGGGAAGATATTTCCTTTTTCAGCGTAGGCGTCAAGGCGATCGAAATGTCCACTTCCACAAACTACAAAAAGAGTGTTTCAAACCTGCTCTATGAAAGGCCATGTTCACCTCTATGAGTTGAATGGAAATATCCGAAAGAAATTTCTGGGAATGCTGCTGTCTAGTTTTTATATGAATTCCCGCTTCCAACGAAATCCTCAAAGCAATCCAAATATCCACTTGCAGAATCCACAAAAAGAGTGTTTCAAAACTGCTCTATCAATAGAAAGGTTCACCTCTTTTAGTTGAGTACACACATCACAAACAAGTTTCTGAGAATGCTTCTGTCTGGCTTTTATTGGAAGACGTTTCCTTTTCACCAAAGGCATCAAAGCGCTCCAAATGTCCACTTCCAGATTCTTCCAAAAGAGTGTTTGAAACGTGCTCAAAGTAAGGGAATGTTCAACTCTGTGACTTGAATGCAGATATCACCAAGTAGTTTCTAATAGTGTTTCTGTCTAGATTTTAGATGATGATATTCCCGTTTCCAATGAAATCGTTAGAGCTATCCAAATATCCACTTACAGTTTCTACAAAAACAGTGTTTCCAAACTGCTGCATCAAAAGAAAAGTTCAACTCTGTTAGTTGAGGACACACATCACAAAGAAGTTTGTGAGAATGCTTCTGTCTAGATTTTGTATGACGATATTCCCTTTTCCAATGATATCGTTAAAGCAATCTAAATATCAATTTGCAGAATCCACAACAATAGAGTTTCAAAGCTGCTCTGTAAAAAGAAAGGTTCCACTCTGTTAGCTGAGTACACACATCACAAACTTGTTTCTGAGAATCCTTCTGTCTCGTTTTTATGGGAAGATATTTACTTTTTCACCGTAGGCATCAAAGTGCTCCAAATGTCCACATCCAGATACTCCAGAAAGAGTGTTTCAAACCTGCTCTATGAAAGGGAATGTTCAACTCTATGAGTTGAATGCAGACATCAGAAAGAAATTTCTGAGAATGCTGCTGTCTACCTTTTATTTGAATTCCCGCTTCCAACGAAATCCTCCAAGCTATCCAAATATCCACTTGCAGATTCCACAAAAAGAGTGTTTCAAAACTGCTCTCTATCAATGGCAAAGTTCAACTCTGTTAGTTGAGGACACATATCACCAACAAGTTTCTGAGAATGCTTCTGTCTATTTTTTATGGGAAGATATTTCCTTTTTCACCGTAGGTGTCAAGGCGATCGAAATGTCCACTTCCACAAACTACAAAAAGAGTGTTTCAAACCTGCTCTATGAAAGGCCATGTTCATCTCTATGAGTCGAATGGAAATATCCGAAAGAAATTTCTGGGAATGCTGCTGTCTAGTTTTTATACCGAATTCCCGCTTCCAACGAAATCCTCAAAGCAATCCAAATATCCACTTGCAGAATCCACAAAAAGAGTGTTTCAAAACTGCTCTATCAATAGAAAGGTTCAACTCTTTTAGTTGAGTACACACATCACAAACAAGTTTCTGAGAATGCTTCTGTCTGGCTTTTATTGGAAGACGTTTCCTTTTCACCAAAGACATCAAAGCGCTCCAAATGTCCACTTCCAGATTCTTCCAAAAGAGTGTTTCAAACGTGCTCAAAGTAAGGGAATGTTCAACTCTGTGACTTGAATGCAGATATCACCAAGTAGTTTCTAATAGTGCTTCTGTGTATACTTTAGATGAAGGTATTCCCGTTTCCAATGATATCGTTAGACCTACCCAAATATCCACTTACAGTTTCTACAAAAAAAGTGTTTCCAAACTGCTGCATCTAAAGAAAGGTTCAACTCTGTGAGTTGAGGACACACATCACAGAGAAGTTTCTGAGAAAGCTTCTGTCCAGATTTTGTATGACGATATTCCCTTTTCCAACGATATCGTTAAAGCAATCTAAATATCCATTTGCAGAATCCACAAAAATAGAGTTTCAAAGCTGCTCTGTCAAAAGAAAGGTTCCACTCTGTTAGCTGAGTACACACATCACAAACTTGTTTCTGAGAATCCTTTCTGTCTCGTTTTTCTGGGAAGATATTTACTTTTTCACCGTAGGCATCAAAGCGCTCCAAATGTCCACATCCAGATACTCCAGAAAGAGTGTTTCAAACCTGCTCTATGAAAGGGAATCTTCAACTCTATGAGTTGAATGCAGACATCAGAAAGAAATTTCTGAGAATGCTGCTGTCTACCTTTTATTTGAACTCCCGCTTCCAACGAAATCCTCCAAGCTATCGAAATATCCACTTGCATTTTCCACAAAAAGAGTGCTTCAAAACTGCTCTATCAATAGAAATGTTCAACTCCTTTAGCTGGGTGCACACATCACAAACAAGTTTCTGAGAATGCTTCTGTCTATTTTTTATGGGAAGATATTTCCTTTTTCACTGTAGGCGTCAAGGAGATCGAAATGTCCACTTCCACAAACTACAAAAAGAGTGTTTCAAACCTGCTCTATGAAAGGCGATGTTCATCTCAATGAGTTGAATGGAAATATCCGAAAGAAATTTCTGGGAATGCTGCTGTCTAGTTTTTATATGAATTCCCGCTTCCAACGAAATCCTCAAAGCAATCCAAATATCCACTTGCAGAATCCACAAAAAGAGTGTTTCAAAACCGCTCTATCAATAGAAAGGTTCAACTCTTTTAGTTGAGTACACACATCACAAACAAGTTTCTGAGAATGCTTCTGTCTGGCTTTTATTGGAAGACGTTTCCTTTTCACCAAAGGCATCAAAGTGCTCCAAATGTCCACTTCCAGATTCTTCCAAAAGAGTGTTTCAAACGTGGTCGAAGTAAGGGAATGTTCTACTCTGTGACTTGAATGCAGATATCACCAAGTAGTTTCTAATAGTGCTTCTGTCTAGATTTTAGATGATGATATTCCCGTTTCCAACGAAATCGTTAGATCTATCCAAATATCCACTTACAGTTGCTACAAAAACAGTGTTTCCAAACTGCTGCATCAAAAGAAAGGTTCAACTCTGTTAGTTGAGGACACACGTCACAAAGAAGTTTGTGAGAATGCTTCTGTCTAGATTTTGTATGAAGATATTCCCTTTTCCAACGATATCGTTAAATCAACCCAAATATCAATTTGCAGAATCCACAGAAATAGAGTTTCAAAGCTGCTCTGTAAAAAGAAAGGATCCACTCTGTTAGCTGAGTACACACATCACAAACTTGTTTCTGAGAATACTCTGTCTCGTTTTTATGGGAAGATATTTACTTTTCACCGTAGGCATCAAAGCGCTCCAAATGTCCACATCCAGATACTCCAGAAAGAGTGTTTCAAACCTGCTCTATGAAAGGGAATCTTCAACTCTATGAGTTGAATGCAGACATCAGAAAGAAATTTCTGAGAATGCTGCTGTCTACCTTTTATTTGAATTCCCGCTTCCAACGAAATCCTCCAAGCTATCCAAATATCCACTTGCAGATTCCACAAAAAGAGTGTTTCAAAACTGCTCTCTATCAATGGCAAAGTTCAACTCTGTTAGTTGAGGACACATATCACCAACAAGTTTCTGAGAATGCTTCTGTCTATTTTTTATGGGAAGATATTTCCTTTTTCACCGTAGGCGTCAAGGCGATCGAAATGTCCACTTCCACAAACTACAAAAAGAGTGTTTCAAACCTGCTCTATGAAAGGCCATGTTCTTCTCTATGAGTTGAATGGAAATATCCGAAAGAAATTTCTGGTAATGCTTCTGTCTGGCTTTTATTGGAAGACGTTTCCTTTTCACCAAAGGCATCAAAGCGCTCCAAATGTCCACTTCCAGATTCTTCCAAAAGAGTGTTTCAAACGTGCTCGAAGTAAGGGAATGTTCAACTCTGTGACTTGAATGCAGATATCACCAAGAAGTTTCTAATAGTGCTTCTGTCTAGATTTTAGATGATGATATTCCCGTTTCCAACGAAATCGTTAGAGCTATCCAAATATCCACTTACAGTTTCTACCAAAAGGGTGTTTCCAAACTGCTGCATCAAAAGAAAGGTTCAACTCTGTTAGTTGAGGACACACATCACAAAGAAGTTTGTGAGAATTCTTCTGTCCAGATTTTGTATGACCATATTCCCTTTTCCAACGATATCGTTAAAGCAATCTAAATATCCATTTGCAGAATCCACAAAAATAGAGTTTCAAAGCTGCTCTGTAAAAAGAAAGGTTCCACTCTGTTAGCTGAGTACACACATCACAAACTTGTCTCTCAGAATCCTGCTGTCTACCTTTTATTTGAATTCCCGCTTCCAACGAAATCCTCCAAGCTATCCAAATATCCACCTGCATTTTCCACAACAAGAGTGTTTCAAAACTGCTCTATCAATAGAAATGTTCAACTCCTTTGGCTGTGTACACACATCACAAACAAGTTTCTGAGAATGCTTCTGTCTAGTTTTTATGGGAAGACGTTCCCTTTTTCACCAAAGGCATCAAAGCGCTCCAAGTGTCCACTTCCAGACACTACAAAAAGAGTGTTTCCAACGTGCTCTAAGAAAGCGAATGTTCAACTCTGTGACTTGAATGCAGATATCACAAAGTAGTTTCTGAGAGGGCTTCTGTCTAGATTTTAGATGATGATATTCCCGTTTCCAACGAAATCATTAGAGCTATCCAAATATCCACTTACAGTTTCTACAAAAAGAGTGTTTCCAAACTGCTGCATCAAAACAGAGGTTCCACTCTGTTAGCTGAGTACACACATCACAAACTTGTTTCTCAGAATCCTTCTGTCTCGTTTTTATGGGAAGATATTTACTTTTTCACCGTAGGCATCAAAGCGCTCCAAATGTCCACATCCAGATACTACAGAAAGAGTATTTCAAACCTGCCCTATGAAAGGGAATGTTCAACTCTATGAGTTGAATGCAGAGATCAGAAAGAAATTTCTGAGAATGCTGCTGTCTACCTTTTATTTGAATTCCCGCTTCCAACGAAATCCTCCAAACTATCCAAATATCCACTTGCAGATTCCACAAAAAGAGTGTTTCAAAACTGCTCTCTATCAATGGCAAAGTTCAACTCTGTTAGTTGAGGACACATATCACCAACAAGTTTCTGAGAATGCTTCTGTCTATTTTTTATGGGAAGATATTTCCTTTTTCACCGTAGGCGTCAAGGCGATCGAAATGTCCACTTCCACAAACTACAAAAAGAGTGTTTCAAACCTGCTCTATGAAAGGCCATGTTCATCTCTATGAGTTGAATGGAAATATCCGAAAGAAATTTCTGGGAATGCTGCTGTCTAGTTGTTATACGAATTCCCGCTTCCAACGAAATCCTCAAAGCAATCCAAATATCCACTTGCAGAATCCACAAAAAGAGTGTTTCAAAACTGCTCTATCAATAGAAAGGTTCAACTCTTTTAGTTGAGTACACACATCTCAAACAAGTTTCTGAGAATGCTTCTGTCTGGCTTTTATTGGAAGACGTTTCCTTTTCACCAAAGGCATCAAAGCGCTCCAAATGTCCACTTCCAGATTCTTCCAAAAGAGTGTTTCAAACGTGCTCAAAGTAAGGGAATGTTCAACTCTGTGACTTGAATGCAGATATCACCAAGTAGTTTCTAATAGTGCTTCTGTCTAGCATTTTAGATGATGATATTCCCGTTTCCAACGAAATCGTTAGAGCTATCCAAATATCCACTTACAGTTTCTACCAAAAGGGTGTTTCCAAACTGCTGCATCAAAAGAAAGGTTCAACTCTGTTAGTTGAGGACACACATCACAAAGAAGTTTGTGAGAATGCTTCTGTCTAGATTTTGTATGAAGATATTCCCTTTTCCAACGATGTCGTTAAATCAACCCAAATATCAATTTGCAGAATCCACAGAAATAGAGTTTCAAAGCTGCTCTGTAAAAAGAAAGGATCCACTCTATTAGCTGAGTACACACATCACAAACTTGTTTCTGAGAATCCTTCTGTCTAGTTTTTACGGGAAGATATTTCCTTTTTCACCGTATGTATCAAAGCGCTCCAAATGTCCACATCCAGATACTACAGAAAGAGTGTTTCAAACCTGCTCTATGAAAGGGAATCTTCAACTCTATGAGTTGAATGCAGACATCAGAAAGAAATTTCTGAGAATGCTGCTGTCTACCTTTTATTTGAATTCCCGCTTCCAACGAAATCCTCCAAGCTATCCAAATATCCACTTGCAGATTCCACAAAAAGAGTGTTTCAAAACTGCTCTCTATCAATGGCAAAGTTCAACTCTGTTAGTTGAGGACACATATCACCAACAAGTTTCTGAGAATGCTTCTGTCTATTGTTTATGGGAAGATATTTCCTTTTTCACCGTAGGCGTCAAGGCTATCGAAATGTCCACTTCCACAAACTACAAAAAGAGTGTTTCAAACCTGCTCTATGAAAGGCCATGTTCATCTCTATGAGTTGAATGGAAATATCCGAAAGAAATTTCTGGGAATGCTGCTGTCTAGTGTTTATACGAATTCCCGCTTCCAACGAAATCCTCAAAGCAATCCAAATATCCACTTGCAGAATCCACAAAAAGAGTGTTTCAAAACTGCTCTATCAATAGAAAGGTTCAACTCTTTTAGTTGAGTACACACATCACGAACAAGTTTCTGAGAATGCTTCTGTCTGGCTTTTATTGGAAGACGTTTCCTTTTCACCAAAGGCATCAAAGCGCTCCAAATGTCCACTTCCAGATTCTTCCAAAAGAGTGTTTCAAACGTGCTCAAAGTAAGGTAATGTTCAACTCTGTGACTTGAATGCAGATATCACCAAGTAGTTTCTAATAGTGCTTCCGTCTAGATTTCAGATGATGATATTCCCGTTTCCAACGAAATCGTTAGAGCTAAGCAAATATCCAGTTACAGTTTCTACCAAAAGGGTGTTTCCAAATTGCTGCATCAAAAGAAAGGTTCAACTCTGTTAGTTGAGGACACACATCACAAAGAAGTTTGTGAGAATGCTTCTGTCTAGATTTTGTATGACGATATTCCCTTTTCCAACGATATCGTTAAAGCAATCTAAATATCAATTTGCAGAATCCACAAAAATAGAGTTTCAAAGCTGCTCTGTAAAAATAAAAGTTCCACTCTGTTAGCTGAGTACACACATCACAAACTTGTTTCTGAGAATCCTTCTGTCTCGTTTTTATGGGAAGATATTTACTTTTTCACCGTAGGCATCAAAGCGCTCCAAATGTCCACATCCAGATACTCCAGAAAGAGTGTTTCAAACCTGCTCTATGAAAGGGAATCTTCAACCCTATGAGTTGAATGCAGACATCAGAAAGAAATTTCTGAGAATGCTGCTGCTGTCTACCTTTTATTTGAATTCCCGCTTCCAACGAAATCCTCCAAGCTATCCAAATATCCACTTGCATTTTCCACAAAAAGAGTGTTTCAAAACTACTCTATCAATAGAAATGTTCAACTCCTTTAGCTGGGTACACACATCACAAACAACTTTCTGAGAATGCTTCTGTCTAGTTTTTATGGGAAGACATTTCCTTTCTCACCAAAGGCATCAAAGAGCTCCAAATGTCCACTTCCAGATACTACAAAAAGAGTGTTTCAAAAGTGCTCTAAGAAAGCGAATGTTCAACTCTGTGACTTGAGTGCAGATATCAAAAAGTAGTTTCTGAGAGTGCTTCTGTCTAGATTTTAGATGATGATATTCGCGTTTCCAACGAAATCATTAGAGCTATCCAAATATCCACTTACAGTTTCTACAAAAAGAGTGTTTCCAAACTGCTGCATCAAAAGAGAGGTTCCACTCTGTTAGCTGAGTACACACATCACAAACTTGTTTCTCAGAATCCTTCTGTCTCGTTTTTATGGGAAGATATTTACTTTCTCACCGTAGGCATCAAAGCGCTCCAAATGTCCACATCCAGATACTCCAGAAACAGTGTTTCAAACCTGCTCTATGAAAGGGAATCTTCAACTCTATGAGTTGAATGCAGACATCAGAAAGAAATTTCTGAGAATGCTGCTGTCTACCTTTTATTTGAATTCCCGCTTCCAACGAAATCCTCCAAGCTATCCAAATATCCACTTGCAGATTCCACAAAAAGAGTGTTTCAAAACTGCTCTCTATCAATGGCAAAGTTCAACTCTGTTAGTTGAGGACACATATCACCAACAAGTTTCTGAGAATGCTTCTGTCTATTGTTTATGGGAAGATATTTCCTTTTTCACTGTAGGCGTCACGGCGATCGAAATGTCCACTTCCACAAACTACAAAAAGAGTGTTTCAAACCTGCTCTATGAAAGGCGATGTTCATCTCAATGAGTTGAATGGAAATATCCGAAAGAAATTTCTGGGAATGCTGCTGTCTAGTTTTTATACGAATTCCCGCTTCCAATGAAATCCTCAAAGCAATCCAAATATCCACTTGCAGAATCCACAAAAAGAGTGTTTCAAAACTGCTCTATCAATAGAAAGGTTCAACTCTTTTAGTTGAGTACACACATCACAAACAAGTTTCTGAGAATGCTTCTGTCTGGCTTTTATTGGAAGACGTTTCCTTTTCACCAAAGGCATCAAAGCGCTCCAAATGTCCACTTCCAGATTCTTCCAAAAGAGTGTTTCAAACGTGCTCAAAGTAAGGGAATGTTCAACTCTGTGACTTGAATACAGATATCACCAAGTAGTTTCTAATAGTGCTTCTGTCTAGATTTTAGATGATGATATTCCCGTTTCCAACGAAATCGTTAGAAGTATCCAAATATCCACTTACAGTTTCTACAAAAAGAGTGTTTCCAAACTGCTGCATCAAAAGAAAGGTTCAACTCTGTTAGTTGAGGACACACATCACAAAGAAGTTTGTGAGAATGCTTCTGTCTAGATTTTGTATGACCATATTCCCTTTTCCAACGATATCGTTAAAGCAATCTAAATATCAATTTGCAGAATCCACAAAAATAGAGTTTCAAAGCTGCTCTGTAAAAAGAAAGGTTCCAATCTGTTAGCTGAGTACACACATCACAAACTTGTTTCTGAGAATCCTTCTGTCTAGTTTTTATGGGAAGATATTTCCTTTTTCACCGTAGGTATCAAAGCGCTCCAAATGTCCACATCCAGATACTACAGAAAGAGTGTTTCAAACCTGCTCTATGAAAGGGAATCTTCAACTCTATGAGTTGAATGCAGACATCAGAAAGTAATTTCTGAGAATGCTGCTGTCTACCTTTTATTTGAACTCCCGCTTCCAACGAAATCCTCCAAGCTATCCAAATATCCACTTGCATTTTCCACAAAAAGAGTGCTTCAAAACTGCTCTATCAATAAATGTTCAACTCCTTTAGCTGGGTGCACACATCACAATCAACTTTCTGAGAATGCTTCTGTCTAGTTTTTATGGGAAGACATTTCCTTTTTCACCAAAGGCATCAAAGAGCTCCAAATGTCCTCTTCCAGATATACAAAAAGAGTGTTTCAAAAGTGCTCTAAGAAAGCGAATGTTCAACTCTGTGACTTGAATGCAGATATCACAAAGTAGTTTCTGAGAGTGCTTCTGTCTAGATTTTAGATGATGATATTCCCGTTTCCAACGAAATCATTAGAGCTATCCAAATATCCACTTACAGTTTCTACAAAAAGAGGGTTTCCAAACTGCTGCATCAAAAGAGAGGTTCCACTCTGTTAGCTGAGTACACACATCACAAACTTGTTTCTCAGAATCCTTCTGTGTCGTTTTTATGGGAAGATATTTACTTTTTCACCGTAGGCATCAAAGCGCTCCAAATGTCCACATCCAGATACTCCAGAAAGAGTGTTTCAAACCTGCTCTATGAAAGGGAATCTTCAACTCTATGAGTTGAATGCAGACATCAGAAAGAAATTTCTGAGAATGCTGCTGTCTACCTTTTATTTGAATTCCCGCTTCCAACGAAATCCTCCAAGCTATCCAAATATCCACTTGCAGATTCCACAAAAAGAGTGTTTCAAAACTGCTCTCTATCAATGGCAAAGTTCAACTCTGTTAGTTGAGGACACATATCACCAACAAGTTTCTGAGAATGCTTCTGTCTATTTTTTATGGGTAGATATTTCCTTTTTCACCGTAGGCGTCAAGGCGATCGAAATGTCCACTTCCACAAACTACAAAAAGAGTGTTTCAAACCTGCTCTATGAAAGGCCATATTCATCTCTATGAGTTGAATGGAAATATCCGAAAGAAATTTCTGGGAATGCTGCTGTCTAGTTTTTATATGAATTCCCGCTTCCAACGAAATCCTCAAAGCAATCCAAATATCCACTTGCAGAATCCACAAAAAGAGTGTTTCAAAACTGCTCTATCAATAGAAAGGTTCAACTCTTTTAGTTGAGTACACACATCACAAACAAGTTTACTGAGAATGCTTTCTGTCTGGCTTTTATTGGAAGACGTTTCCTTTTCACCAAAGGCATCAAAGCGCTCCAAATGTCCACTTCCAGATTCTTCCAAAAGAGTGTTTCAAACGTGCTCAAAGTAAGGGAATGTTCAACTCTGTGACTTGAATGCAGATATCACCAAGTAGTTTCTAATAGTGTTTCTGTGTATACTTTAGATGAAGATATCCCCGTTTCCAACGATATCGTTAGACCTACCCAAATATCCACTTACAGTTTTTATAAAAAGAGTGTTTCCAAACTGCTGCATCAAAAGAAAGGTTCAACTCTGTTAGTTGAGGACACGCATCACAAAGAAGTTTCTGAGAAAGCTTCTGTCTAGTATTTTGTATGACCATATTCCCTTTTCCAGCGATATCGTTAAAGCAATCTAAATATCCATTTGCAGAATCCACAAAAATAGAGTTTCAAAGCTGCTCTGTAAAAAGAAAGGTTCCACTCTGTTAGCTGAGTACACACATCACAAACTTGTTTCTGAGAATCCTTCTGTCACGTTTTTATGGGAAGATATTTACTTTCTCACCGTAGGCATCAAAGCTCTCCAAATGTCCACATCCAGATACTCCAGAAAGAGTGTTTCAAACCTGCTCTATGAAAGGGAATCTTCAACTCTATGAGTTGAATGCAGACATCAGAAAGAAATTTCTGAGAATGCTGCTGTCTACCTTTTATTTGAATTCCCGCTTCCAACGAAATCCTCCAAGCTATCCAAATATCCACTTGCAGAGTCCACAAAAAGAGTGTTTCAAAACTGCTCTCTATCAATGGGAAAGTTCAACTCTGTTAGTTGAGGACACATATCACCAACAAGTTTCTGAGAATGCTTCTGTCTATTTTTTATGGGAAGATATTTCCTTTTTCAGCGTAGGCGTCAAGGCGATCGAAATGTCCACTTCCACAAACTGCAAAAAGAGTGTTTCAAACCTGCTCTATGAAAGGCCATGTTCATCTCTATGAGTTGAATGGAAATATCCGAAAGAAATTTCTGGGAATGCTGCTGTCTAGTGTTTATACGAATTCCCGCTTCCAACGAAATCCTCAAAGCAATCCAAATATCCACTTGCAGAATCCACAAAAAGAGTGTTTCAAAACTGCTCTATCAATAGAAAGGTTCAACTTCTTTTAGTTGAGTACACACATCACGAACAAGTTTCTGAGAATGCTTCTGTCTGGCTTTTATTGGAAGACGTTTCCTTTTCACCAAAGGCATCAAAGCGCTCCAAATGTCCACTTCCAGATTCTTCCAAAAGAGTGTTTCAAACGTGCTCAAAGTAAGGGAATGTTCAACTGTTTGACTTGAATGCAGATATCACCAAGTAGTTTCTAATAGTGCTTCTGTCTAGATTTTAGATGATGATATTCCCGTTTCCAACGAAATCGTTAGAGCTATCCAAATATCCACTTACAGTTTCTACAAAAAGAGTGTTTCCAAACTGCTGCATCAAAAGAAAGGTTCAACTCTGTTAGTTGAGGACACACATCACAAGGAAGTTTGTGAGAATGCTTCTGTCTAGATTTTGTATGACGATATTCCCTTTTCCAACGATATCGTTAAAGCAATCTAAATATCAATTTGCAGAATCCACAAAAATAGAGTTTCAAAGCTGCTCTGTAAAAAGAAAGGTTCCACTCTGTTAGCTGAGTACACACATCGCAAACTTGTTTCTGAGAATCCTTCTGTCTCGTTTTTATGGGAAGATATATACTTTTCCACCGTAGGCATCAAAGCGCTCCAAATGTCCACATCCAGATACTCCAGAACGAGTGTTTCAAACCTGCTCTATGAAAGGGAATCTTCAACTCTATGAGTTGAATGCAGACATCAGAAAGAAATTTCTGAGAATGCTCCTGTCTACCTTTTATTTGAATTCCCGCTTCCAACGAAATCCTCCAAGCTATCCAAATATCCACCTGCAGATTCCACAAAAAGAGTGTTTCAAAACTGCTCTATCAATAGAAATGTTCAACTCCTTTAGCTGGGTACACACATCACAAACAAGTTTCTGAGAATCCTTCTGTCTAGTTTTTATGGGAAGACATTCCCTTTTTCACCAAAGACATCAAAGCGCTCCAAATGTCCACTTCCAGACACTACAAAAAGAGTGTTTCAAACGTGCTCTAAGAAAGCGAATGTTCAACTCTGTGACTTGAATGCAGATATCACAAAGTAGTTTCTGAGAGGGCTTTCTGTCTAGTATTTTAGCATGATGATATTCCCGTTTCCAACGAAATCATTAGGAGCTATCCAAATATCCACTTACAGTTTCTACAAAAAGAGTATTTCCAAACTGCTGCATCAAAAGAGAGGTTCCACTCTGTTAGCTGAGTACACACATCACAAACTTGTTTCTCAGAATCCTTCTGTGTCGTTTTTCTGGGAAGATATTTACTTTTTCACCGTAGGCATCAAAGCGCTCCAAATGTCCACATCCAGATACTCCAGAAAGAGTGTTTCAAACCTGCTCTATGAAAGGGAATCTTCAACTCTATGAGTTGAATGCAGACATCAGAAAGAAATTTCTGAGAATGCTGCTGTCTACCTTTTATTTGAATTCCCGCTTCCAACGAAATCCTCCAAGCTATCCAAATATCCACTTGCAGATTCCACAAAAAGAGTGTTTCAAAACTGCTCTCTATCAATGGCAAAGTTCAACTCTGTTAGTTGAGGACACATATCACCAACAAGTTTCTGAGAATGCTTCTGTCTATTTTTTATGGGAAGATATTTCCTTTTTCACCGTAGGCGTCAAGGCGATCGAAATGTCCACTTCCACAAACTACAAAAAGAGTGTTTCAAACCTGCTCTATGCAAAGGCCATGTTCATCTCTATGAGTTGAATGGAAATATCCGAAAGAAATTTCTGGGAATGCTGCTGTCTAGTTTTTATACGAATTCCCGCTTCCAACGAAATCCTCAAAGCAATCCAAATATCCACTTGCAGAATCCACAAAAAGAGTGTTTCAAAACTGCTCTATCAATAGAAAGGTTCAACTCTTTTAGTTGAGTACACTCATCACAAACAAGTTTCTGAGAATGCTTCTGTCTGGCTTTTATTGGAAGACGTTTCGTTTTCACCAAAGGCATCAAAGCGCTCCAAATGTCCACTTCCAGATTCTTCCAAAAGAGTGTTTCAAACGTGGTCGAAGTAAGGGAATGTTCAACTCTGTGACTTGAATGCAGATATCACCAAGTAGTTTCTAATAGTGCTTCTGTGTATACTTTAGATGAAGATATTTCCGTTTCCAACGATATCGTTAGACCTATCCAAATATCCACTAACAGTTTCTACAAGAAGAGTGTTTCCAAACTGCTGCATCAAAAGAAAGGTTCAACTCTGTGAGTTGAGGACACACATCACAAAGAAGTTTCTGAGAAAGCTTCTGTCTAGATTTTGTATGACCATATTCCCTTTTCCAACGATATCGTTAAAGCAATCTAAATATCAATTTGCAGAATCCACAAAAAAAGAGTTTGAAAGCTGCTCTGTAAAAAGAAAGGTTCCACTCTGTTAGCTGAGTACACACATCACAAACTTGTTTCTCAGAATCCTTCTGTCTCGTTTTTCTGGGAAGATATTTACTTTTTCACCGTGGGCATCAAAGCGCTCCAAATGTCCACATCCAGATACTCCAGAAAGAGTGTTTCAAACCTGCTCTATGAAAGGGAATCTTCAACTCTATGAGTTGAATGCAGACATCAGAAAGAAATTTCTGAGAATGCTGCTGTCTACCTTTTATTTGAATTCCCGCTTCCAACGAAATCCTCCAAGCTATCCAAATATCCACTTGCAGATTCCACAAAAAGAGTGTTTCAAAACTGCTCTCTATCAATGGCAAAGTTCAACTCTGTTAGTTGAGGACACATATCACCAACAAGTTTCTGAGAATGCTTCTGTCTATTTTTTATGGGAAGATATTTCCTTTTTCACCGTAGGCGTCAAGGCGATCGAAATGTCCACTTCCACAAACTACAAAAAGAGTGTTTCAAACCTGCTCTATGAAAGGCCATGTTCATCTCTATGAGTCGAATGGAAATATCCGAAAGAAATTTCTGGGAATGCTGCTGTCTAGTTGTTATACGAATTCCCGCTTCCAACGAAATCCTCAAAGCAATCCAAATATCCACTTGCAGAATCCACAAAAAGAGTGTTTCAAAACTGCTCTATCAATAGAAAGTTTCAACTCTTTTAGTTGAGTACACACATCACAAACAAGTTTCTGAGAATGCTTCTGTCTGGCTTTTATTGGAAGACGTTTCCTTTTCACCAAAGGCATCAAAGCGCTCCAAATGTCCACTTCCAGATTCTTCCAAAAGAGTGTTGCAAACGTGCTCAATGTAAGGGAATGTTCAACTCTGTGACTTGAATGCAGATATCACCAAGTAGTTTCTAATAGTGCTTCTGTCTAGATTTTAGATGATGATATTCCCGTTTCCAACGAAATCGTTAGAGCTATCCAAATATCCACTTACAGTTTCTACCAAAAGGGTGTTTCCAAACTGCTGCATCAAAAGAAAGGTTCAACTACTGTTAGTTGAGGACACACGTCACAAAGCTGTTTGTGAGAATGCTTCTGTCTAGATTTTGTATGACCATATTCTCTTTTCCAACGATATCGTTAAAGCAATCTAAATATCAATTTGCAGAATCCACAAAAATAGAGTTTCAAAGCTGCTCTGTAAAAAGAAAGGTTCCACTCTGTTAGCTGAGTACACACATCACAAACTTGTTTCTGAGAATCCTTCTGTCTCGTTTTTATGGAAGATATTTACTTTTTCACCGTAGGCATCAAAGCGCTCCAAAGGTCCACATCCAGATACTCCAGAAAGAGTGTTTCAAACCTGCTCTATGAAAGGGAATCTTCAACTCTATGAGTTGAATGCAGACATCAGAAAGAAATTTCTGAGAATGCTGCTGTCTACCTTTTATTTGAATTCCCGCTTCCAACGAAATCCTCCAAGCTATCCAAATATCCCCCTGCATTTTCCACAAAAAGAGTGTTTCAAAACTGCTCTATCAATAGAAATGTTCAACTCCTTTAGCTGGGTACACACATCACAAACAAGTTTCTGAGAATGCTTCTGTCTAGTTTTTATGGGAAGACGTTCCCTTTTTCACCAAAGGCATCAAAGCACTCCAAATGTCCACTTCCAGACACTACAAAAAGAGTGTTTCAAACGTGCTCTAAGAAAGCGAATGTTCAACTCTGTGACTTGAATGCAGATATCACAAAGTAGTTTCTGAGAGGGCTTCTGTCTAGATTTTAGATGATGATATTCCCGTTTCCAACGAAATCATTAGAGCTATACAAATATCCACTTACAGTATCTACAAAAAGAGTGTTTCCAAACTGCTGCATCAAAAGAGGTTTCCACTCTGTTAGCTGAGTACACACATCACAAACTTGTTTCTCAGAATCCTTCTGTCTCGATTTTATGGGAAGATATTTACTTTTTCACCGTAGGCATCAAAGCGCTCCAAATGTCCACATCCAGATACTCCAGAAAGAGTGTTTCAAACCTGCTCTATGAAAGGGAATCTTCAACTCTATGAGTTGAATGCAGACATCAGAAAGAAATTTCTGAGAATGCTGCTGTCTAACTTTTATTTGAATTCCCGCTTCCAACGAAATCCTCCAAGCTATCCAAATATCCACTTGCAGATTCCACAAAAAGAGTGTTTCAAAACTGCTCTCTATCAATGGCAAAGTTCAACTCTGTTAGTTGAGGACACATATCACCAACAAGTTTCTGAGAATGCTTCTGTCTATTTTTTATGGGAAGATATTTCCTTTTTCACCGTAGGCGTCAAGGCGATCGAAATGTCCACTTCCACAAACTACAAAAAGAGTGTTTCAAACCTGCTCTATGAAAGGCCATGTTCATCTCTATGAGTCGAATGGAAATATCCGAAAGAAATTTCTGGGAATGCTGCTGTCTAGTTTTTATACGAATTCCCGCTTCCAACGAATTCCTGAAAGCAATCCAAATATCCACTTGCAGAATCCACAAAAAGAGTGTTTCAAAACTGCTCTATCAATAGAAAGGTTCAACTCTTTTAGTTGAGTACACACATCACAAACAAGTTTCTGAGAATGCTTCTGTCTGGCTTTTATTGGAAGACGTTTCCTTTTCACCAAAGGCATCAAAGCGCTCCAAATGTCCACTTCCAGATTCTTCCAAAAGAGTGTTTCAAACGTGCTCAAAGTAAGGGAATGTTCAACTCTTTGACTTGAATGCAGATATCACCAAGTAGTTTCTAACAGTGCTTCTGTCTAGATTTTAGATGATGATATTCCCGTTTCCAACGAAATCGTTAGAGCTATCCAAATATCCACTTACAGTTTCTACAAAAAGAGTGTTTCCAAACTGCTGCATCAAAAGAAAGGTTCAACTACTGTTAGTTGAGGACACACATAACAAAGAAGTTTGTGAGAATGCTTCTGTCTAGATTTTGTATGACGATATTCCCTTTTCCAACGATATCGTTAAAGCAATCTAAATATCAATTTGCAGAATCCACAAAAATAGAGTTTCAAAGCTGCTCTATAAAAAGAAAGGTTCCACTCTGTTAGCTGAGTACACACATCACAAACTTGTTTCTGAGAATCCTTCTGTCTCGTTTTTATGGGAAGATATTTACTTTTTCACCGTAGGCATCAAAGCGCTCCAAATGTCCACATCCAGATACTCCAGAAAGAGTGTTTCAAACCTGCTCTATGAAAGGGAATCTTCAACTCTATGAGTTGAATGCAGACATCAGAAAGAAATTTCTGAGAATGCTGCTACCTTTTATTTGAATTCCCGCTTCCAACGAAATCCTCCAAGCTATCCAAATATCCACTTGCATTTTCCACAAAAAGAGTGTTTCAAAACTGCTCTATCAATAGAAATGTTCAACTCCTTTAGCTGGGTACACACATCACAAACAAGTTTCTGAGAATGCTTCTGTCTATTTTTTATGGGAAGATATTTCCTTTTTCACCGTAGGCGTCAAGGCGATCGAAATGTCCACTTCCACAAACTACAAAAAGAGTGTTTCAAACCTGCTCTATGAAAGGCCATGTTCATCTCTATGAGTCGAATGGAAATATCCGAAAGAAATTTCTGGGAATGCTGCTGTCTAGTTTTTATACGAATTCCCGCTTCCAACGAAATCCTCAAAGCAATCCAAATATCCACTTGCAGAATCCACAAAAAGAGTGTTTCAAAACTGCTCTATCAATAGAAAGGTTCAACTCTTTTAGTTGAGTACACACATCACAAACAATTTTCTGAGAATGCTTCTGTCTGGCTTTTATTGGAAGACGTTTCCTTTTCACCAAAGGCATCAAAGCGTTCCAAATGTCCACTTCCAGATTCTTCCAAAAGAGTGTTTCAAACGTGCTCAAAGTAAGGGAATGTTCAACTCTGTGACTTGAATGCAGATATCACCAAGTAGTTTCTAATAGTGCTTCTGTCTAGGTTTTAGATGATGATATTCCCGTTTCCAACGAAATCGTTAGAGCTATCCAAATATCCACTTACAGTTTCTACAAAAAGAGTGTTTCCAAACTGCTGCATCAAAAGAAAGGTTCAACTCTGTTAGTTGAGGACACACATCACAAAGAAGTTTGTGAGAATGCTTCTGTCTAGATTTTGTATGACGATATTCCGTTTTCCAACGATATCGTTAAAGCAATCTAAATATCAATTTGCAGAATCCACAAAAATAGAGTTTCAAAGCTGCTCTGTAAAAAGAAAGGGTTCCACTCTGTTAGCTGAGTACACACATCACAAACTTGTTTCTCAGAATCCTTCTGTCTCGTTTTTATGGGAAGATATTTACTTTTCCACCGTAGGCATCAAAGCGCTCCAAATGTCCACATCCAGATACTCCAGAAAGAGTGTTTCAAACCTGCTCTATGAAAGGGAATCTTCAACTCCATGAGTTGAATGCAGACATCACAAAGAAATTTCTGAGAATGCTGCTGTCTACCTTTTATTTGAATTCCCGCTTCCAACGAAATCCTCCAAGCTATCCAAATATCCACTTGCAGATTCCACAAAAAGAGTGTTTCAAAACTGCTCTCTATCAATGGCAAAGTTCAACTCTGTTAGTTGAGGACACATATCACCAACAAGTTTCTGAGAATGCTTCTGTCTATATTTTATGGGAAGATATTTCCTTTTTCACCGTAGGCGTCAAGGCGATCGAAATGTCCACTTCCACAAACTACAAAAAGAGTGTTTCAAACCTGCTCTCTGAAAGGCCATGTTCATCTCTATGAGGTGAATGGAAATATCCGAAAGAAATTTCTGGGAATGCTGCTGTCTAGTGTTTATACGAATTCCCGCTTCCAACGAAATCCTCAAAGCAATCCAAATATCCACTTGCAGAATCCACAAAAAGAGTGTTTCAAAACTGCTCTATCAATAGAAAGGTTCAACTCTTTTAGTTGAGTACACACATGACGAACAAGTTTCTCAGAATGCTTCTGTCTGGCTTTTATTGGAAGACGTTTCCTTTTCAACAAAGGCATCAAAGCGCTCCAAATGTCCACTTCCAGATTCTTCCAAAAGAGTGTTTCAAACGTGCTCAAAGTAAGGGAATGTTCAACTCTGTGACTTGAATGCAGATATCACCAAGTAGTTTCTAATAGTGCTTCTGTCTAGATTTTAGATGATGATATTCCCGTTTCCAACAAAATCGTTAGAGCTATCCAAATATCCACTTACAGTTTCTACAAAAAGAGTGTTTCCAAACTGCTGCATCAAAAGAAAGGTTCAACTCTGTTAGTTGAGGACACACATCACAAAGAAGTTTGTGAGAATGCTTCTGTCTAGTATTTTGTATGACGATATTCCCTTTTCCAACGATATCGTTAAAGCAATCTAAATATCAATTTGCAGAATCCACGAAAATAGAGTTTCAAAGCTGCTCTGTAAAAATAAAGGTTCCACTCTGTTAGCTGAGTACACACATCACAAACTTGTTTCTGAGAATCCTTCTGTCTCGTTTTTATGGGAAGATATTTACTTTTCCACCGTAGGCATCAAAGCGCTCCAAATGTCCACATCCAGATACTCCAGAACGAGTGTTTCAAACCTGCTCTATGAAAGGGAATCTTCAACTCTATGACTTGAATGCAGACATCAGAAAGAAATTTCTGAGAATGCTGCTGTCTAACTTTTATTTGAATTCCCGCTTCCAACGAAATCCTCCAAGCTATCCAAATATCCACCTGCATTTTCCACAAAAAGAGTGTTTCAAAACTGCTCTATCAATAGAAATGTTCAACTCCTTTGGCTGGGTACACACATCACAAACAAGTCTCTGAGAATGCTTCTGTCTAGTTTTTATGGGAAGACATTCCCTTTTTCACCAAAGACATCAAAGCGCTCCAAATGTCCACTTCCAGACACTACAAAAAGAGTGTTTCAAACGTGCTCTAAGAAAGCGAATGTTCAACTCTGTGACTTGAATGCAGATATCACACAGTAGTTTCTGAGAGTGCTTCTGTCTAGATTTTAGATGATGATATTCCCGTTTCCAACGAAATCATTAGAGCTATCCAAATATCCACTTAGAGTTTCTACAAAAAGAGTGTTTCCAAACTGCTGCATCAAAAGAGAGGTTCCACTCTGTTAGCTGAGTACACACATCACAAACTTGTTTCTCAGAATCCTTCTGTCTCGTTTTTATGGGAAGATATTTACTTTTCCACCGTAGGCATCAAAGCGCTCCAAATGTCCACATCCAGATACTCCAGAAAGAGTGTTTCAAACCTGCTCTATGAAAGGGAATCTTCAACTCTATGAGTTGAATGCACACATCAGAAAGAAATTTCTGAGAATGCTGCTGTCTACCTTTTATTTGAATTCCCGCTTCCAACGAAATCCTCCAAGCTATCCAAATACCCACTTGCATTTTCCACAAAAAGAGGGTTTCAAAACTGCTCTCTATCAATGGCAAAGTTCAACTCCTTTAGCTGGGTACACACATCACAAACAAGTTTCTGAGAATGATTCTGTCTACTTTTTAAGGGAAGACATTTCCTTTTTCACCAAAGGCATCAAAGCGCTCCAAATGTCCACTTCCAGATTCTACAAAAAGTGTGTTTCAAACCTGCTCTAAGTAAGGGAGTTTTCAACTCTGTGACTGGAATGCAGATATCACAAAGTAGTTTCTGAGACTGCTTCTGTCTAGATTTTAGATGATTATATTCCCGTTTCCAACGAAATCATTAGAGCTATCCAAATATCCACTTACAGTTTCTACAAAAAGAGTGTTTCCAAACTGCTGCATCAAAAGAGAGGTTCCACTCTGTTAGCTGAGTACACACATCACAAACTTGTTTCTCAGAATCCTTCTGTCTAGTTTTTATGGGAAGATATTTACTTTTTCACCGTAGGTATCAAAGCGCTCCAAATGTCCACATCCAGGTACTACAGAAAGAGTGTTTCAAACCTGCTCTATGAAAGGGAATCTTCAACTCTATGAGTTGAATGCAGACATCAGAAAGTAATTTCTGAGAATGCTGCTGTCTACCTTTGATTTGAATTCCCGCTTCCAACGAAATCCTCCAAGCTATCCAAATATCCACTTGCAGATTCCACAAAAAGAGTGTTTCAAAACTGCTCTCTATCAATGGCAAAGTTCAACTCTGTTAGTTGAGGACACATATCACCAACAAGTTTCTGAGAATGCTTCTGTCTATTTTTTATGGGAAGATATTTCCTTTTTCACCGTAGGCGTCAAGGCGATCGAAATGTCCACTTCCACAAACTACAAAAAGAGTGTTTCAAACCTGCTCTATGAAAGGCCATGTTCATCTCTATGAGTCGAATGGAAATATCCGAAAGAAATTTCTGGGAATGCTGCTGTCTAGTTTTTATACGAATTCCCGCTTCCAACGAAATCCTCAAAGCAATCCCAATATCCACTTGCAGAATCCACAAAAAGAGTGTTTCAAAACTGCTCTATCAATAGAAAGGTTCAACTCTTTTAGTTGAGTACACACATCACGAACAAGTTTCTGAGAACGCTTCTGTCTGGCTTTTATTTGAAGACGTTTCCTTTTCACAAAAGGCATCAAAGCGCTCCAAATGTCCACTTCCAGATTCTTCCAAAAGAGTGTTTCAAACGTGCTCAAAGTAAGGGAATGTTCAACTCTGTGACTTGAATGCAGATATCACCAAGTAGTTTCTAATAGTGCTTCTGTCTAGATTTTAGATGATGATATTCCCGTTTCCAACGAAATCGTTAGAGCTATCCAAATATCCAGTTACAGTTTCTACCAAAAGGGTGTTTCCAAATTGCTGCATCAAAAGAAAGCTTCAACTCTGTTAGTTGAGGACACACATCACAAAGAAGTTTGTGAGAATGCTTCTGTCTAGATTTTGTATGACGATATTCCCTTTTCCAACGATATCGTTAAAACAATCTAAATATCAATTTGCAGAATCCACAAAAATAGAGTTTCAAAGCTGCTCTGTAAAAAGAAAGGTTCCACTCTTTTAGCTGAGTACACACATCACAAACTTGTTTCTGAGAATCCTTCTGTCTCGTTTTTCTGGGAAGATATTTACTTTTTCACCGTAGGCATCAAAGCGCTCCAAATGTCCACATCCAGATACTCCAGAAGGAGTGTTTCAAACCTGCTCTATGAAAGGGAATCTTCAACTCTATGAGTTGAATGCAGACATCAGAAAGAAATTTCTGAGAATGCTGCTGTCTACCTTTTATTTGAATTCCCGCTTCCAAAGAAATCCTCCAAGCTATCCAAATATCCACCTGCATTTTCCACAACAAGAGTGTTTCAAAACTGCTCTATCAATAGAAATGTTCAACTCCTTTGGCTGGGTACACACATCACAAACAAGTTTCTGAGAATGCTTCTGTCTAGTTTTTATGGGAAGACATTCCCTTTTTCAACAAAGGCATCAAAGCGCTCCAAATGTCCACTTCCAGACACTACAAAAAGAGTGTTTCAAACGTGCTCTAAGAAAGCGAATGTTCAACTCTGTGACTTGAATGCAGATATCACAAAGTAGTTTCTGAGAGGGCTTCTGTCTAGATTTTAGATGACGATATTCCCGTTTCCAGCGAAATCGTTAGAGCTATCCAAATATCCACTTACAGTTTCTACAAAAAGAGTGTTTCCAAACTGCTGCATCAAAAGAAAGGTTCAACTCTGTTAGTTGAGGACACACATCACAAAGAAGTTTGTGAGAATGCTTCTGTCTAGATTTTGTATGACCATATTCCCTTTTCCAACGATATAGTTAAAGCAATCTAAATATCAATTTGCAGAATCCACAAAAATAGAGTTTCAAAGCTGCTCTGTAAAAAGAAAGGTTCCACTCTGTTAGCTGAGTACACACATCACAAACTTGTTTCTGAGAATCCTTCTGTCTCGTTTTTATGGGAAGATATTTACTTTTCCACCGTAGGCATCAAAGCGTTCCAAATGTCCACATCCAGATACTCCAGAAAGACTGTTTCAAACCTGCTCTATGAAAGGGAATCTTCAACTCTATGACTTGAATGCAGACATCAGAAAGAAATTTCTGAGAATGCTGCTGTCTACCTTTTATTTGAATTCCCGCTTCCAACGAAATCCTCCAAGCTATCCAAATATCCACCTGCATTTTCCACAAAAAGAGCGTTTCAAAACTGCTCTATCAATAGAAATGTTCAACTCCTTTGGCTGGGTACACACATCACAAACAAGTTTCTGAGAATGCTTATCTGTCTAGTTTTTATGGGAAGACGTTCCCTTTTTCAACAAAGGCATCAAAGCGCTCCAAATGTCCACTTCCAGACACTACAAAAAGAGTGTTTCCAACGTGCTCTAAGAAAGCGAATGTTCAACTCTGTGACTTGAATGCAGATATCACAAAGTAGTTTTCTGAGAGGGCTTCTGTCTAGATTTTAGATGATGATATTCCCGTTTCCAACGAAATCATTAGAGCTATCCAAATATCCACTTACAGTCTCTACAAAAAGAGTGTTTCCAAACTGCTGCATCAAAAGAGAGGTTCCACTCTGTTAGCTGAGTACACACATCACAAACTTGTTTCTCAGAATCCTTCTGTCTCGTTTTTATGGGAAGATATTTACTTTCTCACCGTAGGCATCAAAGCGCTCCAAATGTCCACATCCAGATACTCCAGAAAGAGGGTTTCAAACGTGCTCTATGAAAGGGAATCTTCAACTCTATGAGTTGAATGCAGACATCAGAAAGAAATTTCTGAGAATGCTGCTGTCTACCTTTATTTGAATTCCCGCTTCCAACGAAATCCTCCAAGCTATCCAAATATCCACTTGCAGATTCCACAAAAAGAGTGTTTCAAAACTGCTCTCTATCAATGGCAAAGTTCAACTCTGTTAGTTGAGGACACATATCACCAACAAGTTTCTGAGAATGCTTCTGTCTATTTTTTATGGGAAGATATTTCCTTTTTCAGCGTAGGCGTCAAGGCGATCGAAATGTCCACTTCCACAAACTACAAAAAGAGTGTTTCAAACCTGCTCTATGAAAGGCCATGTTCATCTCTATGAGTTGAATGGAAATATCCGAAAGAAATTTCTGGGAATGCTGCTGTCTAGTTTTTATATGAATTCCCGCTTCCAACGAAATCCTCAAAGCAATCCAAATATCCACTTGCAGAATCCACAAAAAGAGTGTTTCAAAACTGCGCTATCAATAGAAAGGTTCAACTCTTTTAGTTGAGTACACACATCATGAACAAGTTTCTGAGAATGCTTCTGTCTGGCTTTTATTGGAAGACGTTTCCTTTTCACCAAAGGCATCAAAGCGCTCCAAATGTCCACTTCCAGATTCTTCCAAAAGAGTGTTTCAAACGTGCTCGAAGTAAGGGAATGTTCAACTCTGTGACTTGAATGCAGATATCACCAAGTAGTTTCTAATAGTGCTTTCTGTCTACATTTTAGATGATGATATTCCCGTTTCCAACGAAATCGCTAGAGCTATCCAAATATCCAGTTACAGTTTCTACCAAAAGGGTGTTTCCAAATTGCTGCATCAAAAGAAAGGTTCAACTCTGTTAGTTGAGGACACACATCACAAAGAAGTTTGTGAGAATGCTTCTGTCTAGATTTTGTATGACGATATTCCCTTTTCCAACGATATCGTTAAAGCAATCTAAATATCAATTTGCAGAATCCACAAAAATAGAGTTTCAAAGCTGCTCTGTAAAAAGAAAGGTTCCACTCTGTTAGCTGAGTACACACATTACAAACTTGTTTCTGAGAATCCTTCTGTCTCGTTTTTATGGGAAGATATTTACTTTTTCACCGTAGGCATCAAAGCGCTCCAAATGTCCACATCCAGATACTCCAGAAAGACTGTATCAAACCTGCTCTATGAAAGGGAATCTTCAACTCTATGAGTTGAATGCAGACATCAGAAAGAAATTTCTGAGAATGCTGCTGTCTACCTTTTATTTGAATTCCCGCTTCCAACAAAAACCTCCCAGCCATCCAAATATCCACTTGCAGATTCCACAAAAAGAGTGTTTCAAAACTGCTCTATCAATAGAAATGTTCAACTCCTTTCGCTGGGTACACACATCACAAACAAGTTTCTGAGAAAGCTTCTTTCTAGATTTTATGGGAAGACATTTCCTTTTTCACCAAAGGCATCAAAGAGCTCCAAATGTCCACTTCCAGATACTACAAAAAGAGTGTTTCAAAAGTGCTCTAAGAAAGCGAATGTTCAACTCTATGACTTGAATGCAGATATCAAAAAGTAGTTTCTGAGAGTGCTTCTGTCTAGATTTTAGATGATGATATTCCCGTTTCCAACGAAATCATTAGAGCAATCCAAATATCCACTTACAGTTTCTACAAAAAGAGTGTTTCCAAACTGCTGCATCAAAAGAGAGGTTCCACTCTGTTAGCTGAGTACACACATCACAAACTTGTTTCTCAGAATCCTGCTGTCTACCTTTTATTTGAATTCCCGCTTCCAACGAAATCCTCCAAGCTATCCAAATATCCACTTGCAGATTCCACAAAAAGAGTGTTTCAAAACTGCTCTCTATCAATGGCAAAGTTCAACTCTGTTAGTTGAGGACACATATCACCAACAAGTTTCTGAGAATGCTTCTGTCTATTTTTTATGGGAAGATATTTCCTTTTTCACCGTAGGCGTCAAGGCGATCGAAATGTCCACTTCCACAAACTACAAAAAGAGTGTTTCAAACGTGCTCTATGAAAGGCGATGTTCATCTCTATGAGTTGAATGGAAATATCCGAAAGAAATTTCTGGGAATGCTGCTGTCTAGTGTTTATACGAATTCCCGCTTCCAACGAAATCCTCAAAGCAATCCAAATATCCACTTGCAGAATCCACAAAAAGAGTGTTTCAAAACTGCTCTATCAATAGAAAGGTTCAACTCTTTTAGTTGAGTACACACATCACGAACAAGTTTACTGAGAATGCTTTCTGTCTGGCATTTATTGGAAGACGTTTCCTTTTCACCAAAGGCATCAAAGCGCTCCAAATGTCCACTTCCAGATTCTTCCAAAAGAGTGTTTCAAACGTGCTCAAAGTAAGGGAATGTTCAACTCTGTGACTTGAATGCAGATATCACCAAGTAGTTTCTAATAGTGCTTCTGTCTAGATTTTAGATGATGATATTCCCGTTTCCAACGAAATCATTAGAGCTATCCAAATATCCACTTACAGTTTCTACAAAAAGAGTGTTTCCAAACTGCTGCATCAAAAGAAAGGTTCAACTCTGTTAGTTGAGGACACACATCACAAAGAAGTTTGTGAGAATGCTTCTGTCTAGATTTTGTATGACGATATTCCCTTTTCCAACGATATCATTAAAGCAATCTAAATATCCATTTGCAGAATCCACAAAAATAGAGTTTCAAAGCTGCTCTGTAAAAAGAAAGGTTCCACTCTGTTAGCTGAGTACACACATCACAAACTTGTTTCTCAGAATCCTTCTGTCTAGTTTTTATGGGAAGATATTTACTTTTTCACCGTAGGCATCAAAGCGTTCCAAATGTCCACATCCAGATAGTACAGAAAGAGTGTTTCAAACCTGCTCTATGAAAGGGAATGTTCTACTCTATGAGTTGAATGTACACATCACAAAGAAATTTCTGAGAATGCTGCTGTCTACCTTTTATTTGAATTCCCGCTTCCAACGAAATCCTCCAAGCTATCCAAATATCCACTTGCAGATTCCACAGAAGGAGTGTTTCAAAACTGCTCTCTATCAATGGCAAAGTTCAACTCTGTTAGTTGAGAACACATATCACCAACAAGTTTCTGAGAATGCTTCTGTCTATTTTTTATGGGAAGATATTTCCTTTTTCACCGTAGGCATCAAGGCGATCGAAATGTCCACTTCCACAAACTACAAAAAGAGTGTTTCAAACCTGCTCTATGAAAGGCCATGTTCACCTCTATGAGTTGAATGGAAATATCCGAAAGAAATTTCTGGGAATGCTGCTGTCTAGTGTTTATACGAATTTCCGCTTCCAACGAAATCCTCAAAGCAATCCAAATATCCACTTGCAGAATCCACAAAAAGAGTGTTTCAAAACTGCTCTATCAATAGAAAGGTTCAACTCTTTTAGTTGAGTACACACATCACGAACAAGTTTCTGAGAATGCTTCTGTCTGGCTTTTATTGGAAGACGTTTCCTTTTCACCAAAGGCATCAAAGCGCTCCAAATGTCCACTTCCAGATTCTTCCAAAAGAGTGTTTCAAACGTGCTCAAAGTAAGGGAATGTTCAACTCTGTGACTTGAATGCAGATATCACCAAGTAGTTTCTAATAGTGCTTCTGTCTACATTTTAGATGATGATATTCCCGTTTCCAACGAAATCGTTAGAGCTATCCAAATATCCAGTTACAGTTTCTACCAAAAGGGTGTTTCCAAAATGCTGCATCAAAAGAAAGGTTCAACTCTGTTAGTTGAGGACACACATCACAAAGAAGTTTGCGAGAATGCTTCTGTCTAGATTTTGTATGACCATATTCCCTTTTCCAGCGATATCATTAAAGCAGTCTAAATATCCATTTGCAGAATCCACAAAAATAGAGTTTCAAAGCTGCTCTGTAAAAAGAAAGGTTCCACTCTGTTAGCTGAGTACACACATCACAAACTTGTTTCTGAGAATCCTTCTGTCTCGTTTTGATGGGAAGATATTTACTTTTTCACCGTAGGCATCAAAGCGCTCCAAATGTCCACATCCAGATACTCCAGAAACAGTGTTTCAAACCTGCTCTATGAAAGGGAATCTTCAACTCTATGAGTTGAATGCAGACATCAGAAAGAAATTTCTGAGAATGCTGCTGTCTATCTTTTATTTGAATTCCCGCTTCCAACGAAATCCTCCAAGCTATCCAAATATCCACTTGCATTTTCCACAAAAAGAGTGTTTCAAAACTGCTCTATCAATAGAAATGTTCAACTCCTTTAGCTGGGTACACACATCACAAACAAGTTTCTGAGAATGCTTCTGTCTAGTTTTTATGGGAAGACATTCCCTTTTTCACCAAAGGCATCAAAGCGCTCCAAATGTCCACTTCCAGACACTACAAAAAGAGTGTTTCAAACGTGCTCTAAGAAACCGGATGTTCAACTCTGTGACTTGAATGCAGATATCACAAAGTAGTTTCTGAGAGGGCTTCTGTCTAGATTTTAGATGATGATATTCCCGTTTCCAACGAAATCATTAGAGCTATCCAAATATCCACTTACAGTTTCTACAAAAAGAGTGTTTCCAAACTGCTGCATCAAAAGAGAGGTTCCACTCTGTTAGCTGAGTACACACATCACAAACTTGTTTCTGAGAATCCTCTGTGTCGTTTTTATGGGAAGATATTTACTTTTTCACCGTAGGCATCAAAGCGCTCCAAATGTCCACATCCAGATACTCCAGAAAGAGTGTTTCAAACCTGCTCTATGAAAGGGAATCTTCAACTCTATGAGTTGAATGCAGACATCAGAAAGAAATTTCTGAGAATGCTGGCTGTCTACCTTTTATTTGAATTCCCGCTTCCAACGAAATCCTCCAAGCTATCCAAATATCCACTTGCAGATTCCACAAAAAGAGTGTTTCAAAACTGCTCTCTATCAATGGCAAAGTTCAACTCTGTTAGTTGAGGACACATATCACCAACAAGTTTCTGAGAATGCTTCTGTCTATTTTTTATGGGAAGATATTTCCTTTTTCACTGTAGGCGTCAAGGCGATCGAAATGTCCACTTCCACAAACTACAAAAAGAGTGTTTCAAACCTGCTCTATGAAAGGCGATGTTCATCTCAATGAGTTGAATGGAAATATCCGAAAGAAATTTCTGGGAATGCTGCTGTCTTGTTTTTATATGAATTCCCGCTTCCAACGAAATCCTCAAAGCAATCCAAATATCCACTTGCAGAATCCACAAAAAGAGTGTTTCAAAACTGCTCTATCAATAGAAAGGTTCAACTCTTTTAGTTGAGTACACACATCACCAACAAGTTTCTGAGAATGCTTCTGTCTGGCTTTTATTGGAAGACGTTTCCTTTTCACCAAAGGCATCAAAGCGCTCCAAATGTCCACTTCCAGATTCTTCCAAAAGAGAGTTTCAAACGTGGTCGAAGTAAGGGAATGTTCAACTCTGTGACTTGAATGCAGATATCACCAAGTAGTTTCTAATAGTGCTTCTGTCTAGATTTTAGATGATGATATTCCCGTTTCCAACGAAATCGTTAGAGCTATCCAAATATCCACTTACAGTTTCTACAAAAAGAGTGTTTCCAAACTGCTGCATTAAAAGAAAGGTTCAACTCTGTTAGTTGAGGACACACATCACAAAGAAGTTTGTGAGAATGCTTCTGTCTAGATTTTGTATGAAGATATTCCCTTTTCCAACGATGTCGTTAAATCAACCCAAATGTCAATTTGCAGAATCCACAGAAATAGAGTTTCAAAGCTGCTCTGTAAGAAGAAAGGATCCACTCTGTTAGCTGAGTACACACATCACAAACTTGTTTCTGAGAATCCTTCTGTCTCGTTTTTATGGGAAGATATTTACTTTTCCACCGTAGGCATCAAAGCGCTCCAAATGTCCACATCCAGATACTCCAGAAGGAGTGTTTCAAACCTGCTCTACGAAAGGGAATCTTCAACTGTATGAGTTGAATGCAGACATCAGAAAGAAATTTCTGAGAATGCTGCTGTCTACCTTTTATTTGAATTCCCGCTTCCAACGAAATCCTCCAAGCTATCCAAATATCCACCTGCATTTTCCACAAAAAGAGTGTTTCAAAACTGCTCTATCAATAGAAATGTTCAACTCCTTTGGCTGGGTACACACATCACAAACAAGTTTCTGTGAATGCTTCTGTCTAGTTTTTATGGGAAGACGTTCCCTTTTTCACCAAAGGCATCAAAGCGCTCCAAATGTCCACTTCCAGACACTACAAAAAGAGTGTTTCAAACGTGCTCTAAGAAAGCGAATGTTCAACTCTGTGACTTGAATGCACATATCACAAAGTAGTTTCTGAGAGGGCTTCTCTCTAGATTTTAGATGATGATATTCCCGTTTCCAACGAAATCATTAGAGCTATCCAAATATCCACTTACAGTTTCTACAAAAAGAGTGTTTCCAAACTGCTGCATCAAAAGAGAGGTTCCACTCTGTTAGCTGAGTACACACATCACAAACTTGTTTCTCAGAATCCTTCTGTCTCGTTTTTATGGGAAGATATTTACTTTTCCACCGTAGGCATCAAAGCGCTCCAAATGTCCACATCCAGATACTCCAGAAAGAGTGTTTCAAACCTGCTCTATGAAAGGGAATCTTCAACTCTATGAGTTGAATGCAGACATGAGAAAGAAATTTCTGAGAATGCTGCTGTCTACCTTTTATTTGAATTCCCGCTTCCAACGAAATCCTCCAAGCTATCCAAATATCCACCTGCATTTTCCACAAAAAGAGCGTTTCAAAACTGCTCTATCAATAGAAATGTTCAACTCCTTTAGCTGGGTACACACATCACAAACAAGTTTCTGAGAATGCTTCTGTCTAGTTTTTATGGGAAGACATTTCCTTTTTCACCAAAGGCATCAAAGAGCTCCAAATGTCCACTTCCAGATACTACAAAAAGAGTGTTTCAAAAGTGCTGTAAGAAAGCGAATGTTCAACTCTGTGACTTGAATGCAGATATCACAAAGTAGTTTCTGAGAGCGCTTCTGTCTAGATTTTAGATGATGATATTCCCGTTTCCAACGAAATCATTAGAGCTATCCAAATATCCACTTACAGTTTCTACAAAAAGAGTGTTTCCAAACTGCTGCATCAAAAGAGAGGTTCCACTCTGTTAGCTGAGTACACACATCACAAACTTTTTTCTCAGAATCCTTCTGTCTCGTTTTTATGGGAAGATATTTACTTTTTCACCGTAGGCATCAAAGCGCTCCAAATGTCCACATCCAGATACTACAGAAAGAGTATTTCAAACCTGCCCTATGAAAGGGAATGCTCAACTCTATGAGTTGAATGCAGACATCAGAAAGAAATTTCTGAGAATGCTGCTGTCTACCTTTTATTTGAATTCCCGCTTCCAACGAAATCCTCCAAGCTATCCAAATATCCACTTGCAGATTCCACAAAAAGAGTGTTTCAAAACTGCTCTCTATCAATGGCAAAGTTCAACTCTGTTAGTTGAGGACACATATCACCAACAAGTTTCTGAGAATGCTTCTGTCTATTTTTTATGGGAAGATATTTCCTTTTTCACTGTAGGCGTCAAGGCGATCGAAATGTCCACTTCCACAAACTACAAAAAGAGTGTTTCAAACCTGCTCTATGAAAGGCGATGTTCATCTCAATGAGTTGAATGGAAATATCCGAAAGAAATTTACTGGGAATGCTGCTGTCTACATTTCATTTGAATTCCCGCTTCCAACGAAATCCTCCAAGCTATCCAAATATCCACTTGCAGATTCCACAAAAAGAGTGTTTCAAAACTGCTCTATCAATAGAAAGGTTCAACTCTTTTAGTTGAGTACACACATCACAAACAAGTTTCTGAGAATGCTTCTGTCTGGCTTTTATTGGAAGACGTTTCCTTTTCACCAAAGGCATCAAAGCGCTCCAAATGTCCACTTCCAGATTCTTCCAAAAGAGTGTATCAAACGTGCTCAAAGTAAGGGAATGTTCAACTCTGTGACTTGAATGCAGATATCACCAAGTAGTTTCTAATAGTGCTTTTGTCTACATTTTAGATGATGATATTCCCGTTTCCAACGAAATCGTTAGAGCTATCCAAATATCCAGTTACAGTTTCTACCAAAAGGGTGTTTCCAAATTGCTGCATCAAAAGAAAGGTTCAACTCTGTTAGTTGAGGACACACATCACAAAGAAGTTTGTGAGAATGCTTCTGTCTAGATTTTGTATGACGATATTCCCTTTTCCACGATATCGTTAAAGCAATCTAAATATCAATTTGCAGAATCCACAAAAATAGAGTTTCAAAGCTGCTCTGTAAAAAGAAAGGTTCCACTCTGTTAGCTGAGTACACACATCACAAACTTGTTTCTGAGAATCCTTCTGTCTCGTTTTTATGGGAAGATTATACTTTTTCACTGTAGGCATCAAAGCGCTCCAAATGTCCACATCCAGATACTACAGAAAGAGTGTTTCAAACCTGCTCTATGAAAGGGAATCTTCAACTCTATGAGTTGAATGCAGACATCAGAAAGAAATTTCTGAGAATGCTGCTGTCTACCTTTTATTTGAATTCCCGCTTCCAACGAAATCCTCCAAGCTATCCAAATATCCACTTGCAGATTCCACAAAAAGAGTGTTTCAAAACTGCTCTCTATCAATGGCAAAGTTCAACTCTGTTAGTTGAGGACACATATCACCAACAAGTTTCTGAGAATGCTTCTGTCTATTTTTTATGGGAAGATATTTCCTTTTTCACCGTAGGCGTCAAGGCGATCGAAATGTCCACTTCCGCAAACTACAAAAAGAGTGTTTCAAACCTGCTCTATGAAAGGCCATGTTCATCTCTATGAGTTGAATGGAAATATCCGAAAGAAATTTCTGGGAATGCTGCTGTCTAGTTTTTATACAAATTCCCGCTTCCAACGATATCCTCAAAGCAATCCAAATATCCACTTGCAGAATCCACAAAAAGAGTGTTTCAAAACTGCTCTATCAATAGAAAGGTTCAACTCTTTTAGTTGAGTACACACATCACAAACAAGTTTCTGAGAATGCTTCTGTCTGGCTTTTATTGGAAGACGTTTCCTTTTCACCAAAGGCATCAAGGCGCTCCAAATGTCCACTTCCAGATTCTTCCAAAAGAGTGTTTCAAACGTGCTCAAAGTAAGGGAATGTTCAACTCTGTGACTTGAATGCAGATATCACCAAGTAGTTTCTAATAGTGCTTCTGTCTAGATTTTAGATGATGATATTCCCGTTTCCAACGAAATCGTTAGAGCTATCCAAATATCCAGTTACAGTTTCGACCAAAAGGGTGTTTCCAAATTGCTGCATCAAAAGAAAGGTTCAACTCTGTTAGTTGAGGACACACATCACAAAGAAGTTTGTGAGAATGCTTCTGTCCAGATTTTGTATGACGATATTCCCTTTTCCAACGATATCGTTAAAGCAATCTAAATATCCATTTGCAGAATCCACAAAAATAGAGTTTCAAAGCTGCTCTGTAAAAAGAAAGGTTCCACTCTGTTAGCTGAGTACACACATCTCAAACTTGTTTCTCAGAATCCTTCTGTCTCGTTTTTATGACAAGATATTTACTTTTTCACCATAGGCATGAAAGCGCTCCAAATGTCCACATCCAGATACTCCAGAAAGAGTGTTTCAAACCTGCTCTATGAAAGGGAATCTTAAACTCTATGAGTTGAATGCAGACATCAGAAAGAAATTTCTGAGAATGCTGCTGTCTACCTTTTATTGGAATTCCCGCTTCCAACGAAATCCTCCAAGCTATCCAAATATCCACTTGCAGATTCCACAAAAAGAGTGTTTCAAAACTGCTCTCTATCAATGGCAAAGTTCAACTCTGTTAGTTGAGGACACATATCACCAACAAGTTTCTGAGAATGCTTCTGTCTATTTTTTATGGGAAGATATTTCCTTTTTCACCGTAGGCGTCAAGGCGATCGAAATGTCCACTTCCACAAACTACAAAAAGAGTGTTTCAAACCTGCTCTATGAAAGGCCATGTTCATCTCTATGAGTCGAATGGAAATATCCGAAAGAAATTTCTGGGAATGCTGCTGTCTAGTTTTTATACGAATTCCCGCTTCCAACGAAATCCTCAAAGCAATCCAAATATCCACTTGCAGAATCCACAAAAAGAGTGTTTCAAAACTGCTCTATCAATAGAAAGGTTCAACTCTTTTAGTTGAGTACACACATCACAAACAAGTTTCTGAGAATGCTTCTGTCTGGCTTTTATTGGAAGACGTTTCCTTTTCACCAAAGGCATCATAGCGCTCCAAATGTCCACTTCCAGATTCTTCCAAAAGAGTGTTTCAAACGTGCTCAAAGTAAGGGAATGTTCAACTCTGTGACTTGAATGCAGATATCACCAAGTAGTTTCTAATAGTGCTTCTGTCTAGATTTTAGATGATGATATTCCCGTTTCCAACGAAATCGTTAGAGCTATCCAAATATCCACTTACAGTTTCTACCAAAAGGGTGTTTCCAAACTGCTGCATCAAAAGAAAGGTTCAACTCTGTTAGTTGAGGACACACATCACAAAGAAGTTTGTGAGAATACTTTCTGTCTAGAATTTTGTATGACGATATTCCCTTTTCCAACGATATCGTTAAAGCAATCTAAATACCAATTTGCAGAATCCACAAAAATAGAGTTTCAAAGCTGCTCTGTAAAAAGAAAGGTTCCACTCTGTTAGCTGAGTACACACATCACAAACTTGTTTCTCAGAATCCTCTGTGTCGTTTTTATGGGAAGATATTTACTTTTTCACCGTAGGCATCAAAGCGCTCCAAATGTCCACATCCAGATACTCCAGAAAGAGTGTTTCAAACCTGCTCTATGAAAGGGAATCTTCAACTCTATGAGTTGAATGCAGACATCAGAAAGAAATTTCTGAGAATGCTGCTGTCTACCTTTTATTTGAATTCCCGCTTCCAACGAAATCCTCCAAGCTATCCAAATATCCACTTGCAGATTCCACAAAAAGAGTGTTTCAAAACTGCTCTCTATCAATGGCAAAGTTCAACTCTGTTAGTTGAGGACACATATCACCAACAAGTTTCTGAGAATGCTTCTGTCTATTTTTTATGGGAAGATATTTCCTTTTTCACCGTAGGCGTCAAGGCGATCGAAATGTCCACTTCCACAAACTACAAAAAGTGTGTTTCAAACCTGCTCTATGAAAGGCCATGTTCATCTCTATGAGTCGAATGGAAATATCCGAAAGAAATTTCTGGGAATGCTGCTGTATAGTTTTTATACGAATTCCCGCTTCCAACGAAATCCTCAAAGCAATCCAAATATCCACTTGAAGAATCCACAAAAAGAGTGTTTCAAAACTGCTCTATCAATAGAAAGGTTCAAATCTTTTAGTTGAGTACACTCATCACGAACAAGTTTCTGAGAATGCTTCTGTCTGGCTTTTATTGGAAGACGTTTCCTTTTCACCAAAGGCATCAAAGCGCTCCAAATGTCCACTTCCAGATTCTTCCAAAAGAGTGTTTGAAAGGTGCTCAAAGTAAGGGAATGTTCAACTCTGTGACTTGAATGCAGATATCACCAAGTAGTTTCTAATAGTGCTTCTGTCTAGATTTTAGATGATGATATTACCGTTTCCAACAAAATCGTTAGAGCTATCCAAATATCCACTTACAGTTTCTACAAAAAGAGTGTTTCCAAACTGCTGCATCAAAAGAAAGGTTCAACTCTGTTAGTTGAGGACACACATCACAAAGAAGTTTGTGAGAATGCTTCCTGTCTAGATTTTGTATGACGATATTCCCTTTTCCAACGATATCGTTAAAGCAATCTAAATATCAATTTGCAGAATCCACAAAAATAGAGTTTCAAAGCTGCTCTGTAAAAAGAAAGGTTCCACTCTTTTAGCTGAGTACACACATCACAAACTTGTTTCTGAGAATCCTTCTGTCTAGTTTTTATGGGAAGATATTTACTTTTTCACCGTAGGCATCAAAGCGCTCCAAATGTCCACATCCAGATACTCCAGAAAGAGTGTTTCAAACCTGCTCTATGAAAGGGAATCTTCAACTCTATGAGTTGAATGCAGACATCAGAAAGAAATTTCTGAGAATGCTGCTGTCTACCTTTTATTTGAATTCCCGCTTCCAACGAAATCCTCCAAGCTATCCAAATATCCACTTGCATTTTCCACAAAAAGAGTGTTTCAAAACTAATCTATCAATAGAAATGTTCAACTCCTTTAGCTGGGTACACACATCACAAACAAGTTTCTGAGAATGCTTCTGTCTAGTTTTTATGGGAAGACATTCCCTTTTTCACCAAAGGCATCAAAGCGCTCCAAATGTCCACTTCCAGACACTACAAAAAGAGTGTTTCAAACGTGCTCTAAGAAAGCGAATGTTCAACTCTGTGACTTGAATGCAGATATCACAATGTAGTTTCTGAGAGGGCTTCTGTCTAGATTTTAGATGATGATATTCCCGTTTCCAACGAAATCATTAGAGCTATCCAAATATCCACGTACAGTTTCTACAAAAAGAGTGTTTCCAAACTGCTGCATCAAAAGAGAGGTTCCACTCTGTTAGCTGAGTACACACATCACAAACTTGTTTCTCAGAATCCTTCTGTCTAGTTTTTACGGGAAGATATTTACTTTTTCACCGTAGGTATCAAAGCGCTCCAAATGTCCACATCCAGATACTACAGAAAGAGTGTTTCAAACCTGCTCTATGAAAGGGAATCTTCAACTCTATGAGTTGAATGCAGACATCAGAAAGTAATTTCTGAGAATGCTGCTGTCTACCTTTCATTTGAATTCCCGCTTCCAACGAAATCCTCCAAGCTATCCAAATATTCACTTGCAGATTCCACAAAAAGAGTGTTTCAAAACTACTCTATCAATAGAAAGGTACAACTGTGTCAGTTGAGGACACACATCACAAACAAGTTTCTGAGAATTCTTCAATTTTTTATGGGAAGACATTTCCTTTTTCACCGTAGGCATCAAAGCGCTCCAAATGTCCACATCCAGATAGTACAGAAAGAGTGTTTCAAACCTGCTCTATTAAAGGGAATGTTCAACTCTATGAGTTGAATGCAAACATCAGGAAGAAATTTCTGAGAATGCTGCTGTCTAGTGTTTATATGAATTCCCGCTTCCAACGAAATCCTCAAAGCAATCCAAATATCCACTTGCAGAATCCACAAAAAGAGTGTTTCAAAACTGCTCTATCAATAGAAAGGTTCAACTCTTTTAGTTGAGTACACACATCACGAACAAGTTTCTGAGAATGCTTCTGTCTGGCTTTTATTGGAAGACGTTTCCTTTTCACCAAAGGCATCAAAGCGCTCCAAATGTCCACTTCCAGATTCTTCCAAAAGAGTGTTTCAAACGTGCTCAAAGTAAGGGAATGTTCAACTCTGTGACTTGAATGCAGATATCACCAAGTAGTTTCTAATAGTGCTTCTGTCTAGATTTTAGATGATGATATTCCCGTTTCCAACGAAATCGTTAGAGCTATCCAATAATGCACTTACAGTTTCTACAAAAAGAGTGTTTCCAAACTGCTGCATCAAAAGAAAGGTTCAACTCTGTTAGTTGAGGACACACATCACAAAGAAGTTTGTGAGAATGCTTCTGTCTAGATTTTGTATGACCATATTCCCTTTTCCAACGATATCGTTAAAGCAATCTAAATATCAATTTGCAGAATCCACAAAAATAGAGTTTCAAAGCTGCTCTGTAAAAAGAAAGGTTCCACTCTGTTAGCTGAGTACACACATCACAAACTTGTTTCTGAGAATCCTTCTGTCTCGTTTTTATGGGAAGATATTTACTTTTCCACCGTAGGCATCAAAGCGCTCCAAATGTCCACATCCAGATACTCCAGAACGAGTGTTTCAAACCTGCTCTACGAAAGGGAATCTTCAACTCTATGAGTTGAATGCAGACATCAGAAAGAAATTTCTGAGAATGCTGCTGTCTACCTTTTATTTGAATTCCCGCTTCCAACGAAATCCTCCAAGCTATCCAAATATCCACTTGCATTTTCCACAACAAGAGTGTTTCAAAACTGCTCTATCAATAGAAATGTTCAACTCCTTTGGCTGGGTACACACATCACAAACAAGTTTCTGAGAATGCTTTTGTCTAGTTTTTATGGGAAGACATTCCCTTTTTCACCAAAGGCATCAAAGCGCTCCAAATGTCCACTTCCAGACACTACAAAAAGAGTGTTTCCAACGTGCTCTAAGAAAGCGAATGTTCAACTCTGTGACTTGAATGCAGATATCACAAAGTAGTTTCTGAGAGGGCTTCTGTCTAGATTTTAGATGATGATATTCCCGTTTCCAACGAAATCATTAGAGCTATCCAAATATCCACTTACAGTTTCTACAAAAAGAGAGTTTCCAAACTGCTGCATCAAAAGAGAGGTTCCACTCTGTTAGCTGAGTACACACATCACAAACTTGTTTACTCAGAATCCTTCTGTCTCGTTTTTATGGGAAGATATTTACTTTTCCACCGTAGGCATCAAAGCGCTCCAAATGTCCACATCCAGATACTCCAGAACGAGTGTTTCAAACCTGCTCTATGAAAGGGAATCTTCAACTCTATGAGTTGAATGCAGACATCAGAAAGAAATTTCTGAGAATGATGCTGTCTACCTTTTATTTGAATTCCCGCTTCCAACGAAATCCTCCAAGCTATCCAAATATCCACTTGCAGATTCCACAAAAAGAGTGTTTCAAAACTGCTCTCTATCAATGGCAAAGTTCAACTCTGTTAGTTGAGGACACATATCACCAACAAGTTTCTGAGAATGCTTCTGTCTATTTTTTATGGGAAGATATTTCCTTTTTCACCGTAGGCGTCAAGGCGATCGAAATGTCCACTTCCACAAACTACAAAAAGAGTGTTTCAAACCTGCTCTATGAAAGGCGATGTTCATCTCTATGAGTTGAATGGAAATATCCGAAAGAAATTTCTGGGAATGCTGCTGTCTAGTTTTTATATGAATTCCCGCTTCCAACGAAATCCTCAAAGCAATCCAAATATCCACTTGCAGAATCCACAAAAAGAGTGTTTCAAAACTGCTCTATCAATAGAAAGGTTCAACTGCTTTTAGTTGAGTACACACATCACGAACAAGTTTCTGAGAATGCTTCTGTCTGGCTTTTATTGGAAGACGTTTCCTTTTCACCAAAGGCATCAAAGCGCTCCAAATGTCCACTTCCAGATTCTTCCAAAAGAGTGTTTCAAACGTGCTCGAAGTAAGGGAATGTTCTACTCTGTGACTTGAATGCAGATATCACCAAGTAGTTTCTAATAGTGCTTCTGTCTACATTTTAGATGATGATATTCCCGTTTCCAACGAAATCGTTAGAGCTATCCAAATATCCAGTTACAGTTTCTACCAAAAGGGTGTTTGCAAATTGCTGCATCAAAAGAAAGGTTCAACTCTGTTAGTTGAGGACACACATCACAAAGAAGTTTGTGAGAATGCTTCTGTCTAGATTTTGTATGACGATATTCCCTTTTCCAACGATATCGTTAAAGCAATCTAAATATCGATTTGCAGAATCCACAAAAATAGAGTTTCAAAGCTGCTCTGTAAAAAGAAAGGTTCCACTCTGTTAGCTGAGTACACACATCACAAACTTGTTTCTCAGAATCCTTCTTCAATTTTTTATGGGAAGACATTTCCTTTTTCACCGTAGGCGTCAAAGCGCTCCAACTGTCCACATCCAGATAGTACAGAAAGAGTGTTTCAAACCTGCTCTATTAAAGGGAATGTTCAACTCTATGAGTTGAATGCAAACATCACAAAGAAATTTCTGAGAATGCTGCTGTCTACCTTTTATTTGAATTCCCGCTTCCAACGAAATCCTCCAAGCTATCCAAATATCCACCTGCATTTTCCACAAAAAGAGTGTTTCAAAACTGCTCTATCAATAGAAATGTTCAACTCCTTTGGCTGGGTACACACATCACAAACAAGTTTCTGAGAATGTTTCTGTCTAGTTTTTATGGGAAGACGTTCCCTTTTTCACCAAAGGCATCAAAGCGCTCCAAATGTCCACTTCCAGACACTACAAAAAGAGTGTTTCAAACGTGCTCTAAGAAAGCGAATGTTCAACTCTGTGACTTGAATGCAGATATCACAAAGTAGTTTCTGAGAGGACTTCTGTCTAGATTTTAGATGATGATATTCCCGTTTCCAACGAAATCATTAGAGCTATCCAAATATCCACTTACAGTTTCTACAAAAAGAGTGTTTCCAAACTGCTGCATCAAAAGAGAGGTTCCACTCTGTTAGCTGAGTACACACATCACAAACTTGTTTCTGAGTATCCTTCTGTCTCGTTTTTATGGGAAGAGATTTACTTTCTCACCGTAGGCATCAAAGCGCTCCAAATGTCCACATCCAGATACTACAGAAAGAGTATTTCAAACCTGTCCTATGAAAGGGAATGTTCAACTCTATGAGTTGAATGCAGACATCAGAAAGAAATTTCTGAGAATGCTGCTGTCTACCTTTTATTTGAATTCCCGCTTCCAACGAAATCCTCCAAGCTATCCAAATATTCACTTGCAGATTCCACAAAAAGAGTGTTTCAAAACTGCTCTCTATCAATGGCAAAGTTCAACTCTGTTAGTTGAGGACACATATCACCAACAAGTTTCTGAGAATGCTTCTGTCTATTTTTTATGGGAAGATATTTCCTTTTTCACCGTAGGCGTCAAGGCGATCGAAATGTCCACTTCCACAAACTACAAAAAGAGTGTTTCAAACCTGCTCTATGAAAGGCCATGTTCATCTCTATGAGTCGAATGGAAATATCCGAAAGAAATTTCTGGGAATGCTGCTGTCTAGTGTTTATACGAATTCCCGCTTCCAACGAAATCCTCAAAGCAATCCAAATATCCACTTGCAGAATCCGCAAAAAGAGTGTTTCAAAACTGCTCTATCAATAGAAAGGTTCAACTCTTTTAGTTGAGTACACACATCACGAACAAGTTTCTGAGAATGCTTCTGTCTGGCTTTTATTGGAAGACGTTTCCTTTTCACCAAAGGCATCAAAGCGCTCCAAATGTCCACTTCCAGATTCTTACAAAAGAGTGTTTGAAACGTGCTCAAAGTAAGGGAATGTTCAACTCTGTGACTTGAATGCAGATATCACCCAGTAGTTTCTAATAGTGCTTCTGTGTATACTTTAGATGAAGATATTCCCGTTTCCAACGATATCGTTAGACCTATCCAAATATCCACTTACAGTTTCTACAAAAAGAGTGTTTCCAAACTTCTGCATCAAAAGAAAGGTTCAACTCTGTTAGTTGAGGACAGACATCAGAAAGAAGTTTCTGAGAATGCTTCTGTCTGGATTTTGTATGAAGATATTCCCTTTTCCAACGATGTCGTTAAATCAACCCAAATATCAATTTGCAGAATCCACAGAAATAGAGTTTCAAAGCTGCTCTGTAAAAAGAAAGGATCCACTCTGTTAGCTGAGTACACACATCACAAACTTGTTTCTGAGAATCCTGCTGTCTACCTTTTATTTGAATTCCCGCTTCCAACGAAATCCTCCAAGCTATCCAAATATCCACTTGCAGATTCCACAAAAAGAGTGTTTCAAAACTGCTCTCTATCAATGGCAAAGTTCAACTCTGTTAGTTGAGGACACATATCACCAACAAGTTTCTGAGAATGCTTCTGTCTATTTTTTATGGGAAGATATTTCCTTTTTCACCGTAGGCGTCAAGGCGATCGAAATGTCCACTTCCACAAACTACAAAAAGAGTGTTTCAAACCTGCTCTATGAAAGGCCATGTTCATCTCTATGAGTTGAATGGAAATATCCGAAAGAAATTTCTGGGAATGCTGCTGTCTAGTGTTTATACGAATTCCCGCTTCCAACGAAATCCTCAAAGCAATCCAAATATCCACTTGCAGAATCCACAAAAAGAGTGTTTCAAAACTGCTCTATCAATAGAAAGGTTCAACTCTTTTAGTTGAGTACACACATCACAAACAAGTTTCTGAGAATGTTTCTGTCTGGCTTTTATTGGAAGACGTTTCCTTTTCACCAAAGGCATCAAAGCGCTGCAAATGTCCACTTCCAGATTCTTCCAAAAGAGTGTTTCAAACGTGCTCAAAGTAAGGGAATGTTCAACTCTGTGACTTGAATGCAGATATCACCAAGTAGTTTCTAATAGTGCTTCTGTCTAGATTTTAGATGATGATATTCCCGTTTCCAATGAAATAGTTAGAGCTATCCAAATATCCACTTACAGTTTCTACCAAAAGGGTGTTTCCAAACTGCTGCATCAAAAGAAAGGTTCAACTCTGTTAGTTGAGGACACACATCACAAAGAAGTTTGTGAGAATGCTTCTATCTAGATTTTGTATGACCATATTCCCTTTTCCAGCGATAACATTAAATCAATCTAAATATCCATTTGCAGAATCCACAAAAATAGAGTTTCAAAGCTGCTCTGTAAAAAGAAAGGTTCCACTCTGTTAGCTGAGTACACACATCACAAACTTGTTTCTCAGAATCCTTCTGTCTCGTTTTTCTGGGAAGATATTTACTTTTTCACCGTAGGCATCAAAGCGCTCCAAATGTCCACATCCAGATACTCCAGAAAGAGTGTTTCAAACCTGCTGCTATGAAAGGGAATCTTCAACTCTATGAGTTGAATGCAGACATCAGAAAGAAATTTCTGAGAATGCTGCTGTCTACCTTTTATTTGAATTCCCGCTTCCAACGAAATCCTCCAAGCTATCCAAATATCCACTTGCATTTTCCACAAAAAGAGTGTTTCAAAACTGCTCTATCAATGGAAATGTTCAACTCCTTTAGCTGGGTACACACATCACAAACAAGTTTCTGAGAATGCTTCTGTCTAGTTTTTATGGGAAGACATTCCCTTTTTCACCAAAGGCATCAAAGCGCTCCAAATGTCCACTTCCAAACACTACAAAAAGAGTGTTTCCAACGTGCTCTAAGAAAGCGAATGTTCAACTCTGTGACTTGAATGCAGATATCACAAAGTAGTTTCTGAGAGGGCTTCTGTCTAGATTTTAGATGATGATATTCCCGTTTCCAACGAAATCATTAGAGCTATCCAAATATCCACTTACAGTTTCTACAAAACGAGTGTTTCCAAACTGCTGCTTCAAAAGAGAGGTTCCACTCTGTTAGCTGAGTACACACATCACAAACTTCTTTCTGAGAATCCTTCTGTCTCGTTTTTATGGGAAGATTATACTTTTTCACCGTAGGCATCAAAGCGCTCCAAATGTCCACATCCAGATACTCCAGAAAGAGTGTTTCAAACCTGCTCTATGAAAGGGAATGTTCAACTCTATGAGTTGAATGCAGACATCAGAAAGAAATTTCTGAGAATGCTGCTGTCTACCTTTTATTTGAATTCCCGCTTCCAACGAAATCCTCCAAGCTATCCAAATATCCACTTGCAGATTCCACAAAAAGAGTGTTTCAAAACTGCTCTCTATCAATGGCAAAGTTCAACTCTGTTAGTTGAGGACACATATCACCAACAAGTTTCTGAGAATGCTTCTGTCTATTTTTTATGGGAAGATATTTCCTTTTTCACCGTAGGCGTCAAGGCGATCGAAATGTCCACTTCCACAAACTACAAAAAGAGTGTTTCAAACCTGCTCTATGAAAGGCCATGTTCATCTCTATGAGTTGAATGGAAATATCCGAAAGAAATTTCTGGGAATGCTGCTGTCTAGTTTTTATACGAATTCCCGCTTCCAACGAAATCCTCAAAGCAATCCAAATATCCACTTGCAGAATCCACAAAAAGAGTGTTTCAAAACTGCTCTATCAATAGAAAGGTTCAACTCTTTTAGTTGAGTACACACACCACAAACAAGTTTCTGAGAATGCTTCTGTCTGGCTTTTATTGGAAGACGTTTCCTTTTCACCAAAGGCATCAAAGCGCTCCAAATGTCCACTTCCAGATTCTTCCAAAAGAGTGTTTCAAACGTGCTCAAAGTAAGGGAATGTTCAACTCTGTGACTTGAATGCAGATATCACCAAGTAGTTTCTAATAGTGCTTCTGTCTAGATTTTAGATGATGATATTCCCGTTTCCAACGAAATCTTTAGAGCTATCCAAATATCCAGTTACAGTTTCTACCAAAAGGGTGTTTCCAAATTGCTGCATCAAAAGAAAGGTTCAACTCTGTTAGTTGAGGACACACATCACAAAGAAGTTTGTGAGAATGCTTCTTTCTAGATTTTGTATGACGATATTCCCTTTTCCAACGATATCGTTAAAGCAATCTAAATATCAATTTGCAGAATCCACAAAAATAGAGTTTCAAAGCTGCTCTGTAAAAAGAAAGGTTCCACTCTGTTAGCTGAGTACACACATCACAAACTTGTTTCTGAGAATCCTTCTGTCTCGTTTTTATGGGAACATATTTAGTTTTTCACCGTAGGCATCAAAGCGGTCCAAATGGCCACTTCCAGATACTCCAGAAAGAGTGTTTCAAACCTGCTCTATGAAAGGGAATCTTCAACTCTATGAGTTGAATGCAGACATCAGAAAGAAATTTCTGAGAATGCTGCTGTCTACCTTTTATTTGAATTCCCGCTTCCAACGAAATCCTCCAAGCTATCCAAATATCCACTTGCAGTTTCCACAAAAAGAGTGTATCAAAACTGCTCTATCAATAGAAATGTTCAACTCCTTTAGCTGGGTACACACATCACAAACAAGTTTCTGAGAATGCTTCTGTCTAGTTTTTATGGGAAGACGTTCCCTTTTTCACCAAAGCCATCAAAGCGCTCCAAATGTCCACTTCCAGACACTACAAAAAGAGTGTTTCAAACGTGCTCTAAGAAAGCGAATGTTCAACTCTGTGACTTGAATGCAGATATCACAAAGTAGTTTCTGAGAGTGCTTCTGTCTAGATTTTAGATGATGATATTCCCGTTTCCAACGAAATCATTAGAGCTATCCAAATATCCACTTACAGTTTCTACAAAAAGAGTGTTTCCAAACTGCTGCATCAAAAGAGAGGTTCCACTCTGTTATCTGAGTACACACATCACAAACTTGTTTCTCAGAATCCTTCTGTCTCGTTTTTATGGGAAGATATTTACTTTTCCACCGTAGGCATCAAAGCGCTCCAAATGTCCACATCCAGATACTCCAGAAAGAGTGTTTCAAACCTGCTCTATGAAAGGGAATCTTCAACTCTATGAGTTGAATGCAGACATCAGAAAGAAATTTCTGAGAATGCTGCTGTCTACCTTTTATTTGAATTCCCGCTTCCAACGAAATCCTCCAAGCTATCCAAATATCCACTTGCAGATTCCACAAAAAGAGTGTTTCAAAACTGCTCTCTATCAATGGCAAAGTTCAACTCTGTTAGTTGAGGACACATATCACCAACAAGTTTCTGAGAATGCTTCTGTCTATTTTTTATGGGAAGATATTTCCTTTATCACCGTAGGCGTCAAGGCGATCGAAATGTCCACTTCCACAAACTACAAAAAGAGTGTTTCAAACCTGCTCTATGAAAGGCCATGTTCATCTCTATGAGTTGAATGGAAATATCCGAAAGAAATTTCTGGGAATGCTGCTGTCTAGTGTTTATACGAATTCCCGCTTCCAACGAAATCCTCAAAGCAATCCAAATATCCACTTGCAGAATCCACAAAAAGAGTGTTTCAAAACTGCTCTATCAATAGAAAGGTTCAACTCTTTTAGTTGAGTACACACATCACGAACAAGTTTCTGAGAATGCTTCTGTCTGGCTTTTATTGGAAGACGTTTCCTTTTCACCAAAGGCATCAAAGCGCTCCAAATGTCCACTTCCAGATTCTTCCAAAAGAGTGTTTCAAACGTGCTCGAAGTAAGGGAATGTTCTACTCTGTGACTTGAATGCAGATATCACCAAGTAGTTTCTAATAGTGCTTCTGTCTAGATTTTAGATGATGATATTCCCGTTTACAACGAAATCGTTAGAGCTATCCAAATATCCAGTTACAGTTTCTACCAAAAGGCTGTTTCCAAATTGCTGCATCAAAAGAAAGGTTCAACTCTGTTAGTTGAGGACACACATCACAAAGAAGTTTGTGAGAATGCTTCTGTCTAGATTTTGTATGACGATATTCCCTTTTCCAACGATATCGTTAAAGCAATCTAAATATCAATTTGCAGAATCCACAGAAATAGAGTTTCAAAGCTGCTCTGTAAAAAGAAAGGTTCCACTCTGTTAGCTGAGTACACACATCACAAACTTGTTTCTCAGAATCCTTCTGTCTCGTTTTTATGGGAAGATATTTACTTTTCCACCGTAGGCATCAAAGCGCTCCAAATGTCCACATCCAGATACTCCAGAACGAGTGTTTCAAACCTGCTCTATGAAAGGGAATCTTCAACTCTATGAATTGAATGCAGACATCAGAAAGAAATTTCTGAGAATGCTGCTGTCTACCTTTTATTTGAATTCCCGCTTCCAACGAAATCCCCCAAGCAATCCAAATATCCACTTGCATTTTCCACAAAAAGAGTGTTTCAAAACTGCTCTATCAATAGAAATGTTCAACTCCTTTAGCTGGGTACACACATCACAAACAAGTTTCTGAGAATGCTTCTGTCTAGTTTTTATGGGTAGACATTCCCTTTTTCACCAAAGGAATCAAAGCGCTCCAAATGTCCACTTCCAGACACTACAAAAAGAGTCTTTCAAACGTGCTCTAAGAAAGGGAATGTTCAACTCTGTGACTTGAATGCAGATATCACAAAGTAGTTTCTGAGAGTGCTTCTGTCTAGATTTTAGATGATGATATTCCCGTTTCCAATGAAATCATTAGAGCTATCCAAATATCCACATACAGTTTCTACAAAAAGAGTGTTTCCAAACTGCTGCATCAAAAGAGAGGTTCCACTCTGTTAGCTGAGTACACACATCACAAACTTGTTTCTTAGAATCCTTCTGTCTCGTTTTTATGGGAAGATATTTACTTTCTCACCGTAGGCATCAAAGCGCTCCAAATGTCCACATCCAGATACTCCAGAAAGAGTGTTTCAAACCTGCTCTATGAAAGGGAATCTTCAACTCTATGACTTGAATGCAGACATCAGAAAGAAATTTCTGAGAATGCTGCTGTCTACCTTTTATTTGAATTCCCGCTTCCAACGAAATCCTCCAAGGTATCCAAATATCCACTTGCAGATTCCACAAAAAGAGTGTTTCAAAACTGCTCTCTATCAATGGCAAAGTTCAACTCTGTTAGTTGAGGACACATATCACCAACAAGTTTCTGAGAATGCTTCTGTCTATTTTTTATGGGAAGATATTTCCTTTTTCACCGTAGGCGTCAAGGCGATCGAAATGTCCACTTCCACAAACTACAAAAAGAGTGTTTCAAACCTGCTCTATGAAAGGCCATGTTCATCTCTATGAGTCGAATGGAAATATCCGAAAGAAATTTCTGGGAATGCTGCTGTCTAGTGTTTATACGAATTCCCGCTTCCAACGAAATCCTCAAAGCAATCCAAATATCCACTTGCAGAATCCACAAAAAGAGTGTTTCAAAACTGCTCTATCAATAGAAAGGTTCAACTCTTTTAGTTGAGTACACACATCACGAATAAGTTTCTGAGAATGCTTCTGTCTGGCTTTTATTGGAAGACGTTTCCTTTTCACCAAAGGCATCAAAGCGCTCCAAATGTCCACTTCCAGATTCTTCCAAAAGAGTGTTTCAAACGTGCTGAAAGTAAGGGAATGTTCAACTCTTTGACTTGAATGCAGATATCACCAAGTAGTTTCTAATAGTGCTTCTGTCTAGATTTTAGATGATGATATTCCCGTTTCCAACGAAATCGTTAGAGCTATCCAAATATCCACTTACAGTTTCTACCAAAAGGGTGTTTCCAAACTGCTGCATCAAAAGAAAGCTTCAACTCTGTTAGTTGAGGACACACATCACAAAGAAGTTTGTGAGAATGCTTCTGTCTAGATTTTGTATGACCATATTCCCTTTTCCAGCGATATCATTAAAGCAATCTAAATATCCATTTGCAGAATCCACAAAAATAGAGTTTCAAAGCTGCTCTGTAAAAAGAAAGGTTCCACTCTGTTAGCTGAGTACACACATCACAAACTTGTTTCTGAGAATCCTTCTGTCTCGTTTTTATGGGAAGATATTTACTTTTTCACCGTAGGCATCAAAGCGCTCCAAATGTCCACATCCAGATACTCCAGAAAGAGTGTTTCAAATCTGCTCTATGAAAGGGAATCTTCAACTCTATGAGTTGAATGCAGACATCAGAAAGAAATTTCTGAGAATGCTGCTGTCTACCTTTTATTTGAATTCCCGCTTCCAACGAAATCCTCCAAGCTCTCCAAATATCCACTTGCATTTTCCACAAAAAGAGTGTTTCAAAACTGCTCTATCAATAGAAATGTTCAACTCCTTTAGCTGGGTACACACATCACAAACAAGTTTCTGAGAATGCTTCTGTCTAGTTTTTATGGGAAGACATTCCCTTTTTCACCAAAGGCATCAAAGCGCTCCAAATGTCCACTTCCAGACACTACAAAAAGAGTGTTTCCAACGTGCTCTAAGAAAGCGAATGTTCAACTCTGTGACTTGAATGCAGATATCACAAAGTAGTTTCTGAGAGGGCATCTCTCTAGATTTTAGATGATGATATTCCCGTTTCCAACGAAATCATTAGAGCTATCCAAATATCCACTTACAGTTTCTACAAAAAGAGTGTTTCCAAACTACTGCATCAAAAGAGAGGTTCCACTCTGTTAGCTGAGTACACACATCACAAACTTGTTTCTCAGAATCCTTCTGTGTCGTTTTTATGGGAAGATATTTACTTTTTCACCGTAGGCATCAAAGCGCTCCAAATGTCCACATCCAGATACTCCAGAAAGAGTGTTTCAAACCTGCTCTATGAAAGGGAATCTTCAACTCTATGAGTTGAATGCAGACATCAGAAAGAAATTTCTGAGAATGCTGCTGTCTACCTTTCATTTGAATTCCCGCTTCCAACGAAATCCTCCAAGCTATCCAAATATTCACTTGCAGATTCCACAAAAAGAGTGTTTCAAAACTACTCTATCAATAGAAAGGTACAACTCTGTCAGTTGAGGACACACATCACAAACAAGTTTCTGAGAATTCTTCTGTCTATTTTTTATGGGAAGATATTTCCTTTTTCACCGTAGGCGTCAAGGCGATCGAAATGTCCACTTCCACAAACTACAGAAAGAGTGTTTCAAACCTGCTCTATGAAAGGCCATGTTCATCTCTATGAGTTGAATGGAAATATCCGAAAGAAATTTCTGGGAATGCTGCTGTCTAGTGTTTATACGAATTCCCGCTTCCAACGAAATCCTCAAAGCAATCCAAATATCCACTTGCAGAATCCACAAAAAGAGTGTTTCAAAACTGCTCTATCAATAGAAAGGTTCAACTCTTTTAGTTGAGTACACACATCACGGACAAGTTTCTCAGAATGCTTCTGTCTGGCTTTTATTGGAAGACGTTTCCTTTTCACCAAAGGCATCAAAGCGCTCCAAATGTCCACTTCCAGATTCTTCCAAAAGAGTGTTTCAAACGTGCTCAAAGTAAGGGAATGTTCAACTCTTTGACTTGAATGCAGATATCACCAAGTAGTTTCTAATAGTGCTTCTGTCTAGATTTTAGATGATGATATTCCCGTTTCCAACGAAATCGCTAGAGCTATCCAAATATCCAGTTACAGTTTCTACCAAAAGGGTGTTTCCAAATTGCTGCATCAAAAGAAAGGTTCAACTCTGTTAGTTGAGGACACACATCACAAAGAAGTTTGTGAGAATGCTTCTGTCTAGATTTTGTATGAAGATATTCCCTTTTCCAACGATATCGTTAAATCAACCCAAATATCAATTTGCAGAATCCACAGAAATAGAGTTTCAAAGCTGCTCTGTAAAAAGAAAGGATCCACTCTGTTAGCTGAGTACACACATCACAAACTTGTTTCTGAGAATCCTTCTGTCTCGTTTTTATGGGAAGATATTTACTTTTCCACCGTAGGCATCAAAGCGCTCCAAATGTCCACATCCAGATACTCCAGAACGAGTGTTTCAAACCTGCTCTATGAACGGGAATCTTCAACTCTATGAGTTGAATGCAGACATCAGAAAGAAATTTCTGAGAATGCTGCTGTCTATCTTTTATTTGAATTCCCGCTTCCAATGAAAACCTCCAAGCTATCCAAATATCCACTTGCAGATTCCACAAAAAGAGTGTTTCAAAACTGCTCTATCAATAGAAATATTCAACTCCTTTCGCTGGGTACACACATCACAAACAAGTTTCTGAGAATGCTTCTGTCTAGCTTTTATGGGAAGACATTTCCTTTTTCACCAAAGGCATCAAAGAGCTCCAAATGTCCACTTCCAGATACTACAAAAAGAGTGTTTCAAAAGTGCTCTAAGAAAGCGAATGTTCAACTCTGTGACTTGAATGCAGATATCACAAAGTAGTTTCTGAGAGTGCTTCAGTCTAGATTTTAGATGATGATATTCCCGTTTCCAATGAAATCATTAGAGCTTTCCAAATATCCACTTACAGTTTCTACAAAAAGAGTGTTTCCAAACTGCTGCATCAAAAGAGAGGTTCCACTCTGTTAGCTGAGTACACACATCACAAACTTGTTTCTGAGAATCCTTCTGTCTCGTTTTTATGGGAAGATATTTACTTTTGCACCGTAGGCATCAAAGCGCTCCAAATGTCCACATCCAGATACTCCAGAACGAGTGTTTCAAACCTGCTCTATGAAAGGGAATCTTCAACTCTATGAGTTGAATGCAGACATCAGAAAGAAATTTCTGAGAATGCTGCTGTCTACCTTTTATTTGAATTCCCGCTTCCAACGAAATCCTCCAAGCTATCCAAATATCCACTTGCAGATTCCACAAAAAGACTGTTTCAAAACTGCTCTCTATCAATGGCAAAGTTCAACTCTGTTAGTTGAGGACACATATCACCAACAAGTTTCTGAGAATGCTTCTGTCTATTTTTTATGGGAAGATATTTCCTTTTTCACCGTAGGCATCAAGGCGATTGAAATGTCCACTTCCACAAACTACAAAAAGAGTGTTTCAAACCTGCTGTATGAAAGGCCATGTTCACCTCTATGAGTTGAATGGAAATATCCGAAAGAAATTTCTGGGAATGCTGCTGTCTAGTGTTTATACGAATTCCCGCTTCCAACGAAATCCTCAAAGCAATCCAAATATCCACTTGCAGAATCCACAAAAAGAGTGTTTCAAAACTGCTCTATCAATAGAAAGGTTCAACTCTTTTAGTTGAGTACACACATCACGAACAAGCTTCTGAGAAGGCTTCTGTCTGGCTTTTATTGGAAGACGTTTCCTTTTCACCAAAGGCATCAAAGCGTTCCAAATGTCCACTTCCAGATTCTTCCAAAAGAGTGTTTCAAACGTGCTCAAAGTAAGGGAATGTTCAACTCTTTGACTTGAATGCAGATATCACCAAGTAGTTTCTAGATCTGTCTACATTTTAGATGATGATATTCCCGTTTCCAACGAAATCGTTAGAGCTATCCAAATATCCAGTTACAGTTTCTACCAAAAGGGTGTTTCCAAATTGCTGCATCAAAAGAAAGGTTCAACTACTGTTAGTTGAGGACACACATCACAAAGAAGTTTGTGAGAATGCTTCTGTCTAGATTTTGTATGAGGATATTCCCTTTTCCAACGATATCGTTAAAGCAATCTAAATATCAATTTGCAGAATCCACAAAAATAGAGTTTGAAAGCTGCTCTGTAAAAAGAAAGGTTCCACTCTGTTAGCTGAGTACACACATCACAAACTTGTTTCTCAGAATCCTGCTGTCTACCTTTTATTTGAATTCCCGCTTCCAACGAAATCCTCCAAGCTATCCAAATATCCTCCTGCATTTTCCACAACAAGAGTGTTTCAAAACTGCTCTATCAATAGAAATGTTCAACTCCTTTGGCTGGGTACACACATCACAAACAAGTTTCCTGAGAATGCTTCTGTCTAGTTTTTATGGGAAGACATTTCCTTTTTCACCAAAGGCATCAAAGAGCTCCAAATGTCCACTTCTAGATACTACAAAAAGAGTGTTTCAAAAGTGCTCTAAGAAAGCGAATGTTCAACTCTGTGACTTGAATGCAGATATCAACAAGTAGTTTCTGAGAGTGCTTCTGTCTAGATTTTAGATGATGATATTCCCGTTTCCAACGAAATCATTAGAGCTATCCAAATAAACACTTACAGTTTCTACAAAAAGAGTGTTTCCAAACTGCTGCATCAAAAGAGAGGTTCCACTCTGTTAGCTGAGTACACACATCACAAACTTGTTTCTCAGAATCCTTCTGTCTCGTTTTTATGGGAAGATATTTACTTTCTCACCGTAGGCATCAAAGCGCTCCAAATGTCCACATCCAGATACTCCAGAAAGAGTGTTTCAAACCTGCTCTATGAAAGGGAATCTTCAACTCTATGAGTTGAATGCAGACATCAGAAAGAAATTTCTGAGAATGCTGCTGTCTACCTTTTATTTGAATTCCCGCTTCCAACGAAATCCTCCAAGCTATCCAAATATCCACTTGCAGATTCCACAAAAAGAGTGTTTCAAAACTGCTCTCTATCAATGGCAAAGTTCAATTCTGTTAGTTGAGGACACATATCACCAACAAGTTTCTGAGAATGCTTCTGTCTATTTTTTATGGGAAGATATTTCCTTTTTCACCGCAGGCGTCAAGGTGATCGAAATGTCTACTTCCACAAACTACAAAAAGAGTGTTTCAATATGAAAGGCCATGTTCATCTCTATGAGTTGAATGGAAATATCCGAAAGAAATTTCTGGGAATGCTGCTGTCTAGTGTTTATACGAATTCCCGCTTCCAACGAAATCCTCAAAGCAATCCAAATATCCACTTGCAGAATCCACAAAAAGAGTGTTTCAAAACTGCTCTATCAATAGAAAGGTTCAACTCTTTTAGTTGAGTACACACATCACGAACAAGTTTCTGAGAATGCTTCTGTCTGGCTTTTATTGGAAGACGTTTCCTTTTCACCAAAGGCATCAAAGCGCTCCAAATGTCCACTTCCAGATTCTTCCAAAAGAGTGTTTCAAACGTGCTCAAAGTAAGCGAATGTTCAACTCTGTGACTTGAATGCAGATATCACCAAGTAGTTTCTAATAGTGCTTCTGTCTATATTTTAGATGATGATATTCCCGTTTCCAACGAAATCGTTAGAGCTATCCAAATATCCAGTTACAGTTTCTACCAAAAGGGTGTTTCCAAATTGCTGCATCAAAAGAAAGGTTCAACTCTGTTAGTTGAGGACACACATCACAAAGAAGTTTGTGAGAATGCTTCTGTCTAGATTTTGTATGACGATATTCCGTTTTCCAACGATATCGTTAAAGCAATCTAAATATCAATTTGCAGAATCCACAAAAATAGAGTTTCAAAGCTGCTCTGTAAAAAGAAAGGTTCCACTCTGTTAGCTGAGTACACACATCACAAACTTGTTTCTGAGAATCCTTCTGTCTCGTTTTTATGGGAAGATATTTACTTTTCCACCGTAGGCATCAAAGCGCTCCAAATGTCCACATCCAGATACTCCAGAACGAGTGTTTCAAACCTGCTCTATGAAAGGGAATCTTCAACTGTATGAGTTGAATGCAGACATCAGAAAGAAATTTCTGAGAATGCTTGCTGTCTACCTTTTATTTGAATTCCCGCTTCCAACGAAAACCTACAAGCTATCCAAATATCCACTTGCAGATTCCACAAAAAGAGTGTTTCAAAACTGCTCTATCAATAGAAATGTTCAACTCCTTTCGCTGGGTACACACATCACAAACAAGTTTCTGAGAAAGCTTCTGTCTAGTTTTTATGGGAAGATATTCCCTTTTTCACCAAAGGCATCAAAGCGCTCCAAATTTCCACTTCCAGACACTACAAAAAGAGTGTTTCAAACGTGCTCTAAGAAAGCGAATGTTCAACTCTGTGACTTGAATGCAGATATCACAAAGTAGTTTTTGAGAGGGCTTCTGTCTAGATTTTAGATGATGATATTCCCGTTTCCAACGAAATCATTAGAGCTATCCAAATATCCACTTACAGTTTCTACAAAAAGAGTGTTTCCACACTGCTGCATCAAAAGAGAGGTTCCACTCTGTTAGCTGAGTACACACATCACAAACTTGTTTCTCAGAATCCTTCTGTCTCGTTTTTATGGGAAGATATTTACTTTTTCACCGTAGGCATCAAAGCGCTCCAAATGTCCACATCCAGATACTCCAGAAAGAGTGTTTCAAACCTGCTCTATGAAAGGGAATGTTCAACTCTATGAGTTGAATGCGGACATCAGAAAGAAATTTCTGAGAATGCTGCTGTCTACCTTTAATTTGAATTCCCGCTTCCAACGACATCCTCCAAGCTATCCAAATATCCACTTGCAGATTCCACAAAAAGAGTGTTTCAAAACTGCTCTCTATCAATGGCAAAGTTCAACTCTGTTAGTTGAGGACACATATCACCAACAAGTTTCTGAGAATGCTTCTGTCTATTTTTTATGGGAAGATATTTCCTTTTTCACCGTAGGCGTCAAGGCGATCGAAATGTCCACTTCCACAAACTACAAAAAGAGTGTTTCAAACCTGCTCTATGAAAGGCCATGTTCATCTCTATGAGTTGAATGGAAATATCCGAAAGAAATTTCTGGGAATGCTGCTGTCTAGTGTTTATACGAATTCCCGCTTCCAACGAAATCCTCAAAGCAATCCAAATATCCACTTGCAGAATCCACAAAAAGAGCGTTTCAAAACTGCTCTATCAATAGAAAGGTTCAACTCTTTTAGTTGAGTACACACATCACGAACAAGTTTCTGAGAATGCTTCTGTCTGGCTTTTATTGGAAGACGTTTCCTTTTCACCAAAGGCATCAAAGGGCTCCAAATGTCCACTTCCAGATTCTTCCAAAAGAGTGTTTCAAACGTGCTCGAAGTAAGGGAATGTTCAACTCTGTGACTTGAATGCAGATATCACCAAGTAGTTTCTAATAGTGCTTCTGTCTAGATTTTAGATGATGATATTCCCGTTTCCAACGAAATCGTTAGAGCTATCCAAATATCCAGTTACAGTTTCTACCAAAAGGGTGATTCCAAACTGCTGCATCAAAAGAAAGGTTCAACTCTGTTAGTTGAGGACACACATCACAAAGAAGTTTGTGAGAATGCTTCTGTCTAGATTTTGTATGACCATATTCCCTTTTCCAGCGATATCGTTAAAGCAATCTAAATATCCATTTGCAGAATCCACAAAAATAGAGTTTCAAAGCTGCTCTGTAAAAAGAGAGGTTCCACTCTGTTAGCTGAGTACACACATCACAAACTTGTTTCTCAGAATCCTGCTGTCTAACTTTTATTTGAAATTCCCGCTTCCAACGAAATCCTCCAAGCTATCCAAATATCCACCTGCATTTTCCACAAAAAGAGTGTTTCAAAACTGCTCTATCAATAGAAATGTTCAACTCCTTTGGCTGGGTACACACATCACAAACAAGTTTCTGAGAATGCTTCTGTCTAGTTTTTATGGGAAGACATTCCCTGTTTCACCAAAGGCATCAAAGCGCTCCAAATGTCCACTTCCAGACACTACAAAAAGAGTGTTTCAAACGTGCTCTAAGAAAGCGAATGTTCAACTCTCTGACTTGAATGCAGATATCACAAAGTAGTTTCTGAGAGGGCTTCTGTCTAGATTTTAGATGATGATATTCCCGTTTCCAACGAAATCATTAGAGCTATCCAAATATCCACTTACGGTTTCTACAAAAAGAGTGTTTCCAAACTGCTGCATCAAAAGAGAGGTTCCACTCTGTTAGCTGAGTACACACATCACAAACTTATTTCTCAGAATCCTTCTTCAATTTTTTATGGGAAGACATTTCCTTTTTCACCGTAGGCGTCAAAGCGCTCCAATTATCCACATCCAGATACTACAGAAAGAGTGTTTCAAACCTGCTCTATTAAAGGGAATGTTCAACTCTATGAGTTGAATGCAAACATCAGAAAGAAATTTCTGAGAATGCTGCTGTCTACCTTTTATTTGAATTCCCGCTTCCAACGAAAACCTACAAGCTATCCAAATATCCACTTGCAGATTCCACAAAAAGAGTGTTTCAAAAATGCTCTATCAATAGAAATGTTCAACTCCTTTCGCTGGGTACACACATCACAAACAAGTTTCTGAGAAAGCTTCTGTCTAGTTTTTATGGGAAGACATCTCCTTTTTCACCAAAGGCATCAAAGAGCTCCAAATGTCCACTTCCAGATACGACAAAAAGAGTGTTTCAAAAGTGCTCTAAGAAAGCGAATGTTCAACTCTGTGACTTGAATGCAGATATCACAAAGTAGTTTCTGAGAGTGCTTCTGTCTAGATTTTAGATGATGATATTCCCGTTTCCAACGAAATCATTAGAGCTATCCAAATATCCACTTACAGTTTCTACAAAAAGAGTGTTTCCAAACTGCTGCTTCAAAAGAGAGGTTCCACTCTGTTAGCTGAGTACACACATCACAAACTTGTTTCTGAGAATCCTTCTGTCTCGTTTTTATGGGAAGATATTTACTTTTTCACCGTAGGCATCCAAGCGCTCCAAATGTCCACATCCAGATACTCCAGAAAGAGTGTTTCAAACCTGCTCTAGGAAAGGGAATCTTCAACTCTATGAGTTGAATGCAGACATCAGAAAGAAATTTCTGAGAATGCTGCTGTCTACCTTTTATTTGAATTCCTGCTTCCAACGAAAACCTCCAAGCTATCCAAATATCCACTTGCAGATTCCACAAAAAGAGTGTTTCAAAACTGCTCTATCAATAGAAATGTTCAACTCCTTTCGCTGGGTACACACATCACAAACAAGTTTCTGAGAATGCTTCTGCCTAGTTTTTATGGGAAGACATTTCCTTTTTCACCAAAGGCATCAAAGAGCTCCAAATGTCCACTTCCAGATACTACAAAAAGAGTGTTTCAAAAGTGCTCTAAGAAAGCGAATGTTCAACTCTGTGACTTGAATGCAGATATCACAAAGTAGTTTCTGAGAGTGCTTCTGTCTAGATTTTAGATGATGATATTCCCTTTTCCAACGAAATCATTAGAGCTATCCAAATATCCACTTACAGTTTCTACAAAAAGAGTGTTTCCAAACTGCTGAATCAAAACAGAGGTTCCACTCTGTTAGCTGAGTACACACATCACAAACTTGTTTCTCAGAATCCTTGCTGTCTACCTTTAATTTGAATTCCCGCTTCCAACGAAATCCTCCAAGCTATCCAAATATCCACTTGCAGATTCCACAAAAAGAGTGTTTCAAAACTGCTCTCTATCAATGGCAAAGTTCAACTCTGTTAGTTGAGGACACATATCACCAACAAGTTTCTGAGAATGCTTCTGTCTATTTTTTATGGGAAGATATTTCCTTTTTCACCGTTGGCGTCAAGGCGATCGAAATGTCCACTTCCACAAACTACAAAAAGAGTGTTTCAAACCTGCTCTATGAAAGGCCATGTTCATCTCTATGAGTTGAATGGAAATATCCGAAAGAAATTTCTGGGAATGCTGCTGTCCAGTTTTTATACGAATTCCCGCTTCCAACGAAATCCTCAATGCAATCCAAATATCCACTTGCAGAATCCACAAAAAGAGTGTTTCAAAACTGCTCTATCAATAGAAAGGTTCAAATCTTTTAGTTGAGTACACACATCACGAACAAGTTTCTGAGAATGCTTCTGTCTGGCTTTTATTGGAAGACGATTCCTTTTCACCAAAGGCATCATCAAAGCGCTCCAAATGTCCACTTCCAGATTCTTCCAAAAGAGTGTTTGAAACGTGCTCAAAGTAAGGGAATGTTCAACTCTGTGACTTGAATGCAGATATCACCAAGTAGTTTCTAATAGTGCTTCTGTCTAGATTTTAGATGATGATATTCCCGTTTCCAACGAAATCGTTAGAGCTATCCAAATATCCAGTTACAGTTCCTACCAAAAGGGTGTTTCCAAACTGCTGCATCAAAAGAAAGGTTCAACTCTATTAGTTGAGGACACACATCACAAAGAAGTTTGTGAGAATGCTTCTGTCTAGATTTTGTATGACGATATTCCCTTTTCCAACGATATCGTTAAAGCAATCTAAATATCCATTTGCAGAATCCACAAAAATAGAGTTTCAAAGCTGCTCTGTAAAAAGAAAGGTTCCACTCTGTTAGCTGAGTACACACATCACATACTTGTTTCTCAGAATCCTTCTTCAATTTTTTATGGGAAGACATTTCCTTTTTCACCGTAGGCGTCAAAGCGCTCCAAATGTCCACATCCACATAGTACAGAAAGAGTGTTTCAAACCTGCTCTATTAAAGGGAATGTTCAACTCTATGAGTTGAATGCAAACATCACAAAGAAATTTCTGAGAATGCTGCTGTCTACCTTTTATTTGAATTCCCGCTTCCAAAGAAATCCTCCAAGCTATCCAAATATCCACTTGCAGATTCCACAAAAAGAGTGTTTCAAAACTGCTCTCTATCAATGGCAAAGTTCAACTCTGTTAGTTGAGGACACATATCACCAACAAGTTTCTGAGAATGCTTCTGTCTATTTTTTATGGGAAGATATTTCCTTTTTCACCGTAGGCGTCAAGGCGATCAAAATGTCCACTTCCACAAACTACCAAAAGAGTGTTTCAAACCTGCTCTATGAAAGGCCATGTTCATCTCTATGAGTTGAATGGAAATATCCGAAAGAAATTTCTGGGAATGCTGCTGTCTAGTTTTTATACGAATTCCCGCTTCCACGAAATCCTCAAAGCAATCCAAATATCCACTTGCAGAATCCACAAAAAGAGTGTTTCAAAACTGCTCTATCAATAGAAAGGTTCAACTCTTTTAGTTGAGTACACACATCACAAACAAGTTTCTGAGAATGCTTCTGTCTGGCTTTTATTGGAAGACGTTTCCTTTTCACCAAAGGCATCAAAGCGCTCCAAATGTCCACTTCCAGATTCTTCCAAAAGAGTGTTTCAAACGTGCTCAAAGTAAGGGAATGTTCAACTCTGTGACTTGAATGCAGATATCACCAAGCAGTGTCTAATAGTGCTTCTGTGTATACTTTAGATGAAGATATTCCCGTTTCCAACGATATCGTTAGACCTACCCAAATATCCACTTACAGTTTCTACAGAAAGTGTGTTTCCAAACTAGTGCATCAAAAGAAAGGTTCAACTCTGTTAGTTGAGGACACACATCACAAAGAAGTTTCTGAGAAAGCTTCTGTCTGTATTTTGTATGAAGATATTCCCTTTTCCAACGATGTCGTTAAATCAACCCAAATATCAATTTGCAGAATCCACAGAAATAGAGTTTCAAAGCTGCTCTGTAAAAAGAAAGGATCCACTCTGTTAGCTGAGTACACACATCACAAACTTGTTTCTGAGAATCCTTCTGTCTAGTTTTTATGGGAAGATATTTACTTTTTCACCGTAGGTATCAAAGCGCTCCAAATGTCCACATCCAGATACTACAGAAAGAGGGTTTCAAACCTGCTCTATGAAAGGGAATCCTCAACTCTATGAGTTGAATGCAGACATCAGAAAGTAATTTCTGAGAATGCTGCTGTCTACCTTTCATTTGAATTCCCGCTTCCAACGAAATCCTCCAAGCTATCCAAATATTCACTTGCAGATTCCACAAAAAGAGTGTTTCAGAACTACTCTATCAATAGAAAGGTACAACTCTGTCAGTTGAGGACACACATCACAAACAAGTTTCTGAGAATTCTGTCTAGTTTTTATGGGAAGACATTCACTTTTTCACCAAAGGCATCAAAGCGCTCCAAATGTCCACTTCCAGACACTACAAAAAGAGTGTTTCAAACGTGCTCTAAGAAAGCGAATGTTCAACTCTGTGACTTGAATGCAGATATCACAAAGTAGTTTATGAGAGGGCTTCTGTCTAGATTTTAGATGATGATATTCCCGTTTCCAACGAAATCATTAGAGCTATCCAAATATCCACTTACAGTTTCTACAAAAAGAGTGTTTCCAAACTGCTGCATCAAAAGAGAGGTTCCACTCTGTTAGCTGAGTACACACATCACAAGCTTGTTTCTCAGAATCCTTCTGTCTAGCTTTTATGGGAAGATATTTACTTTTTCACCGTAGGCATCAAAGCGTTCCAAATGTCCACATCCAGATAGTACAGAAAGATTGTTTCAAACCTGCTCTATGAAAGGGAATGTTCAACTCTATGAGTTGAATGCAAACATCACAAAGAAATTTCTGAGAATGCTGCTGTCTACCTTTTATTTGAATTCCCGCTTCCAACGAAATCCTCCAAGCTATCCAAATATCAACTTGCAGATTCCACAAAAAGAGTGTTTCAAAACTGCTCTCTATCAATGGCAAAGTTCAACTCTGTTAGTTGAGGACACATATCACCAACAAGTTTCTGAGAATGCTTCTGTCTATTTTTTATGGGAAGATATTTCCTTTTCCACCGTAGGCGTCAAGGCGATCGAAATGTCCACTTCCAGAAACTACAAAATGAGTGTTTCAAACCTGCTCTATGAAAGGCCATGTTCATCTCTATGAGTTGAATGGAAATATCCGAAAGAAATTTCTGGGAATGCTGCTGTCTAGTGTTTATACGAATTCCCGCTTCCAACGAAATCCTCAAAGCAATCCAAATATCCACTTGCAGAATCCACAAAAAGAGTGTTTCAAAACTGCTCTATCAATAGAAAGGTTCAACTCTTTTAGTTGAGTACACACATCACGAACAAGTTTCTGAGAATGCTTCTGTCTGGCTTGTATTGGAAGACGTTTCCTTTTCACCAAAGGCATCAAAGCGCTCCAAATGTCCACTTCCAGATTCTTCCAAAAGAGTGTTTCAAACGTGCTCAAAGTAAGGGAATGTTCAACTCTGTGACTTGAATGCAGATATCACCAAGTAGTTTCTAATAGTGCTTCTGTCTAGATTTTAGATGATGATATTCCCGTTTCCAACGAAATCGTTAGAGCTATCCAAATATCCACTTACAGTTTCTACAAAAAGAGTGTTTCCAAACTGCTGCATCAAAAGAAAGGTTCAACTCTGTTAGTTGAAGACACACGTCACAAAGTAGTTTGTGAGAATGCTTCTGTCTAGATTTTGTATGACCATATTCCCTTTTCCAACGATATCGTTAAAGCAATCTAAATATCAATTTGCAGAATCCACAAAAATAGAGTTTCATAGCTGCTCTGTAAAAAGAAAGGTTCCACTCTGTTAGCTGAGTACACACATCACAAACTTGTTTCTGAGAATCCTTCTGTCTAGTTTTTATGGGAAGATATTTACTTTTTCACTGTAGGTATCAAAGCGCTCCAAATGTCCACATCCAGATACTACAGAAAGAGTGTTTCAAACCTGCTCTATGAAAGGGAATCTTCAACTCTATGAGTTGAATGCAGACATCAGAAAGTAATTTCTGAGAATGCTGCTGTCTAACTTTTATTTGAATTCCCGCTTCCAACGAAATCCTCCAAGCTATCCAAATATCCACCTGCATTTTCCACAAAAAGAGTGTTTCAAAACTGCTCTATTAATAGAAATGTTCAACTCCTTTGGCTGGGTACACACATCACAAACAAGTTTCTGAGAATGCTTCTGTCTAGTTTTTATGGGAAGACATTCCCTTTTTCACCAAAGGCATCAAAGCGCTCCAAATGTCCACTTCCAGACACTACAAAAAGAGTGTTTCAAACGTGCTCTAAGAAAGCGAATGTTCAACTCTGTGACTTGAATGCAGATATCACAAAGTAGTTTCTGGAGAGTGCTTCTCTCTAGATTTTATATGATGATATTCCCGTTTCCAACGAAATCATTAGAGCTATCCAAATATCCACTTACAGTTTCTACAAAAAGAGTGTTTCCAAACTGCTGCATCAAAAGAGAGGTTCCACTCTGTTAGCTGAGTACACACATCACAAACTTGTTTCTGAGAATCCTTCTGTCTCGTTTTTATGGGAAGATATTTACTTTTTCACCGTAGGCATCAAAGCGCTCCAAATGTCCACATCCAGATACTTCAGAAAGAGTGTTTCAAACCTGCTCTATGAAAGGGAATCTTCAACTCTATGAGTTGAATGCAGACATCAGAAAGAAATTTCTGAGAATGCTGCTTTCTACCTTTCATTTGAATTCCCGCTTCCAACGAAATCCTCCAAGCTATCCAAATATTCACTTGCAGATTCCACAAAAAGAGTGTTTCAAAACTACTCTATCAATAGAAAGGTACAACTCTGTCAGTTGAGGACACACATCACAAACAAGTTTCTGAGAATTCTGTCTATTTTTTATGGGAAGATATTTCCTTTTTCACCGTAGGCGTCAAGGCGATCGAAATGTCCACTTCCACAAACTACAAAAAGAGTGTTTCAAACCTGCTCTATGAAAGGCGATGTTCATCTCTATGAGTTGAATGGAAATATCCGAAAGAAATTTCTGGGAATGCTGCTGTCTAGATTTTATATGAATTCCCGCTTCCAACGAAATCCTCAAAGCAATCCAAATATCCACTTGCAGAATCCACAAAAAGAGTGTTTCAAAACTGCTCTATCAATAGAAAGGTTCAACTCTTTTAGTTGAGTACACACATCACAAACAAGTTTCTGAGAATGCTTCTGTCTGGCTTTTATTGGAAGACGTTTCCTTTTCACCAAAGGCATCAAAGCGCTCCAAATGTCCACTTCCAGATTCTTCCAAAAGAGTGTTTCAAACGTGCTCGAAGTAAGGGAATGTTCTACTCTGTGACTTGAATGCAGATATCACCAAGTAGTTTCTAATAGTGCTTCTGTCTAGATTTTAGATGATGATATTCCCGTTTCCAACGAAATCGCTAGCAGCTATCCAAATATCCAGTTACAGTTTCTACCAAAAGGGTGTTTCCAAATTGCTGCATCAAAAGAAAGGTTCAACTCTGTTAGTTGAGGACACACGTCACAAAGAAGTTTGTGAGAATGCTTCTGTCTAGATTTTGTATGAAGATATTCCCTTTTCCAACGATGTCGTTAAATCAACCCAAATATCAATTTGCAGAATCCACAGAAATAGAGTTTCAAAGCTGCTCTGTAAAAAGAAAGGATCCACTCTGTTAGCTGAGTTCACACATCCCAAACTTGTTTCTGAGAATCTTTCTGTCTCGTTTTTATGGGAAGATATTTACTTTTTCACCGTAGGCATCAAAGCGCTCCAAATGTCCACATCCAGATACTCCAGAAAGACTGTTTCAAACCTGCTCTATGAAAGGGAATCTTCAACTCTATGAGTTGAATGCAGACATCACAAAGAAATTTCTGAGAATGCTGCTGTCTACCTTTTATTTGAATTCCCGCTTCCAACGAAATCCTCCAAGCTATCCAAATATCCCCTTGCATTTTCCACAAAAAGAGTGTTTCAAAACTGCTCTATCAATAGAAATGTTCAACTCCTTTAGCTGGGTATACACATCACAAACAAGTTTCTGAGAATGCTTCTGTCTAGTTTTTATGGGTAGACATTCCCTTTTTCACCAAAGGAATCAAAGCGCTCCAAATGTCCACTTCCAGAAACTACAAAAAGAGTGTTTCAAACGTGCTCTAAGAAAGCGAATGTTCAACTCTGTGACTTGAATGCAGATATCACAAAGTAGTTTCTGAGAGGGCTTCTGTCTAGATTTTAGATGATGATATTCCCGTTTCCAACGAAATCATTAGAGCTATCCAAATATCCACTTACAGTTTCTACAAAAAGAGTGTTTCCAAACTGCTGCATCAAAAGAGAGGTTCCACTTTGTTAGCTGAGTACACACATCACAAACTTGTTTCTCAGAATCCTTCTGTCTCTTTTTTATGGGAAGATATTTACTTTTTCACCGTAGGCGTCAAAGCGCTCCAAATGTCCACATCCAGATAGTACAGAAAGAGTGTTTCAAACCTGCTCTATGAAAGGGAATCTTCAACTCTATGAGTTGAATGCAGACATCAGAAAGAAATTTCTGAGAATGCTCTGTCTACCTTTTATTTGAATTCCCGCTTCCAACGAAATCCTCCAAGCTATCCAAATATCCACTTGCAGATTCCACAAAAAGAGTGTTTCAAAACTGCTCTCTATCAATGGCAAAGTTCAACTCTGTTAGTTGAGGACACATATCACCAACAAGTTTCTGAGAATGCTTTCTGTCTATTTTTTATGGGAAGATATTTCCTTTTTCACCGTAGGCGTGAAGGCGATCGAAATGTCCACTTCCACAAACTACAAAAAGAGTGTTTCAAACCTGCTCTATGAAAGGCCATGTTCATCTCTATGAGTTGAATGGAAATATCCGAAAGTAATTTCTGGGAATGCTGCTGTCTAGTGTTTATATGAATTCCCGCTTCCAACGAAATCCTCAAAGCAATCCAAATATCCACTTGCAGAATCCACAAAAAGAGTGTTTCAAAACTGCTATATCAATAGAAAGGTTCAACTCTTTTAGTTGAGTACACACATCACGAACAAGTTTCTCAGAATGCTTCTGTCTGGCTTTTATTGGAAGACGTTTCCTTTTCACCAAAGGCATCAAAGCGCTCCAAATGTCCACTTCCAGATTCTTCCAAAAGAGTGTTTCAAACGTGCTCGAAGTAAGGGAATGTTCTACTCTGTGACTTGAATGCAGATATCACCATGTAGTTTCTAATAGTGCTTCTGTCTAGATTTTAGATGATGATATTCCCGTTTCCAACGAAATCGTTAGAGCTATCCAAATATCCAGTTACAGTTCCTACCAAAAGGGTGTTTCCAAATTGCTGCATCAAAAGAAAGGTTCAACTCTGTTAGTTGAGGACACACATCACAAAGAAGTTTGTGAGAATGCTTCTGTCTAGATTTTGTATGACGATATTCCCTTTTCCAACGATATCGTTAAAGCAATCTAAATACCAATTTGCAGAATCTACAAAAATAGAGTTTCAAAGCTGCTCTGTAAAAAGAAAGGTTCCACTCTGTTAGCTGAGTACACACATCACAAACTTGTTTCTCAGAATCCTTCTGTCTAGTTTTTATGGGAAGATATTTACTTTTTCACCGTAGGTATCAAAGCGCTCCAAATGTCCACATCCAGATTCTACAGAAAGAGTGTTTCAAACCTGCTCTATGAAAGGGAATCTTCAACTCTATGAGTTGAATGCAGACATCAGAAAGTAGTTTCTGAGAATGCTGCTGTCTACCTTTTATTTGAATTCCCGCTTCCAACGAAATCCTCCAAGCTATCCAAATATCCACCTGCATTTTCCACAACAAGAGTGTTTCAAAACTGCTCTATCAATAGAAATGTTCAACTCCTTTGGCTGGGTACACACATCACAAACAAGTCTCTGAGAATGCTTCTGTCTAGTTTTTATGGGAAGACATTCCCTTTTTCACCAAAGACATCAAAGCGCTCCAAATGTCCACTTCCAGACACTACAAAAAGAGTGTTTCAAACGTGCTCTAAGAAAGCGAATGTTCAAGTCTGTGACTTGAATGCAGATATCACAAAGTAGTTTCTGAGAGTGCTTCTGTCTAGATTTTAGATGATGATATTCCCGTTTCCAACGAAATCATTAGAGCTATCCAAATATCCACTTACAGTTTCTACAAAAAGAGTGTTTCCAAACTGCTGCATCAAAACAGAGGTTCCACTCTGTTAGCTGAGTACACACATCACAAACTTGTTTCTCAGAATCCTTGCTGTCTACCTTTTATTTGAATTCCCGCTTGCAACGAAATCCTCCAAGCTATCCAAATATCCACTTGCAGATTCCACAAAAAGAGTGTTTCAAAACTGCTCTCTATCAATGGCAAAGTTCAACTCTGTTAGTTGAGGACACATATCACCAACAAGTTTCTGAGAATGCTTCTGTCTATTTTTTATGGGAAGATATTTCCTTTTTCACCGTAGGCGTCAAGGCGATCGAAATGTCCACTTCCACAAACTACAAAAAGAGTGTTTCAAACCTGCCCTATGAAAGGCCATGTTCATCTCTATGAGTTGAATGGAAATATCCGAAAGAAATTTCTGTGAATGCTGCTGTCTAGTTTTTATACGAATTCCCGCTTCCAATGAAATCCTCAAAGCAATCCAAATATCCACTTGCAGAATCCACAAAAAGAGTGTTTCAAAACTGCTCTATCAATAGAAAGGTTCAAATCTTTTAGTTGAGTACACACATCACGAACAAGTTTCTGAGAATGCTTCTGTCTGGCTTTTGTTGGAAGAGGTTTGCTTTTCACCAAAGGCATCAAAGCGCTCCAAATGTCCACTTCCAGATTCTTCCAAAAGAGTGTTTCAAACGTGCTCAAAGTAAGGGAATGTTCAACTCCGTGACTTGAATGCAGATATCACCAAGTAGTTTCTAATAGTGCTTCTGTCTAGATTTTAGATGATGATATTCCCGTTTCCAACGAAATCGTTAGAGCTATCCAAATATCCACTTACAGTTTCTACAAAAAGAGTGTTTCCAAACTGCTGCATCAAAAGAAAAGTTCAACTCTGTTAGTTGAGGACACACATCACAAAGAAGTTTGTGAGAATGCTTTCTGTCTAGATTTTGTATGACGATATTCCCTTTTCCAACGATATCGTTAAAGCAATCTAAATATCAATTTGCAGAATCCACAAAAATAGAGTTTCAAAACTGCTCTGTAAAAAGAAAGGTTCCACTCTGTTAGCTGAGTACACACATCACAAACTTGTTTCTCAGAATCCTTCTGTCTCGTTTTTATGGGAAGATATTTACTTTCTCACCGTAGGCATCAAAGCGCTCCAAATGTCCACATCCAGATACTCCAGAAAGAGTGTTTCAAACCTGCTCTATGAAAGGGAATCTTCAACTCTATGAGTTGAATGCAGACATCAGAAAGAAATTTCTGAGAATGCTGCTGTCTAACTTTTATTTGAATTCCCGCTTCCAACGAAATCCTCCAAGCTATCCAAATATCCACTTGCAGATTCCACAAAAAGAGTGTTTCAAAACTGCTCTCTATCAATGGCACAGTTCAACTCTGTTAGTTGAGGACACATATCACCAACAAGTTTCTGAGAATGCTTCTGTCTATTTTTTATGGGAAGATATTTCCTTTTTCACCATAGGCATCAGGGCGATCGAAATGTCCACTTCCACAAACTACAAAAAGAGTGTTTCAAACCTGCTCTATGAAAGGCAATGTTCATCTCTATGAGTTGAATGGAAATATCCGAAAGAAATTTCTGGGAATGCTGCTGTCTACTTTTTTATGAATTCCCGCTTCCAACGAAATCCTCAAAGCAATCCAAATATCCACTTGCAGATTCCACAAAAAGAGTGTTTCAAAACTGCTCTATCAATAGAAAGGTTCAACTCTTTTAGTTGAGTACACACATCACATACAAGTTTCTGAGAATGCTTCTGTCTGGCTTTTATTGGAAGACGTTTCCTTTTCACCAAAGGCATCAAAGCGCTCCAAATGTCCACTTCCAGATTCTTCTAAAAGAGTGTTTCAAACGTGCTCAAAGTAAGGGAATGTTCAACTCTTTGACTTGAATGCAGATATCACCAAGTAGTTTCTAATAGTGCTTCTGTCTAGATTTTAGATGATGATATTCCCGTTTCCAACGAAATCGTTAGAGCTATCCAAATATCCACTTACAGTTTCTACAAAAAGAGTGTTTCCAAACTGCTGCATCAAAAGAAAGGTTCAACTCTGTTAGTTGAGGACACACATCACAAAGAAGTTTGTGGGAATGCTTCTGTCCAGATTTTGTATGACGATATTCCCTTTTCCAACGATATCGTTAAAGCAATCTAAATATCAGTTTGCAGAATCCACAAAAATAGAGTTTCAAAGCTGCTCTGTAAAAAGAAAGGTTCCACTCTGTTAGCTGAGTACACACATCACAAACTTGTTTCTGAGAATCCTTCTGTCTCGTTTTTATGGGAGGATATTTACTTTTTCACCGTAGGCATCAAAGCGCTCCAAATGTCCACATCCAGATACTCCAGAAAGAGTGTTTCAAACCTGCTCTATGAAAGGGAATCTTCAACTCTATGAGTTGAATGCAGACATCAGAAAGAAATTTCTGAGAATGCTGCTGTCTACCTTTTATTTGAATTCAAGCTTCCAACGAAATCCTCCAAGCTATCCAAATATCCACTTGCATTTTCCACAAAAAGAGTGTTTCAAAACTGCTCTATCAATAGAAATGTTCAACTCCTTTAGCTGGGTACACACATCACAAACAAGTTTCTGAGAATGCTTCTGTCTAGTTTTTATGGGAAGACATTTCCTTTTTCGCCAAAGGCATCAAAGAGCTCCAAATGTCCACTTCCAGATACTACAAAAAGAGTGTTTCAAAAGTGCTGTAAGAAAGCGAATGTTCAACTCTGTGACTTGAATGCAGATATCACAAAGTAGTTTCTGAGAGTGCTTCTGTCTAGATTTTAGATGATGATATTCCCGTTTCCAAAGAAATCATTAGAGCTATCCAAATATCCACTTACAGTTTCTACAAAAAGAGTGTTTCCAAACTGCTGCGTCAAAAGAGAGGTTCCACTCTGTTAGCTGAGTACACACATCACAAACTTGTTTCTGAGAATCCTTCTGTCTAGTTTTTATGGGAAGATATTTACTTTTTCACCGTAGGCATCAAAGCGTTCCAAATGTCCACATCCAGATAGTACAGAAAGAGTGTTTCAAACCTGCTCTGTGAAAGGGAATGTTCAACTCTATGAGTTGAATGCAAACATCACAAAGAAATTTCTGAGAATGCTGCTGTCTACCTTTTATTTGAATTCCCGCTTCCAACGAAATCCTCCAGGCTTTCCAAATATCTACTTGCAGATTCCACAAAAAGAGGGTTTCAAAACTGCTCTATCAATGGCAAGGTTCAACTCTGTCAGTTGAGGATACACATCACAAACAAGTTTCTGAGATTTCTGCTGTCTACCTTTCATTTGAATTCCCGCTTCCAACGAAATCCTCCAGGCTATCCAAATATCCACTTGCAGATTCCACAAAAAGAGTGTTTCAAAACTGCTCTATCAATGGCAAGGTTCAACTCTGTCAGTTGAGGATACACATCACAAACAAGTTTCTGAGAATTCTGCTGTCTACTTTTTTATGAATTCCCGCTTCCAACGAAATCCTCAAAGCAATCCAAATATCCACTTGCAGATTCCACAAAAAGAGTGTTTCAAAACTGCTCTATCAATAGAAAGGTTCAACTCTTTTAGTTGAGTACACACATCACAAACAAGTTTCTGAGAAAGCTTCTGTCTGGCTTTTATTGGAAGACGTTTCCTTTTCACCAAAGGCATCAAAGCGCTCCAAATGTCCACTTCCAGATTCTTCCAAAAGAGTGTTTCAAACGTGCTCAAAGTAAGGGAATGTTCAATTCTGTGAGTTGAATGCAGATATCACCAAGCAGTTTCTAATAGTGTTTCTCTCTAGATTTTAGATGATGATATTCCCGTTTCCAACGAAATCGTTAGAGCTATCCAAATATCCAGTTACAGTTTCTACCAAAAGGGTGTTTCCAAACTGCTGCATCAAAAGAATGGTTCAACTCTGTTAGTTGAGGACACACATCACAAAGAAGTTTGTGAGAATGCTTCTGTCTAGATTTTGTATGACGATATTCCCTTTTCCAACGATATCGTTAAAGCAATCTAAATATCAATTTGAAGAATCCACAAAAATAGAGTTTCAAAGCTGCTCTGTAAAAAGAAAGGTTCCACTCTGTTAGCTGAGTACACACATCACAAACTTGTTTCTGAGAATCCTTCTGTCTAGTTTTTATGGGAAGATATTTACTTTTTCACCGTAGGCATCAAAGCGTTCCAAATGTCCATTTCCAGATAGTACAGAAAGAGTGTTTCAAACCTGCTCTATGAAAGGGAATGTTCAACTCTATATGTTGAATGCAAACATCACAAAGAAATTTCTGAGAATGCTGCTGTCTACCTTTTATTTGAATTCCCGCTTCCAACGAAATCCTCCAGGCTATCCAAATATCCACTTGCAGAATCCACAAAAAGAGTGTTTCAAAGCTGTTCTATCAATGGCAAGGTTCAACTCTGTCAGTTGAGGATACACATCACAAACAAGTTTCTGAGAATTCTTCTGTTTAGTTTTTATGGGTAGACATTCCCTTTTTCACCAAAGGAATCAAAGCGCTCCAAATGTCCACTTCCAGACACTACAAAAAGAGTGTTTCAAACGTGCTCTAAGAAAGCGAATGTTCAACTCTGTGACTTGAATGCAGATATCACAAAGTAGTTTCTGAGAGTGCTTCTGTCTAGATTTTAGATGATGATATTCCCGTTTCCAACGAAATCATTAGAGCTATCCAAATATCCACTTACAGTTTCTACAAAAAGAGTGTTTCTAAACTGCTGCATCCAAAGAGAGGTTCCACTCTGTTAGCTGAGTACACACATCACAAACTTGTTTCTCAGAATCCTTCTGTCTCGTTTTTATGGGAAGATATTTACTTTCTCACCGTAGGCATCAAAGCGCTCCAAATGTCCACATCCAGATACTCCAGAAAGAGTGTTTCAAACCTGCTCTATGAAAGGGAATCTTCAACTCTATGAGTTGAATGCAGACATCAGAAAGAAATTTCTGAGAATGCTGCTGTCTACCTTTCATTTGAATTCCCGCTTCCAACGAAATCGTCCAAGCTATCCAAATATTCACTTGCAGATTCCACAAAAAGAGTGTTTCAAAACTACTCTATCAATAGAAAGGTACAACTCTGTCAGTTGAGGACACACATCACAAACAAGTTTCTGAGAATTCTGTCTATTTTTTATGGGAAGATATTTCCTTTTTCACCATAGGCGTCAAGGCGATCGAAATGTCCACTTCCACAAACTACAAAAAGAGTGTTTCAAACCTGCTCTATGAAAGGCCATGTTCATCTCTATGAGTTGAATGGAAATATCCGAAAGAAATTTCTGGGAATGCTGCTGTCTAGTGTTTATACGAATTCCCGCTTCCAACGAAATCTTCAAAGCAATCCAAATATCCACTTGCAGAATCCACAAAAAGAGTGTTTCAAAACTGCTCTATCAATAGAAATGTTCAACTCCTTTGGCTGGGTACACACATCACAAACAAGTTTCTGAGAATGCTTCTGTCTGGCTTTTATTGGAAGACGTTTCCTTTTCACCAAAGGCATCAAAGCGCTCCAAATGTCCACTTCCAGATTCTTCCAAAAGAGTGTTTCAAACGTGCTTAAAGTAAGGGAATGTTCAACTCTTTGACTTGAATGCAGATATCACCAAGTAGTTTCTAATAGTGCTTCTGTCTAGATTTTAGATGATGATATTCCCGTTTCCAACGAAATCGTTAGAGCTATCCAAATATCCACTTACAGTTTCTGCAAAAAGAGTGTTTCCAAACTGCTGCATCAAAAGAAAGGTTCAACTCTGTTAGTTGAGGACACACATCACAAAGAAGTTTGTGAGAATGCTTTCTGTCTAGTATTTTGTATGACCATATTCCCTTTTCCAGCGATATCGTTAAAGCAATCTAAATATCCATTTGCAGAATCCACAAAAATAGAGTTTCAAAGCTGCTCTGTAAAAAGAAAGGTTCCACTCTGTTAGCTGAGTACACACATCACAAACTTGTTTCTCAGAATCCTGCTGTCTACCTTTTATTTGAATTCCCGCTTCCAACGAAATCCTCCAAGCTATCCAAATATCCACTTGCAGTTTCCACAAAAAGAGTGTATCAAAACTGCTCTATCAATAGAAATGTTCAACTCCTTTAGCTGGGTACACACATCACAAACAAGTTTCTGAGAATGCTTATCTGTCTAGTTTTTATGGGAAGACATTCCCTTTTTCACCAAAGGCATCAAAGTGCGCCAAATGTCCACTTCCAGACACTACAAAAAGAGTGTTTCAAACGTGCTCTAAGAAAGCGAATGTTCAACTCTGTGACTTGAATGCAGATATCACAAAGTAGTTTCTGAGAGGGCTTCTGTGTAGATTTTAGATGATGATATTCCCGTTTCCAACGAAATCATTAGAGCTATCCAAATATCCACTTACAGTTTCTACAAAAAGAGTGTTTCCAAACTGCTGCATCAAAAGAGAGGTTCCACTCTGTTAGCTGAGTACACACATCACAAACTTGTTTCTCAGAATCCTTCTGTCTCGTTTTTATGGGAAGATATTTACTTTTTCACCGTAGGCATCAAAGCGCTCCAAATGTCCACATCCAGATACTCCAGAAAGAGTGTTTCAAACCTGCTCTCTGAAAGGGAATGTTCAACTCTATGAGTTGAATGCAGACATCAGAAAGAAATTTCTGAGAATGCTGCTGTCTACCTTTCATTTGAATTCCCGCTTCCAACGAAATCCTCCAGGCTATCCAAATATCCACTTGCAGAGTCCACAAACAGAGGGTTTCTAAACTGCTCTATCAATGGCAAGGTTCAACTCTGTCAGTTGAGGATACACATCACAAATAAGTTTCTGAGAAATCTTCTGTCTATTTTTTATGGGAAGATATTTCCTTTTTCACCGTAGGCGTCAAGGCGATCGAAATGTCCACTTCCACAAACTACAAAAAGAGTGTTTCAAACCTGCTGTATGAAAGGCCATGTTCATCTCTATGAGTCGAATGGAAATATCCGAAAGAAATTTCTGGGAATGCTGCTGTCTAGTTTTTATACGAATTCCCGCTTCCAACGAAATCCTCAAAGCAATCCAAATATCCACTTGCAGAATCCACAAAAAGAGTGTTTTAAAACTGCTCTATCAATAGAAAGGTTCAACTCTTTTAGTTGAGTACACACATCACAAACAAGTTTCTGAGAATGCTTCTGTCTGGCTTTTATTGGAAGACGTTTCCTTTTCACCAAAGGCATCAAAGCTCTCCAAATGTCCACTTCCAGATTCTTCCAAAAGAGTGTTTCAAACGTGCTCAAAGTAAGGGAATGTTCAACTCTGTGACTTGAATGCAGATATCACCAAGTAGTTTCTAATAGTGCTTCTCTCTAGATTTTAGATGATGATATTCCCGTTTCCAACGAAATCGTTAGAGCTATCCAAATATCCAGTTACAGTTTCTACAAAAAGGGTGTTTCCAAACTGCTGCATCAAAAGAAAGGTTCAACTCTGTTAGTTGAGGACACACATCACAAAGAAGTTTGTGAGAATGCTTCTGTCTAGATTTTGTATGACGATATTCCCTTTTCCAACGATATCGGTTAAAGCAATCTAAATACCAATTTGCAGAATCCACAAAAATAGAGTTTCAAAGCTGCTCTGTAAAAAGAAAGGTTCCACTCTGTTAGCTGAGTACACACATCACAAACTTGTTTCTGAGAATCCTTCTGTCTCGTTTTTATGGGAAGATATTTACTTTTTCACCGCAGGCATCAAAGCGCGCCAAATGTCCACATCCAGATACTCCAGAAAGAGTGTTTCAAACCTGCTCTATGAAAGGGAATCTTCAACTCTATGAGTTGAATGCAGACATCAGAAAGAAATTTCTGAGAATGCTGCTGTCTACCTTTTATTTGAATTCCCGCTTCCAACAAAAACCTCCAAGCTACCCAAATATCCACTTGCAGATTCCACAAAAAGAGTGTTTCAAAACTGCTCTATCAATAGAAATGTTCAACTCCTTTCGCTGGGTACACACATCACAAACAAGTTTCTGAGAAAGCTTCTGTCTAGTTTTTATGGGAAGACATTCCCTTTTTCACCAAAGGCATCAAAGCGCTCCAAATGTCCACTTCCAGACACTACAAAAAGATTGTTTCAAACGTGCTCTAAGAAACCGAATGTTCAACTCTGTGACTTCAATGCAGATATCACAAAGTAGTTTCTGAGAGGGCTTCTGTCTAGATTTTAGATGATGATATTCCCATTTCCAACGAAATCATTAGAGCTATCCAAATATCCACTTACAGTTTCTACAAAAAGAGTGTTTCCAAACTGCTGCATCAAAAGAGAGGTTCCACTCTGTTAGCTGAGTACACACATCACAAACTTGTTTCTGAGAATCCTTCTGTCTAGTTTTTATGGGAAGATATTTACTTTTTCACTGTAGGTATCAAAGCGCTCCAAATGTCCACATCCAGATACTACAGAAAGAGTGTTTCAAACCTGCTCTATGAAAGGGAATCTTCAACTCTATGAGTTGAATGCAGACATCAGAAAGTAATTTCTGAGAATGCTGCTGTCAACCTTTCATTTGAATTCCCGCATCCAACGAAATCCTCCAAGCTATCCAAATATCCACTTGCAGATTCCACAAAAAGAGTGTTTCTAAACTGCTCTATCAATGGCAAGGTTCAACTCTGTCAGTTGAGGATACACATCACAAACAAGTTTCTGAGAATTCTTCTGTCTATTTTTTATGGGAAGATATTTCCTTTTTCACCGTAGACGTCAAGGCGATCGAAATGTCCACTTCCACAAACTACAAAAAGAGTGTTTCAAACCTGCTCTATGAAAGGCAATGTTCATCTCTATGAGTTGAATGGAAATATCCGAAAGAAATTTCTGGGAATGCTGCTGTCTAGTGTTTATACGAATTCCCGCTTCCAACGAAATCCTCAAAGCAATCCAAATATCCACTTGCAGAATCCACAAAAAGAGTGTTTCAAAACTGCTCTATCAATAGAAAGGTTCAACTCTTTTAGTTGAGTGCTCACATCACAAACAAGTTTCTGAGAATGCTTCTGTCTGGCTTTTATTGGAAGACGTTTCCTTTTCACCAAAGGCATCAAAGCGTTACAAATGTCCACTTCCAGATTCTTCCAAAAGAGTGTTTCAAACGTGCTCAAAGTAAGGGAATGTTCAACTCTGTGACTTGAATGCAGATATCACCAAGTAGTTTCTAATGGTGCTTCTGTCTAGATTTTAGATGATGATATTCCCGTTTCCAAAGAAATCGTTAGAGCTATCCAAATATCCAGTTACAGTTTCTACCAAAAGGTTGTTTCCAAACTGCTGCATCAAAAGAAAGGTTCAACTCTATTAGTTGAGGACACACATCACAAAGAAGTTTGTGAGAATGCTTCTGTCTAGATTTTGTATGACGATATTCCCTTTTCCAACGATATCGTTAAAGCAATCTAAATACCAATTTGCAGAATCCACAAAAATAGAGTTTCAAAGCTGCTCTGTAAAAAGAAAGGTTCCACTCTGTTAGCTGAGTACACACATCACAAACTTGTTTCTGAGAATCCTTCTGTCTCGTTTTTCTGGGAAGATATTTACTTTTTCACCGTAGGCATCAAAGCGCTCCAAATGTCCACATCCAGATACTCCAGAAAGAGTGTTTCAAACCTGCTCTATGAAAGGGAATCTTCAACTCTATGAGTTGAATTCAAGACATCAGAAAGAAATTTCTGAGAATGCTGCTGTCTTCCTTTCATTTGAATTCCCGCTTCCAACGAAATCCTCCAAGCTATCCAAATATTCACTTGCAGATTCCACAAAAAGAGTGTTTCAAAACTACTCTATCAATAGAAAGGTACAACTCTGTCAGTTGAGGACACACATCACAAACAAGTTTCTGAGAATTCTGTCTATTTTTTATGGGAAGATATTTCTTTTCACCGTAGGCGTCAAGGCGATCGAAATGTCCACTTCCACAAACTACAAAAAGAGTGTTTCAAACCTGCTCTATGAAAGGCCATGTTCATCTCTATGAGTTGAATGGAAATATGAGAAAGAAATTTCTGGGAATGCTGCTGTCTAGTTTTTATATGAATTCCCGCTTCCAACGAAATCCTCAAATCAATCCAAATATCCACTTGCAGAATCCACAAAAAGAGTGTTTCAAAACTGCTCTATCAATAGAAAGGTTCAACTCTTTTAGTTGAGTACACACATCACGAACAGGTTTCTGAGAATGCTTCTGTCTGGCTTTTATTGGAAGGCGTTTCCTTTTCACCAAAGGCATCAAAGCGCTCCAAATGTCCACTTAAAGATTCTTCCAAAAGAGTGTTTGAAACGTGCTCAAAGTAAGGGAATGTTCAACTCTGTGACTTGAATGCAGATATCACCAAGTAGTTTCTAATAGTGCTTCTGTGTATACTTTAGATGAAGATATTCCCGTTTCCAACGATATCGTTAGACCTATCCAAATATCCACTTACAGTTTCTACAAAAAGAGTGTTTCCAAACTGCTGCATCAAAAGAAAGTTTCAACTCTGTTAGTTGTGGACACACATCACAAAGAAGTTTCTGAGAAAGCTTCTGTCTAGATTTTGTATGAAGATATTCCCTTTTCCAACGATGTCGTTAAATCAACCCAAATATCAATTTGCAGAATCCACAGAAATAGAGTTTCAAAGCTGCTCTGTAAAAAGAAAGGATCCACTCTGTTAGCTGAGTTCACACATCACAAACTTGTTTCTGAGAATCCTTCTGTCTCGTTTTTATGGGAAGATATTTACATTTTCACCGTAGGCATCAAAGCGCTCCAAATGTCCACATCCAGATACTCCAGAAAGAGTGTTTCAAACCTGCTCTATGAAAGGGAATCTTCAACTCTATGAGTTGAATGCAGACATCAGAAAGAAATTTCTGAGAATGCTGCTGTCTACCTTTTATTTGAATTCCCGCTTCCAACGAAAACCTCCAAGCTATCCAAATATCCACTTGCAGATTCCACAAAAAGAGTGTTTCAAAACTGCTCTATCAATAGAAATGTTCAACTCTTTTCGCTGGGTACACACATCAAAAACAAGTTTCTGAGAATGCTTCTGTCTAGTTTTTATGGGAAGACATTCCCTTTTTCACCAAAGGCATCAAAGCGCTCCAAATGTCCACTTCCAGACACTACAAAAAGAGTGTTTCAAACGTGCTCTAAGAAAGCGAATGTTCAACTCTGTGACTTGAAGGCAGATATCACAAAGTAGTTTCTGAAAGGGCTTCTGTCTAGATTTTAGATGATGATATTCCCGTTTCCAAAAAAATCGTTAGAGCTATCCAAATATCCACTTACAGTTTCTACAAAAAGAGTGTTTCCAAACTGCTGCATCAAAACAGAGGTTCCACTCTGTTAGCTGAGTACACACATCACAAACTTGTTTCTCAGAATCCTTCTGTCTCGTTTTTATGGGAAGATATTTACTTTTTCACCGTAGGCATCAAAGCGCTCCAAATGTCCACATCCAGATACTCCAGAAAGAGTGTTTCAAATCTGCTCTATGAAAGGGAATGTTCAACTCTATGAGTTGAATGCAGACATCAGAAAGAAATTTCTGAGAATGCTGCTGTCTACCTTTCATTTGAATTCCCGCTTCCAACGAAATCCTCCAAGCTATCCAAATATTCACTTGCAGATTCCACAAAAAGAGTGTTTCAAAACTACTCTATCAATAGAAAGGTACAACTCTGTCAGTTGAGGATACACATCACAAACAAGTTTCTGAGAATTCTGTCTATTTTTTATGGGAAGATAATTCCTTTTTCAGCGTAGGCGTAAAGGCGATCGAAATGTCCACTTCCACAAACTACAAAAAGAGTGTTTCAAACCTGCTCTATGAAAGGCCATGTTCATCTCTATGAGTTGAAAGGAAATATCCGAAAGTAATTTCTGGGAATGCTGCTGTCTAGTTTTTATACGAATTCCCGCTTCCAACGAAATCCTCAAAGCAATCCAAATATCCACTTGCAGAATCCACATAAGAGAGTTTCAAAACTGCTCTATCAATACAAAGGTTCAACTCTTTTAGTTGAGTACACACATCACAAACAAGTTTCTGAGAATGCTTCTGTCTGGCTTTTATTGGAAGACGTTTCCTTTTCACCAAAGGCATCAAAGCGCTCCAAATGTCCACTTCCAGATTCTTCCAAAAGAGTGTTTCAAACGTGCTCAAAGTAAGGGAATGTTCAACTCTTTGACTTGAATGCAGATATCACCAAGTAGTTTCTAATAGTGCTTCTGTCTAGATTTTAGATGATGATATTCCCGTTTCCAACGAAATCGTTAGAGCTATCCAAATATCCACTTACAGTTTCTACAAAAAGAGTGTTTCCAAACTGCTGCATCAAAAGAAAGGTTCAACCCTGTTAGTTGAGGACACACATCACAAAGAAGTTTGTGAGAATGCTTCTGTCCAGATTTTGTATGACGATATTCCCTTTTCCAACGATATCATTAAAGCAATCTAAATATCCATTTGCAGAATCCACAAAAATAGAGTTTCAAAGCTGCTCTGTAAAAAGAAAGGTTCCACTCTGTTAGCTGAGTACACACATCACAAACTTGTCTCTCAGAATCCTTCTGTCTAGTTTTTATGGGAAGATATTTACTTTCTCACCGTAGGTATCAAAGCGCTCCAAATGTCCACATCCAGATACTACAGAAAGAGTGTTTCAAACCTGCTCTATGAAAGGGAATCTTCAACTCTATGAGTTGAATGCAGACATCAGAAAGTAATTTCTGAGAATGCTGCTGTCTACCTTTTATTTGAATTCCCGCTTCCAACGAAATCCTCCAAGCTATTCAAATATCCACTTGCATTTTCCACAAAAAGAGTGTTTCAAAACTGCTCTATCAATAGAAACGTTCAACTCCTTTAGCTGGGTACACACATCACAAAGAAGTTTCTGAGAATGCTTCTGTCTAGTTTTTATGGGAAGACATTCCCTTTTTCACCAAAGGCATCGAAGCGCTCCAAATGTCCACTTCCAGACACTACAAAAAGAGTGTTTCAAACGTGCTCTAAGAAAGCGAATGTTCAACTCTGTGACTTGAATGCAGATATCACAAAGTAGTTTCTGAGAGGGCTTCTGTCTAGATTTTAGATGATGATATTCCCGTTTCCAACGAAATCATTAGAGCTATCCAAATATCCACTTACAGTTTCTACAAAAAGAGTGTTTCCAAACTGCTGCATCGAAAGAGAGGTTCCACTCTGTTAGCTGAGTACACACATCACAAACTTGTTTCTGAGAATCCTTCTGTGTCGTTTTTATGGGAAGATATTTACTTTTTCACCGTAGGCATCAAAGCGCTCCAAATGTCCACATCCAGATACTCCAGAAAGAGTGTTTCAAACCTGCTCTATGAAAGGGAATCTTCAACTCTATGAGTTGAATGCAGACATCAGAAAGAAATTTGCTGAGAATGCTGCTGTCTACCTTTTATTTGAATTCCCGCTTCCAACGAAATCCTTCAAGCTATCCAAATATCCACTTGCTGATTCCACAAAAAGAGTGTTTCAAAACTGCTCTCTATCAATGGCAAAGTTCAACTCTGTTAGTTGAGGACACATATCACCAACAAGTTTCTGAGAATGCTTCTGTCTATTTTTTATGGGAAGATATTTCCTTTTTCACCGTAGGCGTCAAGGCGATCGAAATGTCCACTTCCACAAACTACAAAAAGAGTGTTTCAAACGTGCTCTATGAAAGGCGATGTTCATCTCTATGAGTTGAATGGAAATATCCGAAAGAAATTTACTGGGAATGCTGCTGTCTAGTTTTTATACGAATTCCCGCTTCCAACGAAATCCTCAAAGCAATCCAAATATCCTCTTGCAGAATCCACAAAAAGAGTGTTTCAAAACTGCTCTATCAATAGAAAGGTTCAACTCTTTTAGTTGAGTACACACATCACAAACAAGTTTCTGAGAATGCCTCTGTCTGGCTTTTATTGGAAGACGTTTCCTTTTCACCAAAGGCATCAAAGCGCTCCAAATGTCCACTTCCAGATTCTTCCAAAAGAGTGTTTCAAACGTGCTCGAAGTAAGGGAATGTTCTACTCTGTGACTTGAATGCAGATATCACCAAGTAGTTTACTAATAGTGCTTTCTGTCTAGATTTTAGATGATGATATTCCCGTTTCCAACGAAATCGTTAGAGCTATTCAATAATGCACTTACAGTTTCTACAAAAAGAGTGTTTCCAAACTGCTGCATCAAAAGAAAGGTTCAACTCTGTTAGTTGAGGACACACATCACAAAGAAGTTTGTGAGAATGCTTCTGTCCAGATTTTGTATGACGATATTCCCTTTTCCAACGATATCGTTAAAGCAATCTAAATATCAATTTCCAGAATCCAGAAAAATAGAGTTTCAAAGCTGCTCTGTAAAAAGAAAGGTTCCACTCTGTTAGCTGAGTACACACATCACAAACTTGTTTCTGAGAATCCTTCTGTCTCGTTTTTATGGGAAGATATTTACTTTTTCACCGTAGGCATCAAAGCGCTCCAAATGTCCACATCCAGATACTCCAGAAAGAGTGTTTCAAACCTCCTCTATGAAAGGGAATCTTCAACTCTATGAGTTGAATGCAGACATCAGACAGAAATTTCTGAGAATGCTGCTGTCTACCTTTTATTTGAATTCCTGCTTCCAACGAAATCCTCCAAGCTATCCAAATATCCACTTGCATTTTCCACAAAAAGAGTGTTTCAAAACTGCTCTATCAATACAAATGTTCAACTCCTTTAGCTGGGTACACACATCACAAACAAGTTTCTGAGAATGCTTCTGTCTATTTTTTATGGGAAGATATTTCCTTTTTCACCGTAGGCATCAAGGCGATCGAAATGTCCACTTCCACAAACTACAAAAAGAGTGTTTCAATATGAAAGGCCATGTTCATCTCTATGTGTTGAATGGAAATATCCAAAAGAAATTTCTGGGAATGCTGCTGTCTAGTGTTTATACGAATTCCCGCTTCCAACGAAATCCTCAAAGCAATCCAAATATCCACTTGCAGAATCCACAAAAAGAGTGTTTCAAAACTGCTCTATCAATAGAAAGGTTCAACTCTTTTAGTTGAGTACACACATCACGAACAAGTTTCTGCGAATGCTTCTGTCTGGCTTTTATTGGAAGACGTTTCCTTTTCACCAAAGGCATCAAAGCGCTGCAAATGTCCACTTCCAGATTCTTCCAAAAGAGTGTTTCAAACGTGCTCAAAGTAAGGGAATGCTCAACTCTGTGACTTGAATGCAGATATCACCAAGTAGTTTCTAATAGTGCTTCTGTCTACATTTTAGATGATGATATTCCCGTTTCCAACGAAATCGCTAGAGCTATCCAAATATCCAGTTACAGTTTCTACCAAAAGGGTGTTTCCAAATTGCTGCATCAAAAGAAAGGTTCAACTCTGTTAGTTGAGGACACACATCACAAAGAAGTTTGTGAGAATGCTTTCTGTCTAGATTTTGTATGACGATATTCCCTTTTCCAACGATATCGTTAAAGCAATCTAAATATCAATTTGCATAATCCACAAAAATAGAGTTTCCAAGCTGCTCTGTAAAAAGAAAGGTTCCACTCTGTTAGCTGAGTACACACATCACAAACTTGTTTCTGAGAATCCTTCTGTCTCGTTTTTATGGGAACATATTTAGTTTTTCACCGTAGGCATCAAAGCGGTCCAAATGTCCACATCCAGATACTCCAGAAAGAGTGTTTCAAACCTGCTCTATGAAAGGGAATCTTCAACTCTATGAGTTGAATGCACACATCAGAAAGAAATTTCTGAGAATGTTTCTTCAATTTTTTATGGGAAGACATTTCCTTTTTCACCGTAGGCGTCAAAGCGCTCCAAATGTCCACATCCAGATAGTACAGAAAGAGTGTTTCAAACCTGCTCTATTAAAGGGAATGTTCAACTCTATGAGTTGAATGCAAACATCAGAAATAAATTTCTGAGAATGCTTCTGTCTATTTTTTATGGGAAGATATTTCCTTTTTCAGCGTAGGCGTCAAGGCGATCGAAATGTCCACTTCCACAAACTACAAAAAGAGTGTTTCAAACCTGCTCTATGAAAGGCCATGTTCATCTCTATGAGTTGAATGGAAATATCCGAAAGAAATTTCTGGGAATGCTGCTGTCTAGTGTTTATACGAATTCCCGCTTCCAACGAAATCCTCAAAGCAATCCAAATATCCACTTGCAGAATCCACAAAAAGAGTGTTTCAAAACTGCTCTATCAATAGAAAGGTTCAACTCTTTTAGTTGAGTACACACATCAGGAACAAGTTTCTGAGAATGCTTCTGTCTGGCTTTTATTGGAAGACGTTTCCTTTTCACCAAAGGCATCAAAGCGCTCCAAATGTCCACTTCGAGATTCTTCCAAAAGAGTGTTTCAAACGTGCTCAAAGTAAGGGAATGTTCAACTCTGTGACTTGAATGCAGATATCACCAAGTAGTTTCTAATAGTGCTTCTGTCTACATTTTAGATGATGATATTCCCTTTTCCAAGGAAATCGTTAGAGCTATCCAAATATCCAGTTACAGTTTCTACCAAAAGGGTGTTTCCAAATTGCTGCATCAAAAGAAAGGTTCAACTCTGTTAGTTGAGGACACACATCACAAAGAAGTTTGTGAGAATGCTTCTGTCTAGATTTTGTATGACGATATTCCCTTTTCCAACGATATCGTTAAAGCAATCTAAATATCAATTTGCAGAATCCACAAAAATAGAGTTTCAAAGCTGCTCTGTAAAAAGAAAGGTTCCACTCTGTTAGCTGAGTACACACATCACAAACTTGTTTCTGAGAATCCTTTCTGTCTCGTTTTTATGGGAAGATATTTACTTTTCCACCGTAGGCATCAAAGCGCTCCAAATGTCCACATCCGGATACTCCAGAACGAGTGTTTCAAACCTGCTCTATGAAAGGGAATCTTCAACTCTATGAGTTGAATGCAGACATCAGAAAGAAATTTCTGAGAATGCTGCTGTCTACCTTTTATTTGAATTCCCGCTTCCAACGAAATCCTCCAAGCTATCCAAATATCCACCTGCATTTTCCACAAAAAGAGTGTTTCAAAACTGCTCTATCAATAGAAATGTTCAACTCCTTTGGCTGGGTACACACATCACAAACAAGTTCTGAGCATGCTTCTGTCTAGTTTTTATGGGAAGACGTTCCCTTTTTCACCAAAGGCATCAAAGCGCTCCAAATGTCCACTTCCAGACACTACAAAAAGAGTGTTTCCAACGTGCTCTAAGAAAGCGAATGTTCAACTCTGTGACTTGAATGCAGATATCACAAAGTAGTTTCTGAGAGGGCTTCTATCTAGATTTTAGATGATGATATTCCCGTTTCCAACGAAATCATTAGAGCTATCCAAATATCCACTTACAGTTTCTACAAAAAGAGTGTTTCCAAACTGCTGCATCCAAAGAGAGGTTCCACTCTGTTAGCTGAGTACACACATCACAAACTTGTTTCTCAGAATCCTTCTGTCTCGTTTTTATGGGAAGATATTTACTTTTTCACCGTAGGCATCAAAGCGCTCCAAATGTCCACATCCAGATACTCCAGAAAGAGTGTTTCAAACCTGCTCTATGAAAGGGAAACTTCAACTCTATGAGTTGAATGCAGACATCAGAAAGAAATTTCTGAGAATGCTGCTGTCTACCTTTTATTTGAATTCCCGCTTCCAACGAAATCCTCCAAGCTATGCAAATATCCACTTGCAGATTCCACAAAAAGAGTGTTTCAAAACTGCTCTCTATCAATGGCAAAGTTCAACTCTGTTAGTTAAGGACACATATCACCAACAAGTTTCTGAGAATGCTTCTGTCTATTTTTTATGGGAAGATATTTCCTTTTTCACCGTAGGCGTCAAGGCGATCGAAATGTCCACTTCCACAAACTACAAAAAGAGTGTTTCAAACCTGCTCTATGAAAGGCCATGTTCATCTCTATGAGTTGAATGGAAATATCCGAAAGAAATTTCTGGGAATGCTGCTGTCTAGTGTTTATACGAATTCCCGCTTCCAACGTAATCCTCAAAGCAATCCAAATATCCACTTGCAGAATCCACAAAAAGAGTGTTTCAAAACTGCTCTATCAATAGAAAGGTTCAACTCTTTTAGTTGAGTACACACATCACGAACAAGTTTCTGAGAATGCTTCTGTCTGGCTTTTATTGGAAGACGTTTCCTTTTCACCAAAGGCATCAAAGCGCTCCAAATGTCCACTTCCAGATTCTTCCAAAAGAGTGTTTGAAACGTGCTCAAAGTAAGAGAATGTTCAACTCTGTGACTTGAATGCAGATATCACCAAGTAGTTTCTAATAGTGCTTCTGTCTAGATTTTAGATGATGATATTCCCGTTTCCAACGAAATCGTTAGAAGCTATCCAAATATCCACTTACAGTTGCTACAAAAACAGTGTTTCCAAACTGCTGCATCAAAAGAAAGGTTCAACTCTGTTAGTTGAGGACACACGTCACAAAGAAGTTTGTGAGAATGCTTCTGTCTAGATTTTGTATGACGATATTCCCTTTTCCAACGATATCGTTAAAGCAATCTAAATATCAATTTGCAGAATCCACAAAAATAGAGTTTCAAAGCTGCTCTGTAAAAAGAAAGGTTTCACTCTGTTAGCTGAGTACACACATCACAAACTTGTTTCTGAGAATCCTTCTGTCTCGTTTTTATGGGAAGATATTTACTTTTTCACCGTAGGCATCAAAGCGCTCCAAATGTCCACATCCAGATACTCCAGAAAGAGTGTTTCAAACCTGCTCTATGAAAGGGAACCTTCAAGTCTATGAGTTGAATGCAGACATCAGAAAGAAATTTCTGAGAATGCTGCTGTCTACCTTTTATTTGAATTCCCGCTTCCAACGAAATCCTCCAAGGTATCCAAATATCCACTTGCATTTTCCACAACAAGAGTGTTTCAAAACTGCTCTATCAATAGAAATGTTCAACTCCTTTGGCTGGGTACACACATCACAAACAAGTTTCTGAGAATGCTTCTGTCTAGTTTTTATGGGTAGACATTCCCTTTTTCACCAAAGGAATCAAAGCGCTCCAAATGTCCACTTCCAGACACTACAAAAAGAGTGTTTCAAACGTGCTCTAAGAAAGCGAATGTTCAACTCTGTGACTTGAATGCAGATATCACACAGTAGTTTTTGAGAGTGCTTCTGTCTAGATTTTAGATGATGATATTCCCGTTTCCAACGAAATCATTAGAGCTATCCAAATATCCACTTACAGTTTCTACAAAAAGAGTGTTTCCAAACTGCTGCATCAAAAGAGAGGTTCCACTCTGTTAGGTGAGTACACACATCACAAACTTGTTTCTGAGAATCCTTCTGTCTCGTTTTTATGGGAAGATATTTACTTTTTCACCGTAGGCATCAAAGCACTCCAAATGTCCACATCCAGATACTACAGAAAGAGTATTTCAAACCTGCTCTATGAAAGGGAATGTTCAACTCTATGAGTTGAATGCAGATCTCAGAAAGAAATTTCTGAGAATGCTGCTGTCTACCTTTTATTTGAATTCCCGCTTCCAACGAAATCCTCCAAGCTATCCAAATATCCACTTGCAGATTCAGGAAAAAGAGTGTTTCAAAACTGCTCTCTATCAATGACAAAGTTCAACTCTGTTAGTTGAGGACACATATCACCAACAAGTTTCTGAGAATGCTTCTGTCTATTTTTTATGGGAAGATATTTCCTTTTTCACCATAGGCGTCAAGGCGATCGAAATATCCACTTCCACAAACTACAAAAAGAGTGTTTCAAACCTGCTCTATGAAAGGCGATGTTCATCTCTATGAGTTGAATGGAATTATCCGAAAGAAATTTCTGGGAATGCTGCTGTCTAGTTTTTATACGAATTCCCGCTTCCAACGAAATCCTCAAAGCAATCCAAATATCCACTTGCAGAATCCACAAAAAGAGTGTTTCAAAACTGCTCTATCAATAGAAAGGTTCAACTCTTTTAGTTGAGTACACACATCACGAACAAGTTTCTCAGAATGCTTCTGTCTGGCTTTTATTGGAAGACGTTTCCTTTTCACCAAAGGCATCAAAGCGCTCCAAATGTCCACTTCCAGATTCTTCCAAAAGAGTGTTTCAAACGTGCTCAAAGTAAGGGAATGTTCAACTCTGTGACTTGAATGCAGATATCACCAAGTAGTTTCTAATAGTGCTTCTGTCTAGATTTTAGATGATGATATTCCCGTTTCCAACGAAATCGTTAGAGCTATCCAAATATCCACTTACAGTTTCTACAAAAAGGGTGTTTCCAAACTGCTGCATCAAAAGAAAGGTTCAACTCTGTTAGTTGAGGACACACATCACAAAGAAGTTTGTGAGAATGCTTCTGTCTAGATTTTGTATGACGATATTCCCTTTTCCAACGATATCGTTAAAGCAATCTAAATATCAATTTGCAGAATCCACAAAAATAGAGTTTCAAAGCTGCTCTGTAAAAAGAAAGGTTCCACTCTGTTAGCTGAGTACACACATCAAAAACTTGTTTCTGAGAATCCTTCTGTCTCGTTTTTATGGGAAGATGTTTACTTTTCCACCGTAGGCATCAAAGCGCTCCAAATGTCCACATCCAGATACTCCAGAACGAGTGTTTCAAACCTGCTCTATGAAAGGGAATCTTCAACTCTATGAGTTGAATGCAGACATCAGAAAGAAATTTCTGAGAATGCTGCTGTCTACCTTTTATTTGAATTCCCGCTTCCAACGAAATCCTCCAAGCTATCCAAATATCCACCTGCATTTTCCACAAAAGGAGCGTTTCAAAACTGCTCTATCAATAGAAATGTTCAACTCCTTTGGCTGGGTACACACATCACAAACAAGTTTCTGAGAATGCTTCTGTCTAGTTTTTATGGGAAGACATTCCCTTTTTCACCGTAGGCGTCAAGGCGATCGAAATGTCCACTTCCACAAACTACAAAAAGAGTGTTTCAAACCTGCTCTATGAAAGGCCATGTTCATCTCTATGAGTCGAATGGAAATATCCGAAAGAAATTTCTGGGAATGCTTCTGTCTAGATTTTAGATGATGATATTCCCGTTTCCAACGAAATCATTAGAGCTATCCAAATATCCACTTACAGTTTCTACAAAAAGAGTGTTTCCAAACTGCTGCGTCAAAAGAGAGGTTCCACTCTGTTAGCTGAGTACACACATCACAAACTTGTTTCTGAGAATACTTCAGTTTTTTATGGGAAGACATTTCCTTTTTCACCGTAGGCGTCAAAGCGCTCCAAATGTCCACATCCGGACAGTACAGAAAGAGTGTTTCAAACCTGCTCTATTAAAGGGAATGTTCAACTCTATGAGTTGAATGCAAACATCAGAAAGAAATTTCTGAGAATGCTGCTGTCTACCTTTTATTTGAATTCCCGCTTCCAACGAAATCCTCCTATCTATCCAAACATCCACCTGCATTTTCCACAAAAAGAGTGTTTCAAAACTGCTCTATCAATAGAAACGTTCAACTCCTTTAGCTGGGTACACACATTACAAACAAGTTTCTGAGAATGCTTCTGCCTAGTTTTTATGGGAAGACATTCCCTTTTTCACCAAAGGCATCAAAGCGCTCCAAATGTCCACTTCCAGACACTACAAAAAGAGTGTTTCAAACGTGCTCTAAGAAAGCGAATGTTCAACTCTGTGACTTGAATGCAGATATCACAAAGTAGTTTCTGAGAGTGCTTCTGTCTAGATTTTAGGTGATGATATTCCCGATTCCAACGAAATCATTAGAGCTATCCAAATATCCACTTACAGTTTCTACAAAAAGAGTGTTTCCAAACTGCTGCATCAAAAGAGAGGTTCCACTCTGTTAGCTGAGTACACACATCACAAACTTGTTTCTCAGAATCCTGCTGTCTACCTTTTATTTGAATTCCCGCTTCCAACGAAATCCTCCAAGCTATCCATATATCCACTTGCAGATTCAGGAAAAAGAGTGTTTCAAAACTGCTCTCTATCAATGGCAAAGTTCAACTCTGTTAGTTGAGGACACATATCACCAACAAGTTTCTGAGAATGCTTCTGTCTTTTTTTTATGGGAAGATATTTCCTTTTTCACCGTAGGCGTCAAGGCGATCGAAATGTCCACTTCCACAAACTACAAAAAGAGTGTTTCAAACCTGCTCTATGAAAGGCCATGTTCTTCTCTATGAGTTGAATGGAAATATCCGAAAGAAATTTCTGGGAATGCTGCTGTCTAGTTGTTATACGAATTCCCGCTTCCAACGAAATCCTCAAAGCAATCCAAATATCCACTTGCAGAATCCACAAAAAGAGTGTTTCAAAACTGCTCTATCAATAGAAAGGTTCAACTCCTTTTAGTTGAGTACACACATCACAAACAAGTTTCTGAGAATGCTTCTGTCTGGCTTTTATTGGAAGACGTTTCCTTTTCACCAAAGGCATCAAAGCGCTCCAAATGTCCACTTCCAGATTCTTCCAAAAGAGTGTTTCAAACGTGCTCAAAGTAAGGGAATGTTCAACTCTGTGACTTGAATGCAGATATCACCAAGTAGTTTGCTAATAGTGCTTCTGTCTACATTTTAGATGATGATATTCCCGTTTCCAACGAAATCGTTAGAGTTATCCAAATATCCAGTTACAGTTTCTACCAAAAGGGTGTTTCCAAATTGCTGCATCAAAAGAAAGGTTCAACTCTGTTAGTTGAGGACACACATCACAAAGAAGTTTGTGAGAATGCTTCTGTCTAGATTTTGTATGAAGATATTCCCTTTTCCAACGATATTGTTAAATCAACCCAAATATCAATTTGCAGAATCCACAGAAATAGAGTTTCAAAGCTGCTCTGTAAAAAGAAAGGATCCACTCTGTTAGCTGAGTACACACATCACAAACTTGTTTCTGAGAATCCTTCTTCAATTTTTTATGGGAAGACATTTCCTTTTTCACCGTAGGCGTCAAAGCGCTCCAAATGTCCACATCCAGATAGTACAGAAAGAGTGTTTCAAACCTGCTCTATTAAAGGGAATGTTCAACACTATGAGTTGAATGCAAACATCAGAAAGAAATTTCTGAGAATGCTGCTGTCTACCTTTTATTTGAATTCCCTCTTCCAACGAAAACCTCCAAGCTATCCAAATATCCACTTGCAGATTCCACAAAAAGAGTGTTTCAAAACTGCTCTATCAATAGAAATGTTCAACTCCTTTCGCTGGGTACACACATCACAAACAAGTTTCTGAGAATGCTTCTGTCTAGTTTTTATGGAAAGACATTCCCTTTTTCACCAAAGGCATCAAAGCGCTCCAAATGTCCACTTCCAGACACTACAAAAAGAGTGTTTCAAACGTGCTCTAAGAAAGCGAATGTTCAACTCTGTGACTTGAATGCAGATATCACAAAGAAGTTTCTGAGAGTGCTTCTGTCTAGATTTTAGATGATGATATTCCCGTTTCCAACGAAATCATTAGAGCTATCCAAATATACACTTACAGTTTCTACAAAAAGAGTGTTTCCAAACTGCTGCATCAAAAGAGAGGTTCCACTCTGTTAGCTGAGTACACACATCACAAACTTGTTTCTCAGAATCCTTCTGTCTCGTTTTTATGGGAAGATATTTACTTTTCCACCGTAGGCATCAAAGCGCTCCAAATGTCCACATCCAGATACTCCAGAAAGAGTGTTTCAAACCTGCTCTATGAAAGGGAATCTTCAACTCTATGAGTTGAATGCAGACATCAGAAAGAAATTTCTGAGAATGCTGCTGTCTACCTTTTATTTGAATTCCCGCTTCCAACGAAATCCTCCAAGCTATCCAAATATCCACTTGCAGATTCCACAAAAAGAGTGTTTCCAAACTGCTCTCTATCAATGGCAAAGTTCAACTCTGTTAGTTGAGGACACATATCACCAACAAGTTTCTGAGAATGCTTCTGTCTATTTTTTATGGGAAGATATTTCCTTTTTCACCGTAGGCATCAAAGCGATCGAAATGTCCACTTCCACAAACTACAAAAAGAGTGTTTCAAACCTGCTCTATGAAAGGCGATGTTCATCTCTATGAGTTGAATGGAAATATCCGAAAGAAATTTCTGGGAATGCTGCTGTCTAGTTTTTATATGAATTCCCGCTTCCAACGAAATCCTCAAAGCAATCCAAATATCCACTTGCAGAATCCACAAAAAGAGTGTTTCAAAACTGCTCTATCAATAGAAAGGTTCAACTCTTTTAGTTGAGTACACACATCACAAACAAGTTTCTGAGAATGCTTCTGTCTGGCTTTTATTGGAAGACGTTTCCTTTTCACCAAAGGCATCAAAGCGCTCCAAATGTCCACTTCCAGATTCTTCCAAAAGAGTGTTTCAAACGTGCTCGAAGTAAGGGAATGCTCTACTCTGTGACTTGAATGCAGATATCACCAAGTAGTTTCTAATAGTGCTTCTGTCTAGATTTTAGATGATGATATTCCCGATTCCAACGAAATCGTTAGAGCTATCCAAATATCCAGTTACAGTTTCTACCAAAAGGGTGTTTCCAAATTGCTGCATCAAAAGAAAGGTTCAACTCTGTTAGTTGAGGACACACATCACAAAGAAGTTTGTGAGAATGCTTCTGTCTAGATTTTGTATGACCATATTCCCTTTTCCAACGATATCGTTAAAGCAATCTAAATATCAATTTGCAGAATCCACAAAAATAGAGATTCAAAGCTGCTCTGTAAAAAGAAAGGTTCCACTCTGTTAGCTGAGTACACACATCACAAACTTGTTTCTGAGAATCCTGCTGTCTACCTTTTATTTGAATTCCCGCTTCCAACGAAATCCTCCAAGCTATCCAAATATCCACTTGCATTTTCCATAAAAAGAGTGTTTCAAAACTGCTCTATCAATAGAAATGTTCAACTCCTTTGGCTGGGTACACACATCACAAACAAGTTTCTGAGAATGCTTCTGTCTAGTTTTTATGGGAAGACGTTCCCTTTTTCACCAAAGGCATCAAAGCGCTCCAAATGTCCACTTCCAGACACTACAAAAAGAGTGTTTCCAACGTGCCCTAAGAAAGCGAATGTTCAACTCTGTGACTTGAATGCAGATATCACAAAGTAGTTTCTGAGAGGGCTTCTGTCTAGATTTTAGATGATGATATTCCCATTTCCAACGAAATCATTAGAGCTATCCAAATATCCACTTACAGTTTCTACAAAAAGAGTGTTTCCAAACTGCTGCATCAGAAGAGAGGTTCCACTCTGTTAGCTGTGTACACACATCACAAACTTGTTTCTGAGAATCCTTCTGTCTCGTTTTTATGGGAAGATATATACTTTTTCACCGTAGGCATCAAAGCGCTCCAAATGTCCACATCCAGATACTCCAGAAAGAGTGTTTCAAACCTGCTCTATGAAAGGGAATCTTCAACTCTACGAGTTGAATGCAGACATCAGAAAGAAATTTCTGAGAATGCTGCTGTCTACCTTTCATTTGAATTCCCGCTTCCAACGAAATCCTCCAGTCTATCCAAATATCCACTTGCAGATTCCACAAAAAGAGTGTTTCTAAACTGCTCTATCAATGGCAAGGTTCAACTCTGTCAGTTGAGGATACACATCACAAACAAGTTTCTGAGAATTCTTCTGTCTATTTTTTATGGGAAGATATTTCCTTTTTCACTGTAGGCGTCAAGGCGATCGAAATGTCCACTTCCACAAACTACAAAAAGAGTGTTTCAAACCAGCTCTATGAAAGGCGATGTTCATCTCAATGAGTTGAATGGAAATATCCGAAAGAAATTTCTGGGAATGCTGCTGTCTAGTGTTTATACGAATTCCCGATTCCAACGAAATCCTCAAAGCAATCCAAATATCCACTTGCAGAATCCACAAAAAGAGTGTTTCAAAACTGCTCTATCAATAGAAATGTTCAACTCTTTTAGTTGAGTACACACATCACGAACAAGTTTCTGAGAATGCTTCTGTCTGGCTTTTATTGGAAGACGTTTCCTTTTCACCAAAGGCATCAAAGCGCTCCATATGTCCACTTCCAGATTCTTCCAAAAGACTGTTTCAAACGTGCTCAAAGTAAGGGAATGTTCAACTCTGTGACTTGAATGCAGATATCACCAAGTAGTTTCTAATAGTGCTTCTGTCTAGATTTTAGATGATGATATTCCCGTTTCCAACGAAATCGTTAGAGCTATCCAAATATCCACTTACAGTTGCTACAAAAACAGTGTTTCCAAACTGCTGCATCAAAAGAAAGGTTCAACTCTGTTAGTTGAGGACACACATCACAAAGAAGTTTGTGAGAATGCTTCTGTGTAGATTTTCTATGACGATATTCTCATTTCCAACGATATCGTTAAAGCAATCTAAATATCAATTTGCAGAATCCACAAAAATAGAGTTTCAAAGCTGCTCTGTAAAAAGAAAGGTTCTACTCTTTTAGCTGAGTACACACATCACAAACTTGTTTCTGAGAATCCTTCTGTCTCGTTTTTATGGGAAGATATTTACTTTTTCACCGTAGGCATCAAAGCGCTTCAAATGTCCACATCCAGATACTCCAGAAAGACTGTTTCAAACCTGCTCTATGAAAGGGAATCTTCAACTCTATGAGTTGAATGCAGACATCAGAAAGAAATTTCTGAGAATGCTGCTGTCTACCTTTTATTTGAATTCCCGCTTCCAACGAAATCCTCCAAGCTATCCAAATATCCACTTGCAGATTCCACAAAAAGAGTGTTTCAAAACTGCTCTCTATCAATGGCAAAGTTCAACTCTGTTAGTTGAGGACCCATATCACCAACAAGTTTCTGAGAATGCTTCTGTCTATTTTTTATGGGAAGATATTTCCTTTTTCACCGTATGCGTCGAGGCGATCGAAATGTCCACTTCCACAAACTACAAAAAGAGTGTTTCAAACCTGCTCTATGAAAGGCCATGTTCATCTCTATGAGTTGAATGGAAATATCCGAAAGAAATTTCTGGGAATGCTGCTGTCTAGGTTTTATACGAATTCCCGCTTCCAACGAAATCCTCAAAGCAATCCAAATATCCACTTGCAGAATCCACAAAAAGAGTGTTTCAAAACTGCTCTATCAATAGTAAGGTTCAACTCTTTTAGTTGAGTACACACATCACAAACAAGTTTCTGAGAATGCTTCTCTCTGGCTTTTATTGGAAGACGTTTCCTTTTCACCAAAGGCATCAAAGTGCTCCAAATGTCCACTTCCAGATTCTTCCAAAAGAGTGTTTCAAACGTGCTCAAAGTAAGGGAATGTTCAACTCTGTGACTTGAATACAGATATCACCAAGTAGTTTCTAATAGTGCTTCTGTCTAGATTTTAGATGATGATATTCCCGTTTCCAACGAAATCGTTAGAGCTATCCAAATATCCAGTTACAGTTTCTACCAAAAGGGTGTTTCCAAATTGCTGCATCAAAAGAAAGGTTCAACTCTGTTAGTTGAGGACACACATCATAAAGAAGTTTGTGAGAATGCTTCTGTCCAGATTTTGTATGACGATATTCCCTTTTCCAACGATATCGTTAAAGCAATCTAAATATCCATTTGCAGAATCCACAAAAATAGAGTTTCAAAGCTGCTCTGTCAAAAGAAAGGTTCCACTCTGTTAGCTGAGTACACACATCACAAACTTGTTTCTGAGAATCCTTCTTCAATTTTTTATGGGAAGACATTTCCTTTTTCACCGTAGGCGTCAAAGCGCTCCAAATGTCCACATCCAGATAGTAAAGAAAGAATGTTTCAAACCTGCTCTATTAAAGGGAATGTTCAACTCTATGAGTTGAATGCAAACATCAGAAAGAAATTTCTGAGAATGCTGCTGTCTACCTTTTATTTGAATTCCCGCTTCCAACGAAATCCTCCAAGCTATCCAAATATCCACTTGCAGATTCCACAAAAAGAGTGTTTCAAAACTGCTCTCTATCAATGGCAAAGTTCAACTCTGTTAGTTGAGGACACATATCACCAACAAGTTTTTGAGAATGCTTCTGTCTATTTTTTATGGGAAGATATTTCCTTTTTCACCGTAGGCGTCAAGGCGATCGAAATGTCCACTTCCACAAACTACAAAAAGAGTGTTTCAAACCTGCTCTATGAAAGGCCATGTTCATCTCTATGAGTTGAATGGAAATATCCGAGAGAAATTTCTGGGAATGCTGCTGTCTAGTGTTTATACGAATTCCCGCTTCCAACGAAATCCTCAAAGTAATCCAAATATCCACTTGCAGAATCCACAAAAAGAGTGTTTCAAAACTGCTCTATCAATAGAAAGGTTCAACTCTTTTAGTTGAGTACACACATCACAAACAAGTTTCTGAGAATGCTTCTGTCTGGCTTTTATTGGAAGACGTTTCCTTTTCACCAAAGGCATCAAAGCGCTGCAAATGTCCACTTCCAGATTCTTCCAAAAGAGTGTTTCAAACGTGCTCAAAGTAAGGGAATGTTCAACTCTGTGACTTGAATGCAGATATCACCAAGTAGTTTGCTAATAGTGCTTCTGTCTAGATTTTACATGATGATATTCCCGTTTCCAACGAAATCATTAGAGCTATCCAAATATCCAGTTACAGTTTCTACAAAAAGAGTGTTTCCAAACTGCTGCATCAAAAGAAAGGTTCAACTCTGTTAGTTGAGGACACACATCACAAAGAAGTTTGTGAGAATCCTTCTGTCTAGATTTTGTATGACGATATTCCCTTTTCCAACGATATCGTTAAAGCAATCTAAATATCAATTTGCAGAATCCACAAAAATAGAGTTTCAAAGCTGCTCTGTAAAAAGAAAGGTTACACTCTGTTAGCTGAGTACACACATCACAAACATGTTTCTCAGAATCCTTCTGTCTCGTTTTTATGGGAAGATATTTACTTTTTCACCGTAGGCATCTAAGCGCTCCAAATGTCCACATCCAGATACTCCAGAAAGACTGTTTCAAACCTGCTCTATGAAAGGGAATCTTCAACTCTATGAGTTGAATGCAGACATCAGAAAGAAATTTCTGAGAATGCTGCTGTCTACCTTTTATTTGAATTCCCGCTTCCAACGAAATCCTCCAAGCTATCCAAATATCCACCTGCATTTTCCACAACAAGAGTGTTTCAAAACTGCTCTATCAATAGAAATGTTCAACTCCTTTGGCTGGGTACACACATCACAAACAAGTTTCTGAGAATACTTCTGTCTACTTTTTAAGGGAAGACATTTCCTTTTTCACCAAAGGCATCAAAGTGCTCCAAATGTCCACTTCCAGATTCTACAAAAAGAGTGTTTCAAACCTGCTCTAAGTAAGGGAGTTTTCAACTCTGTGACTGGAATGCAGATATCACAAAGTAGTTTCTGAGACTGCTTCTGTCTAGATTTTACATGATGATATTCCCGTTTCCAACGAAATCATTAGAGCTATCCAAATATCCAGTTACAGTTTCTACAAAAAGAGTGTTTCCAAACTGCTGCATCAAAAGAGAGGTTCCACTCTGTTAGCTGAGTACACACATCACAAACTTCTTTCTGAGAATCCTTCTGTCTAGGTTTTATGGGAAGATATTTACTTTTTCACCGTAGGCATCAAAGCGTTCCAAATGTCCACATCCAGATAGTACAGAAAGAGTGTTTCAAACCTGCTCTATGAAAGGGAATGTTCAACTCTATGAGTTGAATGCAAACATCACAAAGAAATTTCTGAGAATGCTGCTGTCTACCTTTTATTTGAATTCCCGCTTCCAACGAAATCCTCCAAGCTATCCAAATATCCACTTGCAGATTCCACAAAAAGAGTGTTTCAAAACTGCTCTCTATCAATGGCAAAGTTCAACTCTGTTAGTTGAGGACACATATCACCAGCAAGTTTCTGAGAATGCTTCTGTCTATTTTTTATGGGAAGATATTTCCTTTTTCACCGTAGGCGTCAAGGCGATCGAAATGTCCACTTCCACAAACTACAAAAAGAGTGTTTCAAACCTGCTCTATGAAAGGCCATGTTCATCTCTATGAGTTGAATGGAAATATCCGAAAGAAATTTCTGGAAATGCTGCTGTCTAGTTTTTATACGAATTCCCGCTTCCAACGAAATCCTCAAAGCAATCCAAATATCCACTTGCAGAATCCACAAAAAGAGTGTTTCAAAACTGCTCTATCAATAGAAAGGTTCAAATCTTTTGGTTGAGTACACACATCATGAACAAGTTTCTGAGAATGCTTCTGTCTGGCTTTTATTGGAAGACGTTTCCTTTTCACCAAAGGCATCAAAGCGCTGCAAATGTCCACTTCCAGATTCTTCCAAAAGAGTGTTTCAAACGTGCTCAAAGTAAGGGAATGTTCAACTCTGTGACTTGAATGCAGATATCACCAAGTAGTTTCTAATAGTGCTTTCTGTCTAGATTTTAGATGATGATATTCCCGTTTCCAACGAAATCGTTAGAGCTATCCAAATATCCACTTACAGTTTCTACCAAAAGTGTGTTTCCAAACTGCTGCATCAAAAGAAAGGTTCAACTCTGTTAGTTGAGGACACACATCACATACAAGTTTCTGAGAAAGCTTTTGTCTAGATTTTGTGTGACCATATTCCCTTTTCCAACGATATCGTTAAAGCAATCTAAATATCAATTTGCAGAATCCACAAAAATAGAGTTTCAAAGCTGCTCTTTAAAAAGAAGGGTTCCACTCTGTTAGCTGAGTACACACATCACAAACTTGTTTCTGAGAAACCTTCTTCAATTTTTTATGGGAAGACATTTCCTTTTTCACCGTAGGCGTCAAAGCGCTCCAAATGTCCACATCCACATAGTACAGAAAGAGTGTTTCAAACCTGCTCTATTAAAGGGAATGTTCAACTCTATGAGTTGAATGCAAACATCACAAAGAAATTTCTGAGAATGCTCCTGTCTACCTTTTATTTGAATTCCCGCTTCCAACGAAATCCTCCAAGCTATCCAAATATCCACTTGCATTTTCCACAAAAAGAGTGTTTCAAAACTGCTCTATCAATGGAAATGTTCAACTCCTTTAGCTGGGTACACACATCACAAACAAGTTTGCTGAGAATGCTTATCTGTCTAGTTTTTATGGGAAGACGTTCCCTTTTTCACCAAAGGCATCAAAGCGCTCCAAATGTCCACTTCCAGACACTATAAAAAGAGTGTTTCAAACGTGCTCTAAGAAAACGAATGTTCAACTCTGTGACTTGAATGCAGATATCACAAAGTAGTTTCTGAGAGGGCTTCTGTCTAGATTTTAGATGATGATATTCCCGTTTCCAACGAAATCATTAGAGCTATCCAAATATCCACTTACAGTTTCTACAAAAAGAGTGTTTCGAAACTGCTGCATCAAAAGAGAGGTTCCACTCTGTTAGCTGAGTACACACATCACAAACTTGTTTCTCAGAATCCTTCTGTGTCGTTTTTATGGGAAGATATTTACTTTTTCACCGTAGGCATCAAAGCGCTCCAAATGTCCACATCCAGATACTCCAGAAAGAGTGTTTCAAACCTGCTCTATGAAAGGGAATCTTCAACTCTATGAGTTGAATGCAGACATCAGAAAGAAATTTCTGAGAATGCTGCTGTCTACCTTTTATTTGAATTCCCGCTTCCAATGAAATCCCCCAGGCTATCCAAATATCCACTCGCAGATTCCACAAAAAGCGTGTTTCAAAACTGCTCTATCAATGGAAAGGTTCAACTCTGTCAGTTGAGGATACACATCACAAACAAGTTTCTGAGAATTCTTCTGTCTATTTTTTATGGGAAGATATTTCCTTTTTCACCGTAGGCATCAAGGCGATCGAAATGTCCACTTCCACAAACTACAAAAAGAGTGTTTCAAACCTGCTCTATGAAAGGCAATGTTCATCTCTATGAGTTGAATGGAAATATCCGAAAGAAATTTCTGGGAATGCTGCTGTCTAGTTTTTATACGAATTCCCGCTTCCAACGAAATCCACAAAGCAATCCAAATATCCACTTGCAGAATCCACATAAGAGAGTTTCAAAACTGCTCTATCAATACAAAGGTTCAACTCTTTTAGTTGAGTACACACATCACAAACAAGTTTCTGAGAATGCTTCTGTCTGGCTTTTATTGGAAGACATTTCCTTTTCACCAAAGGCATCAAAGCGCTCCAAATGTCCACTTCCAGATTCTTCCAAAAGAGTGTTTGAAACGTGCTCAAAGTAAGGGAATGTTCAACTCTGTGACTTGAATGCAGATATCACCAAGTAGTTTCTAATAGTGCTTCTGTCTAGATTTTAGATGATGATATTCCCGTTTCCAACGAAATCGTTAGAGCTATCCAAATATCCAGTTACAGTTTCAACCAAAAGGGTGTTTCCAAACTGCTGCATCAAAAGAAAGGTTCAACTCTGTTAGTTGAGGACACACATCACAAAGATGTTTGTGAGAATGCTTCTGTCTAGATTTTGTATGACGATATTCCCTTTTCCAACGATATCGTTAAAGCAATCTAAATATCAATTTGCAGAATCCACAAAAATAGAGTTTCCAAGCTGCTGTGTAAAAAGAAAGGTTCCACTCTGTTAGCTGAGTACACGCATCACAAACTTGTTTCTGAGAATCCTTCTGTCTCGTTTTTATGGGAAGATATTTACTTTCTCACCGTAGGCATCAAAGCGCTCCAAATGTCCACATCCAGATACTCCAGAAAGAGTGTTTCAAACTTGCTCTATGAAAGGGAATCTTCAACTCTATGAGTTGAATGCAGACATCAGAAAGAAATTTCTGAGAATGCTGCTGTCTACCTTTTATTTGAATTCCCGCTTCCAACGAAATCCTCGAAGCTATCCAAATATCCACTTGCATTTTCCACAACAAGAGTGTTTCAAAACTGCTCTATCAATAGAAATGTTCAACTCCTTTGGCTGGGTACACACATCACAAACAAGTTTCTGAGAATGCTTCTGTCTAGTTTTTATGGGAAGACATTCCCTTTTTCACCAAAGGCATCAAAGCGCTCCAAATGTCCACTTCCAGACACTACAAAAAGAGTGTTTCAAACGTGCTCTAAGAAAGCGAATGTTCAACTCTGTGACTTGAATGCAGATATCAAAAAGTAGTTTCTGAGAGGGCTTCTGTCTAGATTTTAGATGATGATATTCCCGTTTCCAACGAAATCATTAGAGCTATCCAAATATCCAGTTACAGTTTCTACAAAAAGAGTGTTTCCAAACTGCTGCATCAAAAGAGAGGTTCCACTCTGTTAGCTGAGTACACACATCACAAACTTGTTTCTCAGAATCCTGCTGTCTACCTTTTATTTGAATTCCCGCTTCCAACGAAATCCTCCAAGCTATCCAAATATCCACCTGCATTTTCCACAACAAGAGTGTTTCAAAACTGCTCTATCAATAGAAGTGTTCAACTCCTTTGGCTGGGTACACACATCACAAACAAGTTTCTGAGAATGCTTCTGTCTAGTTTTTATGGGAAGACGTTCCCTTTTTCACCAAAGGCATCAAAGCGCTCCAAATGTCCACTTCCATACACTACAAAAAGAGTGTTTCAAACGTGCTCTAAGAAAGCGAATGATCAACCCTGTGACTTGAATGCAGATATCACAAAGTAGTTTCTGAGAGGGCTTCTGTCTAGATTTTAGATGATGATATTCCCGTTTCCAACGAAATCATTAGAGCTATCCAAATATCCACTTACAGTTTCTACAAAAAGAGTGTTTCCAAACTGCTGCATCAAAAGAGAGGTTCCACTCTGTTAGCTGAGTACACACATCACAAACTTGTTTCTGAGAATCCTTCTGTCTAGCTTTTATGGGAAGATATTTACTTTTTCACCATAGGCATCAAAGCGTTCCAAATGTCCACATCCACATAGTACAGAAAGAGTGTTTCAAACCTGCTCTATGAAAGGGAATGTTCAACTCTATGAGTTGAATGCAAACATCACAAAGAAATTTCTGAGAATGCTGCTGTCTACCTTTCATTTGAATTCCCGCTTCCAACGAAATCCTCCAGGCTATCCAAATATCCACTTGCAGATTCCACAAAAAGTGTGTTTCTAAACTGCTCTATCAATGGCAAGGTTCAACTCTGTCAGTTGAGGATACACATCACAAACAAGTTTCTGAGAATTCTTCTGTCTATTTTTTATGGGAAGATATTTCCTTTTTCACCGTAGGCGTCAAGGCGATCGAAATGTCCACTTCCACAAACTACAAAAAGAGTGTTTCAAACCTGCTCTATGAAAGGCCATATTCATCTCTATGAGTTGAATGGAAATATCCGAAAGAAATTTCTGGGAATGCTGCTGTCTAGTGTTTATACGAATTCCCGCTTCCAACGAAATCCTCAAAGCAATCCAAATATCCACTTGCAGAATCCACAAAAAGAGTGTTTCAAAACTGCTCTATCAATAGAAAGGTTCAACTCTTTTAGTTGAGTACACACATCACGAACAAGTTTCTGAGAATGCTTCTGTCTGGCTTTTATTGGAAGACGTTTCCTTTTCACCAAAGGCATCAAAGCGCTCCAAATGTCCACTTCCAGATTCTTCCAAAAGAGTGTTTCAAACGTGTTCAAAGTAAGGGAATGTTCAACTCTGTGACTTGAATGCAGATATCACCAAGTAGTTTCTAATAGTGCTTCTGTCTAGATTTTAGATGATGATATTCCCGTTTCCAACGAAATCGTTAGAGCTATCCAAATATCCACTTACAGTTTCTACAAAAACAGTGTTTCCAAACTGCTGCATCAAAAGAAAAGTTCAACTGTGTTAGTTGAGGACACACATCACAAAGAAGTTTGTGAGAATGCTTCTCTCTAGATTTTGTATGACAATATTCCCTTTTCCAACGATATCGTTAAAGCAATCTAAATATCAATTTGCAGAATCCACAAAAATAGAGTTTCAAAGCTGCTCTGTAAAAAGAAAGGTTCCACTCTGTTAGCTGAGTACACACATCACAAACTTGTTTCTGAGTATCCTTCTGTCTCGTTTTTATGGGAAGATATTTACTTTTTCACCGTAGGCATCAAAGCGCTCCAAATGTCCACATCCAGATATTCCAGAAAGAGTGTTTCAAACCTGCTCTATGAAAGGGAATCTTCAACTCTATGAGTTGAATGCAGACATCAGAAACTAATTTCTGAGAATGCTGCTGTCTACCATTTATTTGAATTCCCGCTTCCAACGAAATCTTCCAACCTATCCAAATATCCACCTGCATTTTCCACAAAAAGAGTGTTTCAAAACTGCTCTATCAATAGAAATGTTCAACTCCTTTAGCTAGGTATACACATCACAAACAAGTTTCTGAGAATGCTTCTGTCTACTTTTTAAGGGAAGACATTTCCTTTTTCACCAAAGGCATCAAAGCGCTCCAAATGTCCACTTCCAGATTCTACAAAAAGAGTGTTTCAAACCTGCTCTAAGTAAGGGAGTTTTCAACTCTGTGACTGGAATGCAGATATCACAAAGTAGATTCTGAGACTGCTTCTGTCTAGATTTTAGATGATGATATTCCCGTTTCCAACGAAATCATTAGAGCTATCCAAATATCCACTTACAGTTTCTACAAACAGAGTGTTTCCAAACTGCTGCATCAGAAGAGAGGTTCCACTCTGTTAGCTGAGTACGCACATCACAAACTTGTTTCTGAGAATCCTTCTGTCTCGTTTTTATGGGAAGATATTTACCTTTTCACCGTAGGCATCAAAGCGCTCCATATGTCCACATCCAGATACTCCACAAAGAGTGTTTCAAACCTGCTCTATGAAAGGGAATCTTCAACTCTATGAGTTGAATGCAGACATCAGAAAGAAATTTCTGAGAATGCTGCTGTCTACCTTTCATTTGAATTCCCGCTTCCAACAAAATCCTCCAGGCTATCCAAATATCCACTTGCAGATTCCACAAAAACAGTGTTTCTAAACTGCTCTATCAATGGCAAGGTTCAACTCTGTCAGTTGAGGATACACATCACAAACAAGTTTCTGAGAGTTCTTCTGTCTATTTTTTATGGGAAGATATTTCCTTTTTCACTGTAGGCGTCAAGGCGATCGAAATGTCCACTTCCACAAACTACAAAAAGAGTGTTTCAAACCTGCTCTATGAAACGCGATGTTCATCTCAATGAGTTGAATGGAAATATCCGAAAGAAATTTCTGGGAATGCTGCTGTCTAGTTTTTATATGAATTCCCGCTTCCAACGAAATCCTCAAAGCAATCCAAATATCCACTTGCAGAATCCACAAAAAGAGTGTTTCAAAACTGCTCTATCAATAGAAAGGTTCAACTCTTTTAGTTGAGTACACACATCACAAACAAGTTTCTGAGAATGCTTCTGTCTGGCTTTTATTGGAAGACGTTTCCTTTTCACCAAAGGCATCAAAGCGCTCCAAATGTCCACTTCCAGATTCTTCCAAAAGAGTGTTTCAAACGTGCTCAAAGTAAGGGTATGTTCAACTCTGTGACTTGAATGCAGATATCACCAAGTAGTTTCTAATAGTGCTTCTGTCTAGATTTTAGATGATGATATTCCCGTTTCCAAGGAAATCGTTAGAGCTATCCAAATATCCAGTTACAGTTTCTACCAAAAGGGTGTTTCCAAATTGCTGCATCAAAAGAAAGGTTCAACTCTGTTAGTTGAGGACACACATCACAAAGAAGTTTGTGAGAATGCTTCTGTCTAGAGTTTGTATGACGATATTCCCTTTTCCAACGATATCGTTAAAGCAATCTAAATATCAATTTGCAGAATCCACAAAAATAGAGTTTCAAAGCTGCTCTGTAAAAAGAAAGGTTCCACTCTGTTAGCTGAGTACACACATCACAAACTTGTTTCTGAGAATCCTTCTGTCTCGTTTTTATCAGAAGATATTTACTTTTCCACCGTAGGCATCAAAGCGCTCCAATTGTCCACATCCAGATACTCCAGAAAGAGTGTTTCAAACCTGCTCTATGAAAGGGAATCTTCAACTCTATGAGTTGAATGCAGACATCAGAAAGAAATTTCTGAGAATGCTGCTGTCTACTTTTTATTTGAATTCCCGCTTCCAACGAAATCCTCCAAGCTATCCAAATATCCACCTGCATTTTCCACAAAAAGAGTGTTTCAAAACTGCTCTATCAATAGAAATGTTCAACTCCTTTAGCTGGGTAGACACATCACAAACAAGTTTCTGAGAATGCTTCTGTCTAGTTTTTATGGGAAGACGTTCCCTTTTTCACCAAAGGCATCAAAGCGCTCCAAATGTCCACTTCCAGATACTACAAAAAGAGTGTTTCAAACGTGCTCTAAGAAAGCGAATGTTCAACTCTCTGACTTGAATGCAGATATCACAAAGTAGTTTCTGAGAGGGCTTCTGTCTAGATTTTAGATGATGATATTCCCGTTTCCAACGAAATCATTAGAGCTATCTAAATATCCACTTACAGTTTCTACAAAAAGAGTGTTTCCAAACTGCTGCATCAAAAGAGAGGTTCCACTCTGTTAGCTGAGTACACACATCACAAACTTGATTCTGAGAATCCTTCTGTCTCGTTTTTATGGGAAGATATTTACTTTTTCACCGTAGGAATCAAAGCGCTCCAAATGTCCACATCCAGATACTCCAGAAAGAGTGTTTCAAACCTGCTCTATGAAAGGGAATCTTCAACTCTATGAGTTGAATGCAGACATCAGAAAGAAATTTCTGAGAATGCTGCTGTCTACCTTTTATTTGAATTCCCGCTTCCAACGAAATCCTCCAAGCTATCCAAATATCCACTTGCAGATTCCACAAAAAGAGTGTTTCAAAACTGCTCTGTATCAATGGCAAAGTTCAACTCTGTTAGTTGAGGACACATATCACCAACAAGTTTCTCAGAATGCTTCTGTCTATTTTTTATGGGAAGATATTTCCTTTTTCAGCGTAGGCGTCAAGGCGATCGAAATGTCCACTTCCACAAACTACAAAAAGAGTGTTTCAAACCTGCTCTATGAAAGGCCATGTTCAACTCTATGAGTTGAATGGAAATATCCGAAAGAAAATTCTGGGAATGCTGCTGTCTAGTGTTTATACGAATTCCCGCTTCCAACGAAATCCTCAAAGCAATCCAAATATCCACTTGCAGAATCCACAAAAAGAGTGTTTCAAAACTGCTCTATCAATAGAAAGGTTCAACTCTTTTAGTTGAGTACACACATCACCAACAAGTTTCTGAGAATGCTTCTGTCTGGCTTTTATTGGAAGACGTTTCCTTTTCACCAAAGGCATCAAAGCGCTCCAAATGTCCACTTCCAGATTCTTCCAAAAGAGTGTTTCAAACGTGCTCGAAGTAAGGGAATGTTCTACTCTGTGACTTGAATGCAGATATCACCAAGTAGTTTCTAATAGTGCTTCTGTCTACATTTTAGATGATGATATTCCCGTTTCCCACGAAATCGTTAGAGCTATCCAAATATCCAGTTACAGTTTCTACCAAAAGGGTGTTTCCAAATTGCTGCATCAAAAGAAAGGTTCAACTCTGTTAGTTGAGGACACACATCACAAAGAAGTTTGTGAGAATGCTTCTGTCTAGATTTTCTATGACGGTATTCCCTTTTCCAACGATATCGTTAAAGCAATCTAAATATCAATTTGCAGAATCCACAACAATAGAGTTTCAAAGCTGCTCTGTAAAAAGAAAGGTTCCACTCTGTTAGCTGAGTACACACATCACAAACTTGTTTCTGAGAATCCTTCTGTCTAGTTTTTATGGGAAGATATTTACTTTTTCACCGTAGGTATCAAAGCGCTCCAAGTGTCCACATCCAGATACTACAGAAAGAGTGTTTCAAACCTGCTCTATGAAAGGGAATCTTCAACTCTATGAGTTGAATGCAGACATCAGAAAGTAATTTCTGAGAATGCTGCTGTCTACCTTTCATTTCAATTCCCGCTTCCAACGAAATCCTCCAAGCTATCCAAATATTCACTTGCAGATTCCACAAAAAGAGTGTTTCAAAACTACTCTATCAATAGAAAGGTACAACTCTGTCAGTTGAGGACACACATCACAAACAAGTTTCTGAGAATTCT